>NC_000016.10:28801693-29116900 GCF_000001405.40 Homo sapiens | reverse complement strand
CGCGAGCTGTCAGCTGGAATATCTGACAGGAAGCCTTGGATGAGTGGACACCAAGCAGGTCCGAGACTTCTTAAGACATCATAAAGGTTCCACTCAAACAGTTCACAAACTACCACACAGCCTTCTAAGATTAGACTCATTAGACTCTACTTTTTAAAAATAAGCAAAATAAAAACTGCAGATTTGAATGAAAAGTTTGATATATTCATGTGAAATGTATAAACACCACATACGAAGAAAAACATATCTAAAGACTAGCCAGGTAGAGTAGGAAAAAGGAAAGAAGCACGTGTACATCTTCTAAGATCTGGTGGGTTAGTTCCAAAGAAAAGGTGTATGGGCCGGCTTTATGTGGAAAGGAAAGGTGAGGATGACTTCAGGTCATCCTGGCAGGATGCCATGTGTTCGGTTTCGGTCTAACTAAAGTCAGCTTTAGTTAGAAACTGCTGAGACTGCTGAGGCAGACACTGCGCATCTCCAGCAAACTGAGCCACTAAGCTGCGGGCCTGGGCGAGGAGGTGACGCGCTTCTCCCCAAGTGACCTGAAGGCCCCGGCACCCTGGTCTGTTCTTACCATCGCACTTTGTTGCACATCTGGGTTGTCCTGAGAGGGGAGCCGGCAACCATGGGAACCTGGATGGGGCTGTGCTGCTTGTTCGTGACCAGATCCAGCTTTTCTTCTAAGGATTTACAAGTAGCCTCCAGGGCTTGCAATTTGGCTTCAATGCTATCCAACCGCAAGCAGATTGTCTGGTTGATGGAATACAGGAATGACTGGAAGTGAGAAAAGACCGGCTTTAGGAAGGGTCTCCTGAACTGTAAGAAGACAACCCCAAGAAACACCAAACAGCTATTTCCTGATCTCAACTCTATCTATTCAGACAGAACAATCCCCACACTGGAACTAGCTTCTGAGCTATGAGCCAGAAACATGTGAGTAACAAGTTCACATTTTACACACGAGTCACACGTCCTGTTTCAAATGTGATGATTTAGTCATGGTTTCACTTCTATGTGCAGTTGCAATTCTTGGTTAAGCCCATTTAATTTTAAAAATGTACTTTAATATGTTATTATTAATCAGTAAATTTACATATAAAACTAGTCAAATCTTCTCAACAATAAAAACAGATTACACCTAACATCGAAACAGCATAAAAGCCACAGGCCACGCACATTCACCTCACACCCCGCTGCCTAATCGGAAAAGGTGACGGGACCCCCTGTGGCCCTGACTTGGGATTTGGTCCTGAGGCTCCCGTGGGGCTCTTGAGCGGCAAGCTTGCCACCTAGTGGTTGGCAAAGCCGGGCTCCACGTCTGACCTTTCCGGCTGAGTCTCCTCCGGATTTCTAACTCCAAGTAACCACAGTGAGCAGTCACGTGCCGGACTCCAAACCCAAGAAACAGAAAACACACAAACCAGAAAGGGAAGAACTTCATTTCCCTAGCTGCCGTCCCATCCAGGAGCCACCATGAGCACACGTGGAAACGTGTTAATCACACAGGAATTGCACTGTGCAAAAGAGACACCCTCCACCAGGTCTCACCAGCAGACAGAAGGACACTCCTTCGGGTCTAGGGAGGGACAGGTTGGGGGAGTGCCCACCAGCCCTGCTTAGTACTCAGGAAGGCTGGCACCTGCCTTAAGAATCAACAGCTGAAAATAGCACAGAATTTGTGTTTTGTCTTTTCTCTCTCCTTTCCTGCCCATGACCTAAAGAGTGTGGGGTCCAAAGTGCACACATCAGAAGGAAGGGGGAGGTAGGCTCGGGACAGCAGGGGCGGCACTGTGGCAGCCACTGAGAGCTGGCCGTGGAGCTCGCAGCACAGGGGAGCGGGAGGCCGTCCCACACTGACGGGGGAGCGGGAGCCTGGCCCACATTGAAGCTGGAACCGCTTTCCCACTAACTGCAGCTGACCTACAACACTGCTTACACCCACTCTCCTTTCTGATCTCAAGGGAATCTGCAGAATATCAAAACTGCAGTGATATCCTACAACATGTAGCTGGCATGGAAACCTGGTGTACATAGTGGCAGGGACAGCACTGCAGGAGGGAAAATCCACATATTGCCCAACAACTCACCTTTTCTCAGGTCACCACCTCTCCTGGCAAGATTCACCACTGGGCACTGATATAGACAGGAGCTAAAGAAACCAACTGAAACTCACCCTCCCTGACTGACTACTCTCTGTTTAAGGCGCGTGTGAGAGAGGGAAGGAACCACGGCATCAGGTGGACCCAAGCCCACGTGATGACACTCAATCAGCTTATCTACAAAGGAGGCACGGTCCATGGCATGACAAACATGCATCGTCTTGAAAAGCAACAATAGGTGGCTGAATCCCTGAATGGCCACTGATAACCCCGCTATTTTCAACAACCAGAGAACATCAAATGTTTGGCTCTCAAATTCTTTAAACAGTACACCCATATTATTTTAATTCTGAATTACCAATGATTCTGCCTGGGGTTTTGGGAAAAATCACTCTTATATACCAATAAAACAACCTAGAGCCACGCACACGACTCTACGCAAGTCACATTCAACCGGGGGCCCACCCTCTTCTCAACAGTGGGACAAGGACAAAGGCAGGGCCACTTCCATGCCCACTTTATATATTTCTGTGCTATGTGTAATAGATGTGTCTTCTGTGATAAAATCACAACTGCGTTTTATTTAGGAAATGATAACGCAGTGTTTACTAAAAGAGCCACATCCTATCCATTGGTTGGAAATAGGCATTTTACAGTGAATTTATTTGTAAGTTTTTCATACACATTTACACTGCTTCTCCTTGTTAACAAAACAAATTAAATATTACCAAATAGACACCCTGTGTAAGTAGAGGAATTATATGAAAAGTGACTTTGGTTTTGTGTTGCTCTCATAACCTTCTCACATGTGCCGATATTTACCTCTGTGACTGCAAACACTGGAACCAACCAAGCAAATTCAAAGATCCAAAAATAATTAACTGAATGAGCAGTTCCCAAGAACCCCATCTAGTAAACTTTAGAATCTAAGTGACTTAAATGGCAGACACAGAAGTCATTCATCACTGGTAGAAATTTCACTTTCCTTCCATCCAAAATGGGCCTGCAGGTGTGTGGGAAGATGCCTCCTTCAGCAGCATCTCAAGGTAAACAATTCTTACTCTTTGTGCTCTTCAAGAGAAAAAATGGCTCACACTCTTCTGTAGCAGGCTGCCTGGTGACATAGCCACACCCTAAAGTGATATATCCACATCCTAACCGCCAGAACCTACCCATGTGGTCTCTTTGGAAACTGTGGAGATGTAATTTAGAAACTCTTTGGGTCTGTGTAGATGTAATTTAGTCAATGAGATCAACCTGGATTAGGGTGGGCCTTAAATCCAATGACAAGTCCTTACTAGAGGAGAGAAGGGGAAACAGTCACAGACACACAGAGGTGGCAGCAACATGAAGAGGAAGGCACAGCTGGAAGGAGCCCCACAAGCTGAGGCAGGGCCGGAGCCACTAGAAGCTGGAAGAGGCAGGAAGGATCCACCTTGTAGAACCTTTGGAGGGAGCGAGCCCCTGCCTGCATCTTGGTTTTGGATCTCTGGCCTCCACAGCTGAGAGGCTACATTTGTAAGCCATCCCATTGATGGTAATTTGTTATAGCAGCCCTTGAAATCTGCAATGCACTACACATCACAGAACACTGCAGCACACTACACATCACAGAACACTGCAGTGCACTACACATCACAGAACAGAGTCAGATTTTTACCTTTATAGATGGATCCTGGCAATTGATTTCTAGTCGCTGGCATTTCAAAGCAGGTTCGTCTTCATCTGTCGCTACATGATTCTCCAGAACAACTGAAATCAGTGACAGAGAAAAAAAATGTTTAACATGAAAAGTTTTACAGAATTATTTTAACATTAAGATAGTAAACAGTGCTGACACCTTAAGGTTGAATGAGAAACAGCAGAACCTATTTCATATTTTACCTTTTTAAACTTATTCTCAGTCAGGCAGAAAAATAGGATAACTCCTTAATCCCAAGAAAAGCCCAGACACTGGGTAATTAATGTGCCACTGAGTCAGTCCTAACTCCAAACCTGCAAGCTTCTGACTTCTGACTCAATGCTCTGTGGGGCTGCCCTGTTTGGTTTGAGAAAACCCACGATAAAACCCAATCGATAATAATGATTTCTTCCCAACTTTAAAATAAAGTTTTATCTGTTGGTCACCTCATTCCAAAATCAAAGCCACTCTATCTGCAGGTCCAGAACTAAAAGGGGAAAAAATACACTGAATATCACATTGTCATGGGTGCTGATAATCAAAACAGTCTCAACCTTAACACACTAAGTGACCCTCCCAGGCACAGCTGAGACCAGCTGCCCCCATCACACAGCAAGTGTCAGGTGATCGTCACGGCTTCCCACAGGATAAGCAACTCGGCCCCAGCTCAGGGCGGCCACAGTGTGGTCCCAAC
Organism: Homo sapiens; assembly: GCF_000001405.40. Lineage (NCBI taxonomy): Eukaryota > Metazoa > Chordata > Mammalia > Primates > Hominidae > Homo > Homo sapiens. The sequence goes on along the minus strand of NC_000016.10, from coordinate 29,112,426 downwards.
CTCCTTCCTTTTGTCTAAAACTGACTACAAAAACAATGTCAAAGATAACCTCAAAATCAAAGACCAAAATCGGCCACAATTGCCTCATCTCTGCAAATCACATTTCTATCTGTCTGTGACCCTTCTAGTCCTTTTCCTTAGACCTAGTCAATTTTTAAAAATTTACATATTTGCAGTTATAGATAGAAGTTTAAGGTCAACAGTTCTTGTTAAAGATTGTACATTGTGCCATGAGTGTTTTTTTCTTCTCATTTCCTTGCCTGAAATGACAGTGTGAACTGTCTAGTGCACTCCTACCGCACTCTACTCTACATGCTCACACAGAGATAAGCAAATGGCATACATGTGGGAGGTGCGAGACCATCTACCTCATCAACAGATTTGTCTGCAGCCTTCTTCTTCACTAAGCAACAAATACGGACTCTGGGTTAATATTAATCATCTTGTTTGTTTTTTGTTTTTTGTTTTTTAAGAGATGAGGTCTTGCTATGTCACCCAGGCTGGACTCAAACTCCTGTACTCAAGGGACCCCCCACCTCAGCCCGAGTAGCTGGGACTATCCAGGTTAATAGCTTTAAGTTTTTAACAGTAATACCAGTGTGTGACTATTTACAAAAATGAATGCCAGCATATAAGAATAGATATTATATACACGCATACATATGAGCACGCTTACTGTAACATTTCTGATAGAAAAAAATCAGAAATCTGAATGCTGGCCACTGGGAATGCCTTTCAGCACTTGCACACCTTGGCACACCATCTGCTTTCAAGGGCACCAACACCACAGCCAAGGAGGATGACCTCACTGTGGCCAGATGACACCTGCCCCGCTCTGCTGGTGCTGTGCCCCAGCCCTTCCCATACTACCAACCCTCCAGCCACCTCCACCAGGGAAATCTAACCACCTTCTGTCCAGCCCCACTCAAATGCCGCCTTGTTCGGGAAGGCATTCCTGGAAGGGTCTCAACTCACACCTGTTTATACTGTGACACCAACAAGGTCACAGCACCCACCCCACAGCAGACCGCCCTCCCAGCACCTTACACACAAGGCTGCCCACCGATGTGGATGAAGCACTCCTGGCTGGCATTCAGATTCTCCAGGTGCTAGAGGAAAGCCAAGTGCACAGTCCCCTCTGGTCCCTGCCTCCACCTCCACCAAAGCAACTCCCCTCAGACGTGTTACATAGATTGACATTCCGAAGAAGATCTTAACAGGAAAACAAAAGAGTGTCCATGCCTTTAAGCCTGTACACACTAGATGATTCATCTCAAAACTCTAAAACTGAAAGATGCTGAATTGTCCTGCAGTTCTAACAGGAACGTCTCACAGGTCCTAGGCAAAAGCAGTCAAATCTGATCTACCTGGTGGGAAATTATCCAAAGCCAAGGACCACTGTCAGCCGATTTTGGTCTTTGATTTTGAGGTTATCTTTGACATTGTTTTTGTAGTCAATTTTAGACAAAGGAAGGAGGTTGGGACCACACTGTGGCCGCCCTGAGCTGGGGCCGAGTTGCTTATCCTGTGGGAAGCCGTGATGATCACCTGACGCTTGCTGTGTGATGGGGGCAGCTGGTCTCAGCTGTGCCTGGGAGGGTCGGGGTTCTGTCACTTAGTGTGTTAAGGTTGAGACAGTTTTGATTATCAGCACCTATGACACACTGGTCACACACTGGTATTACTGTTAAAAACTTTAAGCTATTAGCCTCGATAGTCCCAGCTACTCAGGGGCTGAGGTGGGGGTGTCCCTTGAGTACAGCACACAGCTCTGCCTTCGGCCTCAGGACTCCTTACAGGCAGGGAGCGCATCAACCATCTCCACCTAAGCCTTTGCAGATGAATTCTCACTTCATGAAACTTTTAAAACTCCATCCATGCCTACAAGTGCCTGTGGTTAGTCAAAGTTTCTCAGGACCTCAGTCAAAGGCTCTTTACTCTCACTGGAAACTGGTCATCACACAAGGCCTGGAAGAACAGAGAGAGAGACCCTTGTACTCATTACTCTAACCTTTTAGTTTGCTGAGAAGAAAACAAGTCCAGGAAGGTTACGGGACTTCTCTGGGGTCACAGAGCTAGTTTCGTCATAACGGCAGAAGAGAGGTGTGCAGTAACTCCAGTAATGACTCCACAGGTAGTGGGACAGCAAGTGACATTTATTTTCTTCTTTGTACTTTGCTGCTTTTTGTATGTGTTGCTTTTTATAATTTTGTATGCATTACTTTTAGAATTAGACCAAAGAACTCCTTGTTCATTTTAAAGATATCACAATCAGGCTGGGTGCAGTGGCTCACGCCTATAATCCCAGCACTTTGGGAGGCCGAGGTGAGTGATCACCTGAGGTCAGGAGTTTGAGACCAGCCTGGCCAACATAGTGAAATCCCCGTCTCTACTGAAAATACAAAAATTAGCTGGGCGTGGTGGCGGGCACCTGTAATCCCAGCTACTTGGGAGGCTGAGGCAGGAGAATCACTTGAATTCAGGAGACAAAGGTTGCAGTGAGCCGAGATCACGTCACTGCACTCCAGCCTGGCAACAGAGCAAAACTCTGTCTTAAATAAGTAAATAAAGATATCACAATCAATCAACTGCAGTGACAGGCCTGATGCAAGTCACAATTTTTGCATTCAGACAGGTAGAGTAAGCACAAGCCATAGTCGGTACACGCCAAGTCAGATGATCCTAGAAGTCTTTCTTTTAAATAAAAATAAGGAAAAGTTGGAAAGACATACACGTCAACAATTTAAAAGCTGCTACAACCAGTAGAATTATGGGAAATTTTTATTTCTTCTACTTTCTTGACTATCCTGTTAAACTTTATTAGATGCATACTTTCGAGACAAGGAAAGTACTTTAAACCTACTATGAATGCAAATGTGTTTGACACATCAAGGTACCTGCAGCTGTGCACACTTTCTCCTGGGTCAGAGACTGCAGGCTTTGTACTGGGGCAGGCCTTGGAGCTCTGTGCACAGTAGGTTTTGTTTTTTTTTTTTTGAGACCGAGTCTTGCTCTGTCGCCCAGGCTGGAGTGCAGTGGCGCGATCTCAGCTCACTGCAAGCTCCGCCTCCCGGGATCACACCATTCTCCTGCCTCAGCCTCCTGAGCAGCTGGGACTACAGGCATCCACCACCACGTCCAGCTAATTTTTTGTATTTTTTTTGTATTTATAGTAGAGACTTCACCGTGTTTGCCAGGATGGTCTCGATCCCCTGACATCGTGATCCGCCCGCCTCAGCCTCCCAAGGTGCTGGGATTACAGGCATGAGCCACCATGCCTGGCTGACACAGTAGGCTTTTAACAAATACTCAAGAAATCGCAGTTCTTAGGCATTTAAGGAACAGAGTTGGAACAAAATCAAGATTCAAAATTATTTCTCTAAGCCTTCTTTGGGCCACAGTCTACAAAGAGATTGGGGAAGTAGGCTGTCAGAACTTTAATGGTTCTGAAATCACCGAAAATGATGTAACTGGAACACTTTCATTTCACAAGATTACAGTGTTACATTTTCTAAAGAAACTGTCATTTGCCTTCTGAACTAGAAACAGGGATTTGTAAAATAATGTGCAGTGATGGCGTGGAAAACTAACCAGCAGCACTCCTGAAATGCTGCCTTCGTGTTCCCCTGGGACTGCTCGCCTCACCCCAAAACTATTTCTACTGCCTTCCCCTTCCATGCTACAACTAGTCTCCAAAGGTAGTTTTCTCTACTAACAAAGCAAACAGATCATATGAACGGACATCAGACTTTCTTAGGAGATTTCTGAAAATTCTCTCTTCTGGGGGAATAAATTGTGAGCATTTCGATTCAAACATTCCTGAAAGAATAACCAGGCAACCGAAACACTCAGTGACCTAACTGTGGTAGGCTGGTCACTTCAAACTTAACAGAACAATAAAACATATACTACTTTATGGCCAAAAAAAAAAATCTTTTTAAAACAATAAGTGTGGACAAAGTGTTTTCACAGATGAAGAGATGAAGTTCCTGAAATTTAGGGTTTCATTTCTCAAGGGTCTCCTTTAAACAAACAAACAGTTATGATTTCAAAGTAGACATGTGCCTTCAACACCATTTTTAAAAATTACCAGCCTTAGCAAAGGTGTAGAAAAAACTTGTTCTCAAGCACTGTCCGTGGAAGAATTAGTAAAACATTTCTAGAAAACCTGTTACCGTCTTAACAAACTTTTAAACACATGTAGCAATTCTACTTCCAGGAACTTATCTATTTGCCAAGACATATATGCAAGGATCTTCCCTATAGGGTTGTGTATAAAGGAAAAATCAGACAGACTATGCCAGGAGCCCTCTGAAAGAGAAGAGTCAACTGTGGAGGGGGCACCTGTGAATGAATCCTGCGGAGCTGCTAACAGAGCAGACTTACACACACAACATGGTAAAGTTCCATGACACTGCACACAGGGGATTACACACACAACATGGTAAGGTTCCATGATGCCACACACAGGGGATTACACACACCACATGGTAAGGATCCATGACGCCGCACACAGGGGATTACATACACAACATGGTAAGGTTCCATGACACCGCACACGGGATTACACACACAACATGGTAAGGTTCCATGACACTGCACACAGGGGATTACACACACAACATGGTAAGGTTCCATGACACTGTACACACGGGATTAGGTGAGCGGGGGAGGGGCTGGGGGAATAATAACATCAAAAGAGCGCCTTTTCTTCCCTTATTCCGAGGAGACTTTCCTGGGCCTGACTCCCGGACCTGTCCCCAGCGCCTCGCGGCCTCTCGAGCCCCTTCAGTGACCAAGATGCAGAGATCAGGACGCCATTGCACCACCCCAGGTGCCCGCCTCTAGCTGGCTCCGCCTGGGCCCCGAGGGAAGGTGAGGTCGGGGGGGCCGGGCCAGGGCGTGGCAGCCAGGGTGTTTGTCCGCCGGGCTTGCTGCCTCTGGTGGCCCGGCAGCACCGTCCCACCTCTGCCACCCTCCGATGGGGCCGCTACCTGCGTGCCTGCCAATCATGCTGCTCCTGCTGCTGCTGCTGCTGCTGCTGCTTGGACCTGGCCCCAGGTCTGGCGAGGGTGAGTGAGGAAAGGGCTTTCCCAGAACTCAGGCATTCCGGGATTCCTCCAGCCCTTCCTAGGGACCCAGCAGCCCTGCCTCCCATCCTTCTCCAAGTTCCTAGTTGCCCTAGAGCCCCCAGCTTGCTCTTCTAATGCTCACCCACACTCTGGGTCCCAGCCCTCTGCAGGGCCCCCCACTCACTCCTCCCAGGGACCCAGAACTAGCCCAGCCCTTCCCCAGGGCCACAGAGTCCTCTCCTGGCTCCCTCCCCTAACCGGCTGTGACCCTCTCCAGCAGCCCGGAAGCTTCCCGGTTGTCCTGATCTGGGGTCCGCGAACTTATCCTTCATTCCACCTGTCCCTGAGATGTGAGACACCAGAGGGTGGGAGGAGCAGGGGCAGAAAGGGCCCAGCTTGGGGGTGGGAGAAGAATATATTGTGCCCCTGTACAACAGACCCCGGTGACCAAAAAAAAAGAACATACTGTCCCTACCCCACTATCCATCCTTTGGGTTCACTGTAGAGAGGTCTCCTGGGTGACTGCCCATTTCTGGGGTGTACAGATACATGTAGCCACAGAATACTATGCAGACACCGCCAGCACACAGATGCGCAGGCACAGGACCAGCCCCAGACTCACCTGGCCCTCAGGTGTGCAGCTCACGGTGTGCAGCTCCCACAGGCAAAAATACTGAGATACTGCTAGGGGGACACATGCACACACAGCTCAAGGATACCCGAGACAGCACTCAGGACAATTCAGATGCGCCGTGTACACACACACACACACACACACACACACACACAGAGAGCAGCACAGACACACACACACACACACACACAAACTGAGAGAGAGAGAAAGGCACAGACACACATATGTGCACATAGACCCTGGGGCTCACAGGATGCACAGACAACCCTGGCCCTCCCCAAGGAGGCTGCAGCGGGCAGACAGGGCAAACAGACCCCAGCGTGACCTGCCCCACCTATGTTGGCACAGAGGGAGTGTTTTGCTTGGTTATAAGCAGTGCTCATGCCTGCCCCATGCCTAGAACCCTCCCTCTATAGGGCTGTTGCTAGGGCTCTGAGATACCAGAGTGTGGTCAGGGAGTGTGGCAGGGGAAACTTTGGGGACAGCTTCAGGGTACCGTGTTGGGACTGGGACATTGTCAGGGTGCTCAGAGTGGGCGTGTTCCCTGGGTCTTGGTGGATTTAGAGGTCGAGGGACCATTTCTGGAAGCTCACTGTGTGCCAGGGGAGCTTATATCAGAGATCTTTTTTTTTTTTTTTTAAGACAGAGTCTCACTGTTGCCCAGGCTGGAGTGCAGTGGCACCATTTCGGCTCACTGCAACCTCCACCTCCCGGGTCCAAGAGATTCTCCTACCTCAGCCTCCTGAGTAGCTGGGACTACAGGCGTGCACCACCACACCTGGCTAATTTTTGTATTTTTAGTAGAGACGGGGTTTCACCATGTTAGCAAGGCTGGTCTCGAACTCCTGACCTCAGGTGATCCACCTGCCTTAGCCTCTGAAAGTGCTGAGATTACAGGCATGAGCCACTGCGCTTGGCCAGAGATCTGCTCTGGAAGACCCCCCAGGCCGGAGGGCACTGCCACAAGCAGACAGTATGGCGAGGGTCCCTATGGCCACCTGGCAGGCAGGGTGGATTCTGGAGGGAGGTGGCCTGGGAGCAGGCTGAGGATGGGGTGAGGGCATTTGAGCAGCAGAGTGTCTGCGTGACTGGGCATAACTGGAGGGACAGTAAATGACTCTTGTGTGAGAGGATGAGGGAGGGGTGAGAGCGGCTGACTACCCCTAGGACTTTTGTATTTTTAGTAGAGACAGGGTTTCACCATGTTGGCCAGGATGGTCTCGAACTCCTGACCTTGTGATCTGCCTGCCTCAGCCTCCCAAAGTACTGGGATTACAGGTGTGAGCCACCGCACCTGGACACGTTACTTAATATTTCTGTGCCTTGATTTCTTCATCTGTGAAATGGGATTGTTGTGAGAACACAAAGGGATTCCCAGGGCAGTTCCTAGTGCATAGTCTGGCTGCCTTTGTGTGTGTGTGTGTTTAATATAGAGACAGGGTCTCACTATGTTGCCTAGGCTGGTTTCAAACTCCTGGGCTCCAGTGATCCTCCTGCTTCCACCCAAAGTGGTGCGATTACAGGCGTGAGTCAACACACCTGGTCACTTTATATTATTATTATTTTTTTCTTTTGAGACAGGGTCTGGCGCTGTCGCCCAGGTTGGAATACAGCGGTGCAATCTCAACTCACTGCAAACTCCGCCTCCCAGGTTCAAGCAATTCTCCTGCCTCAGTCTCCTGAGTAGCTGAGATTACAGATGCCTGCCACCACACGCAGCTAATTGGTTGGGTGTGGTGGGGCTTTCCAATGATTACTTATTAATGATTACTTATGAAAAACAACAACAAAAAAGCCATCTTGAAGCTGCTTTTAATGAGAGAACAAATGTGCTCCCAAGCAACAGAGCAGCGAAATTCTTTATTACTGGATTCTAACTTTCCTCTCTAACTGTAACTGTCTCAGCTCCACCTCATGTGACTTGGAGGGTATGTTGCAACCTGCGTCTTCACCACCCATTCATGAAGATCTATAAAACTAATGTAAACTGCTGGGGCAATTTCAACATGAGTCAACTGGAGATTGTTACTTGGTGAGAATGCGCAAGTGGCAAAGATCTAAATTTGTTCAGCTAATTTGTAATTAACCTTCGCTTCTCACATGTCAGTATGTGAAGTGTCTGGTTTAAGCAATTTATCCAAAAAAGCCATAGACTCTTTAAATAACAACAAAACCTGGGCCTGGAATTTTATAAAGGCAGAATGAGTAAGACACGGTTTCGGTGTGCTTTTTTAAAGAAAACAGGGTCTTGCTCTGTTGCCCAGGATGAAATGCCATGCTGCATTTACAGCTCACTGCAGCCTTGACCTCCCACCTCAGCTTCCAGAGGAGCTGGGATTACAGGTGTGCACCACCACGCCCAGCTAATTTAAAAAATTTTTGTAGAAACAGGGTGTCACTGTGTTGCCCAGGCTGGTCTCCAGCAATCCTCTGGCCTTGACCCCCTACAGTGTGGGGATTACACCCATGAGCGACTTGCCACTTACTATCACTATCTGACTGTGACCTGGAACCAGAAAGGAGATTCCGAGAGTGTGCTCAATCAATCACAAACTGACCTTTTTCATGGGTTTCTTGAACTCCTGTAGCTCTTCAGCACTCATGTCTTCCCATACCTGATAAATAGGATCAATGAATTTCTTTGACCTGTCAACAAAGATCACATTTCAAAGTCAAGTTAAATACTTCAGCAGAAGTCAAAATTGGTTTGGATCTTTTCTCACAAGATCTATTACCCAAAACCAAGAAGTGAAAACTACAGCTTAAATAATTACATTTAAAAAAACCTGGCTGGGCGCAGTGGCTCACGCCTGTAATCCCAGCACTTTGGGAGGCTGAGGTGGGCAGATCATGAGGTCAGGAGATCGAGACCATCCTGGCTAACACGGTGAAACCCCATCTCTACTAAAAATACAAAAAATTAGCCGGGTGTGGTGGCGGACGCCTGTAGTCCCAGCTACTCAGGAGGCTGAGGCAGAATGGCCTGAACCTGGGAGGCAGAGCTTGCAGCGAGCCGATATCATGCCACTGCACTCCAGCCTGGGCGACAGAGCGAGACTGTCTCAAAAAAAAAAAAAAGAAAAAGAAAAAAACAAAACAAAAAAACAACCCTCTATGTAAATGCTGTAACTAATGTGGCTCTTTCTGTATAAGAGTTCATTCACTCATGTCGATGGAGTATTGAACTACCATTTTTCATCTTTCCATTTTCATGTGAAATTGTTTCTAAACTTTACAAAAACTGACAAGTCAGTTAGATACAGTATATCCAAATGGAAATGAAACCGCAATATTCTGGAACTCTCTTTTTTATATTTCTGTAGTAATTTGCTGAAAAGTAAGTCTAGGAAAAACAACTAATCTGGTTTCAGTCAACCAAGACTTCAGGGACCAGACAACCCCAGATGGTCATGATGCTGCTAGTTATTTTAGATACCATAATAAGCAAAAATCCTGCTTCCTTATACAAGTGCCAAGTTAAGGCTGGCCCAGTGGTTTTCTAGAATAACTCATCTAGATAAATCGCTTTTTGGTTTTTTTTTTTGTTTTTTGAGACAGAGTCTCACTCTCTCACCCAGGCTGGAGTGCAGTGGTGCAATCTCGGCTCACTGCAACCTCCACCTCCCGGGTTCAAGCGATTCTCCTGCCTCAGCCTCCCGAGTAGCTGGAATTACAGGCGCCCACCACCATGCCCGGCTAATTTTTGTATTTTTAGTAGAGACAGGGTTTCACCATCTTGGCTAGGCTGGTCTTGAACTCCTGACTTCAAGTGATCCGCCCGCCTCAGCCTCCCAAAGTGCTCGGATTACAGGCATGAGCCATTACGCCCAGCCAATTGTTTGTTTTTTGTTTATCCTGTGCAACAGAATGGGATGTGGTCTCTAGAGGAAGGAACAAGACACTTGGCAGAAAATTATGAAGCAAGAAAAGACAGCACCCTCCCCTATCCTGGCACCATTATCCCCATAACCTTACATGTTTAAATAACAGTTTAAAGAAAAACAAAAAAAAACCCAAAAAACCCTTGATGTCAGTCTGGCTCCTAGTGAGGCAAAGATCTACCCACTCTGGGGTGCCTGCACCACTCAGCAAGTCCTGCTAGAAATCCTCTACTTTGCATCTGTGAAATATACACAGGGAGACCACGAGATGCTCATCAACAGCGAGGAAGGGCCACTTCTGGTGAAGAGCCCTAAATCCCAATTTTGGGAAAAGCAAACATGTATCACGTTTAAATCCACCTCCTGGCCGGGCGCGGTGGCTCACGCCTGTAATTCCAGCACTTTGGGAGGCCGAGGCGGGCGGATCATGAGGTCAGGAGATCGAGACCATCCTGGCTAACACAGTGAAACCCCATCTCTACTAAAAATACAAAAAAATTAGCCAGGCGTGGCAGTGGGTGCCTGTAGTCCCAGCTACTTGGGAGGCTGAGGCAGGAGAATGGCGTGAACCCGGGAGGCGGAGCTTGAGGTGAGCCGAGATCACACCACCGCACTCCAGCCTGGGCGACAGAGCGAGACTCCGTCTCAAAAAGAAAAAAAAAATCCACCTCCTCCAGCGTCAATGTTTAAAAGTACCTACCTCTTCAGCACACAGGGATCAAAGGGGAAGAAGGTGTCCAGTGGGTTTGTGCAGGTCTGCACTGAGTCTCCTCCAGTGGTACTCCTAATGACTGGCAGCATCTGGCGATTGTTCCTCTCAATGATGGTGTAGCAGAAGACGAGCTGGTACTTACTGTGGAACAAAAAAACAACACAGACAGAGGCATTAACATGCTGGAGTGACTCTGCGGATGTGAGCTGCATGTGACAACTGTACCTACCAGAGAAATTGCTGAATATAACAAGTGCTAGTAAAAATAACAATATAAAGCAGAAAGTAACACTTTTAGGGTACCGTTCTATGGGTCTTCTATCTGCAAGTTTGCTAAGGAGAAAGAAAACGTGGCTATCACTCAGAATGTGAAACTGGGCTTATATTTTAATGAGTAATAGATATTATTCATTAAAAATAAATGTTTGCAAGGCAAAACTCTTAGATTACATAACTATAGGTGTCTTTATTTTTACTGTTTGCAAAAGAATTAGAAGGTTGGTGGAAAAGGGATTCAGGAGTTACTCAGGAGGAAATAGCGGTTGGTGAAGAGACTTGCTGAAGAAGCACTGAAGAAGAAATAAGCCTTTACTGAAGGAGGGACAAGGGGTTGACTAAGTCATGACCTCAAAAACAGGCACAGAAAGGACTAGGCATGCCGAGTGAGAACAGTTAAATGCATAGAAGAAAACATAACATAAAGACAATTATGTTTTTAATTTTTCCAGTAGTTGTCTCTAAATGATTGAGCAACTTGAAAAATTATCTATTGGACAGCTTCTCCAAGATGAGGACTTAGATCTCACTTCTGTCACTCTCCATGTCAGGTTCTCAGGTCACCATGGCAACTTCAAGCCACATACTTTGATTTCTGTCCTGTTAGCCAAGGCTCACAGCACTTGACCCCTCCACCTGGTGGAGGACACATCAGCAAAACCACACTGGAGGGTGGTTTGCACTATCAGGTAAAGTTGAAGATCTGCATCTCCTACAACCCCGCAGCTGACCGCACTTCCGGGTGTGTGACAAGGAAGCGTGTGCCCACACACAAGAATGTTCCTGAGCACTAAAACACTAACACAGCCGGCTGGGCACGGTGGCTCACACCTGTAATCCCAGCACTTTGGGAGGTTGAGGCAGGTGGTTCACTTGAGCTCAGGAGTTTGAGACCAGCCTGGTCAACATGATGAAACCCCGTCTCTACTAAAAATACAAAAATTAGCTGGGTGTGGTGGCAGGTGCCTGTAATCCCAGCTATTCGGGAGGCTGAGGCAGGAGAAGTGCATGAGCCTGGGAGGTGGTGGTTGTAGTGAGCTAAGATCACACCACTGCCCTCCAGCCTGGGTGACAGAGCAAGACCTTGTCTCAAAAAAAAAAAAAAAAAGACAAAAACTAACAGATGAAATCCCAACAAAGACTCAATAAAAAAGATTCCCAGAACATAACACAGCAGTTAAAATCAAAATAAAGCTTTGTGTCAATATGGTTCAATCTCAAAAGCATCAAGCAGGCAAAAGCAACAGCTACAGAATGGTACACGCCTTTATTTACCATATCTGTACCTAGGCAGAGACTTTTATTTCAATCCCCTGCTCTTAGCCTCACATCGCATCACACTCTGTCCCTCCAATGTGCATGCCAACCCCAAATCGAGAGCCCCTGGACCAGATGGTTCACAAATGCAGTCCTCTGTCCCCACCCCGAGAACATACCAGGGGCAGCGGCCTCTGCTTTGCTTCATCCATCCTCACTCTTTGAGCTGCTCACCATCTTAACCAAAGTGCTGAAGCCTCCACCCACTCACCGCCGTTGCTTATTGGTCTCTTTATGCCTTTTCCTAATCCTTTACTATCACTGAGACTCAGAAGAGAGGACACCTTGAACCAGACGCCTAGCAAAGGAGAACTAAAGAGGCTGACAGAGCTCAGCAAGCTGCTGGCTCTTATCTGTTGAAGATTTTAAGCTATGATCTGGCCTAAATATCCTCATTGAATATTCAATTCTCCAATTTGCTTTCTCCATAAAGCAGAATAACTTAGTGAAAGCTTACAAAGGAGCCAGACTACATATAAATCTGTGCTGCCAGTCTAGCTCTATGACTTTAGGCAAGTGATTTCACCTCTCTGTACCTCCACCTCCCTGTTGATAAACAGGGTTTCATCCTAGAGGGTTGTTTGAGGATCAAATTAGTTCTATGTAAAGTGCTTAGAACTGCCTGGCACAGAGGAAAGGCTATGGATTAGCCATAGCTACCAGATCTGAGAGAACAGAACTCTCTAAACCAATCTCTTACAGGTCAACATTTGCCTCATGTCCAGTTTATTTCTATTACTATTACAGGAGTCACTCTAATAAGCATCTATGGCTTTGCCCCTCTCAGCTTACTGGTTGCCATACTTATTTCAAAGTGCTGCCCTTTGGATAAGAAGTAGTAGTAATTTCCAATGCCATCAAAGTATAAAAACAATAGCTGTATCACAGTATTTCCTGCAAGGACTGGGTTGTTTTTGTTTGTTTAAGAGACAGGGTCTCATTCTGGAGCCCAGACTGGAAGGCAGTGGTACAATCAGGGCTCACTGCATCCTTGACCTCCTGGGCTCAAGTGATCCTCCTACCTCAGCCTCCTGAGTAGTTGGGACTACAGGCACAGGCAACCACACCCAGCTAATTTTTAAAATTTTTTTATAGAGATAGGGTCTCACTATGTTGCTCAAGCTGGTCTTTTAACTCCTGGCCTCAAGCAATCCTCCCACCTCAGCCTCCCAAAATGTTGAGATTACAGGTGTCAGCCACCACACCTGGCCTTTTATAATGTTACTAATTTCATAGAAATTTAACAGACTCTTACAATACTAGATAAACATAAATAAAAATATTTTAAATAACTCCCATCAAGAAAGCGTAAATAACTTACTTTGTGATTGCAGCAAAAAAGTTAACCACTGAGGGCAGGCAAATCTTCAGGGGATTTAGCTGGCTCATCACTATCCACTCAAAATTCAGACTCTGAAGATACTGCAAACCTTTGGTTTAAAAAAAAAAAGATTTTTTAAAGGTACAAATAAGTGAAAAGTGTAAGATATCTTTAAAAGCACAAATTATCACACATTTAAAAAAAACTTAAAAAAATTATTTGCAGAAATGCTTTAAATAAAGGTCCATGCAGATAGTCACACAGTAATATGGCCCAGAAGAGTATCACTAGGCTAACCACATTCATTGGTCACCAAGGCAGCTTCTCTAAAGAAAACTTAGGAAGTAGCAGGCTGTAAGATTCCACGACAACACGAAGTTCATACGTTTGTAAGCTCAGTGTATGCTGAGATAATACAGAGGGAGAAAAAGACCTTGTGATTTGGTTTCAGCTAACAATCACGACAGGCAACAAAACAAAACAGCAATTTGATTCTAGCTTGCATGTCTTGTTAGTGAAGCTGAGTGCTGTTTTCAGGTGCACAGTAGTCATCTGTAGTTTTTTTTCTAAACAAGAAAACTCCAAATTTGCCTTCTACCTCGACGGACGGCAAATTTAGACAGAAGCCACTTTCTTAGACTTAATGAATACAATTCTTTCCTACATGAGTAAAATAAAGACATCACATTTATTTTAAGAGACAAGCTGACCAACTTGTACTTAAGTATATTTTCTTAGGAGTTTCTTTGATGCATATTTCAATAAAAATTACCTAAATGGGATGTCACTGCTTACAAAAACAAGATATTTAATTCAGATTCCTGGCATTAATTTATACAAAGAAAAGCAGAGCTTGTATTTACTTACCTTGTGATAAAACCTCATCCTACTAGTTCATACAACATCTTTTAGAAGCATGTAGGATGTAGGTAAACATATATAATGCAACACGTACAACTTTCAGTTTAGAGCTGTGGCTGTTAACCTAAGGAGACTGCAACCCCCACAGAGGACACCTGGCAGTGTCTGGAGACACTTTTAGTTGTCACAGCTGGGGGTGGTCAGGGACTGCTGTTGGCAGCTAGTAGGTGGAGGCTGTTAAACATCCTACAGTGCAGAGGACAGCCCCCGACGATGAAGGATGATGCAGCCCAAATGGCAATCATGCAGGGTTGACAGACCCTGGTTTAGAGGAAGTGACCCACAAAACCATATGAATTATTCATAAACATAAACAGAACAATTTACAATGACTTATAAACACTGTTCTTGGAGACTCTCTTCAACTAAAATACGCTAATCTAGTAAGTTTCAACTGATAGATTTGAATTATAACTCTTAGAAATTAGCAAAACAATACTGGTCAATTAAGTCTCAAGGCTTCAGGCAGAGTTTAATCTATATAAACTCAAACTTTAGGGTCAGCTGAACCTGGCTTCAGTTTTCTAATCCTGCCAGTAACCATGTGATCTTGGGAAAATGACTTTCCTGTGCTTTGGTGCTGTCTGTAAAGGGAGAATACCTGCCATTTACTGGGCTGTTACAAGGACAACAAAGAGAAGGTGCATCCAAATGAAGCTTTGTACAGGGCGCTGGCACAGCCCAGGGCTCAGCCTCACCTCTGGAGACATCTTCACATTTCAAACCTTCAAAGGCAGAAACCTCTTTCTTAACCTCAAATCCATCTTAAGGGGTTTGCAGGGTTCTCAAGCTCAAATCTATCTTAAGGGGTTTGTAGGGGCCTATGAGCTGCTTGAAATTATTATTAAAAGTTTGAGTGTACATGCAGTTTTCTGAATCCAGTTTTTATAAAAATCTCAAAAAAGTAATGAATCACCATTCTGAAGGGTGACAAGAACACAAGGAAAATCCAGTCCAGCACTCCCACAACACTGACCTTCTTTCAGGTTTCCGCTCAAAAGCTGCTTGTGTCTAAAAACAAAGGTGTAGAACACAGCTTGGCAGGCTGAGTAAAATGGTCCATGGAGAGCAACATCGCAGAATGCCTTTGTTCCCGAATCCTGGTTATTAAGGTATATGTGCAGCCAGTTAACCAAAAGATCTAGGCATGATTTTACAGTACTAGAGGAAAGAAAAATTCAAATCAACTTTACACTTCATAAAAAAACCAGAATAACATAAAAACACACAACTGCCTTTCATTACAAACCATGCTAAGTAAGTTCATAGGTTTCTTTAAATAATACCCATGGGTACAGAGGAAAAGCAAAGAAAGGAAGGATAAGGATGAGTGCGTAGGAAGACAACCTTCCAATTACAAGGCAGAGTAGCTCTGACCTTCTAGGAACAGGTGAGCCCCTAAGAACGTCCCAAGGGATGGAAAGCAGGTTCTCCTAACCATCTCAAAGGCACCCCTCTTAGGGTGATTGGCCAAATAGGACATGTTCACCAACACCTCTCAAGAGAAAGACAGTCTGGTGGACTTCAGTATTCCCTGATGCATCCAGTCAAGTCCTATGGTGAATAATTTTGTTCTCGGGGAAGGGTTTCAACAGCATCCTTGTCCAAAGATATCTTCATGGGCCACTGCAAGAAACTGGCCTCCTAGATAGGTCTATTACCTTTAAAAGGGTTTTTCTTCAGCTTTAACAGATACAATAGATTTGGAATGCAAATGAAAAAATGACAAACCTACAAAAAGAATCAAAACAGTATACAACACTGTCCTCTATCCACAAAACAAATGGATCTTTAAGTGCAACCACACAAAAGAGATGACAAAAGCCTTACATACAGGGTTTTATATATAGAAAAGGAGACACTTTATTCTAAAATCACCACTTAGAAATATAAACATCTTGCACAGAGTAGGAATTTTATTCACTTTAAAAACATGCCAAAAACATATGGGAGATATTTCTGACTTGAGACAATGCTATACTCTTTTTAAAGCATGATATTAAAAAGTACTCAGAAAATTAGGCTACTTACATAAGAGGAATAAATTTAGCTCTTGCCAAAAAGCTTCCAATATAATTTCCAGCAGCCTGCCTGATGATGGCAGGATTACTTGGATCCTGCAATTTTTTCCAAAGAGGTTCCAAAAATGCCTCTGCGAATCCCTATAAAAAGAGAGGGCGTCGGTGTGATATTTTTTAATGCCTAAGATAATCTGGCTATCAAAATCCCAAGATTTTTACTTCACCAATGTAGGGAAAAGTTCTACTATCTCATAACTATCTCATGGGCTTCATTTTTAAAACACGTTGAGAGAATATCATTAAAAACAAAAGGCACCTCGGGTGTTAAATAATCCAATGGATCCCAAACCTAGCTAAGCATCAAAATCAACCCAGGGCCAGGCACAGTGGCTCACGCCTGTAATCCCAGCACTTTGGGAGGCCGAGGCGGGTGGATCACCCAACGTCAGGAGCTCGAGACCAGACTGGCCAACATGGAGAAACCCTGTCTCTACTAAAAATACAAAAATTAGCCAGGCGTGGTGGCAGGTGCCTGTAATCCCAGCTACTTGGGAGGTTGAGGCAGAAGAATCACTTGAACCCAGGAGGCAGAGGTTGCAGTGAGCTGAGATCATGCCACTACACTCCAGCCTGGGTGACAGAGTGAGACTCCATCTCAAAAAACAAACAAACAAAAAACAACAAAAAATTCAACCTGGGAGGTACAAATTCAATAGGTTTGTGACAGGGCTTTGGAATCCACATATTATAAAAACTCTTCAAGTGATTCCAATGTCAGCCAGAACTGGTGACCAACAATAATTCACATCCCATGGAGCTCCACATGGGCACTCCTGTGAGTGCAAAGCACCTTCCGGTCTCTGGACACACTGAACTCAACCATGAACAGAAATATGGACTAACGTACAGCTGGTATTTGAGTTAATTATGCCAATCATGGAAAAAAACAGACACAGCTTCTCACCAAAGGGTGTAACTTCCAACTTCTCCTAAATAGCGCTGTTCTAAAGCTAGGCACGCCCATGTGGGCAGACTGAATTCAACCTTCTTTCCCATGACCAACACTCTCCTGACCTCTAGGAAGCCACAAAATCGTTGCAGAGAAGGAAAAGCCTTCTATATTGTTTCCCCCACCAAAAAAAAAAAAAGAAGAAGAAGAAGAAGAAGAAAAGACAAAGCCTAAAGTTTTTAAAATTCTAGATTAATAAGTTGGTTTGGGCTAGTTACAACTCAACCCTTGGAAAGAATAAAGGAAATACTGTTAATTACCCCATATGAGATTTTAATAGAGAAAGGCTTAAGGGAAGAGCACCACCTAGTGACCAAAAGGCAGGATGACATTTTCGGAGCACCTAGCTGGGCTGGCAGGCAGCAATCTGTTTTCTCTCCAAGTGTACTGAGAAGGGAACGTGGGCCAGGCACAGTTGTTCACACCTGTAATCCCAACGCTTTGCGGGGCAGGAGGCGGGCAGATCACTTGCGGTCAGGAGTTCAAGACCAGTCTGGCCAACATGGCGAAACCCCGCCTCTTCTAAAAACACAAAAATTAGCCAGGCATGGTAACCTGTGGTCCCAGCTACTCGTAAGAAGTAATGCTATAAAGTGTACAAGTGGTAAAATGCAGAAATTAAACAGGTATGCTTTTCTATTAGCCACGCCCTCACAGACAGCATCTGGCTTACAAAAACAAACACTGAAAGTTACAAGAACAAAAGTGAAACATACTTCACCAAACCCAAATTCAAAGCCTTGGAAATAGACCAATTATGCTAAGTGCTAAATGACATGGCAGCAAATTACTCATATAAGGAATCGTTTTCAAGTTTGCTAAACTATTTTAATTCTTTCAATCTAAAGCCTTACAAAGATGAGCAGCACTAGCTGTTTCCACCCTTTGATTATGATAAACTTCATCTCCACTTTCATTAATAAACTGCTAACCATATTACACAATCCTTCCGTGGAATCTGTCCCACCACAAGTTTGATTTGCTGTTTCTTCAGCATCTTCAATACCCTGCCGGGATGCATTCACCTATAACAAAGGGGGGAAGAAAAAGAATAAAAGGATTTAAAAAATACAACTATGTTATTTTGGGATGGAAATTCATCTGATATACACACGTTCAAGGTGTCCAGATTAGTGCCTTATATCACACCCCGACACAATACACAATTATGGTGCAAGCCTGTAAACTGACCTAGGTCATGAAGGAATTTAAATATAATAAACCAAGCCCCTTTTACTACATACTTATATAAAATCGACAACTATCACATGATGCTCTATGTCAGGTAGCCTCAACAAATTCAACATTTATTCTAGCTCTGATATGGTCTGGCTCTGTGTCCCCACCCAAATCTCATTTTTTTCTTTTTTTTTTTTTTTTTGAGGCAGAGTTTTGCTCTTGTTGCCCAGGCTGGAATACAATGGCAAGATCTCGGCTCACCGCAAACTCCGCCCCCCCAGATTCAAGAGATTCTCCTGCCTCAGCCTCCTGAGTAGCTGGGATTACAGGCATGTGCCACTGTGCCCAGCTAATTTTGTATTTTTAGTAGAGATGGGGTTACTCCATGTTAGTCAGGCTGGTCTCGAACTCCTGACCTCAGGTCATCCACCGGCCTCAGCTTCCCAAAGTGCTGGAATTACAGGCGTGAGCCACCACTCCTGGCCCCAAATCTCATCTTGAATTGTACTCCTGTAAGTCCCACATGTTGTTGGTGGGGGACTGGTGGGAGATAATTTGAATCATAGGGTAGGTTTCCCCCATACTGTTCTCGTGATAGTGAATAAGTCTCACGAGATCTGATGGTTTTATCAGGGGTTTCCACTTTTACATCTTCCTCATTTTCTCTTGCCGCCACCATGTAAGAAGTGCCTTTCACTTCCTGCCATGATTCTGAGGGCTCCCCAGCCATGTGGAACTGTAAGTCCAATTAAACCTCTTTTTTGGCCAGGTGCAGTGGCTCACGCCTGTAATCCCAGCACTTTTGGGAGGCCGAGGTAGACGGATCATGAGGTCAGGAGATTGAGACCATCCTGGCTAACACAGTGAAACCCCATCTCTACTAAAAATACAAAAAATTAGCCGGGCATGGTGGCACGTGCCTGTAATCCCAGCTAATCAGGAGGCTGAGGCAGGAGAACTGCTTGAACCCGGGAGGTGGAGGTTGCAGTGAGCCGAGATCGCACCACTGCACTCCAGCCTGGGCAACAAAGCGAGACACCATCTCAAACAAACAAACAAAAACATCTCTTTTTCTTCCCAGGCTCAGCTATGTCTTTATCAGCAGTGTGAAAATGGACTAATACAATCTCTATGCACAAGACACTCACAGACACATTGTGTAATAAACATATCATCAATCAATTGAGCAGAAAAATGATGAACTGCAAGCCAAATGTGCATGATGCAATATTTATTTTGGTATATCACCATTCAAATATCTTAACATACCACTCAAACCATGCCATTTTTTATTAACTATGCTTGACCTTCTTTGTAAACATTCTAAAATGTTCCTTAAGTATATGCCAGAGAAAGACTATAAAAAGTACATATACAGTTGGCCAGAGAGGTGCAACTCCAAGTGAGCACTGCACCAGTGGGCCCAAGCTCCAGCTCTTCTAAGACCTTGTTCCATCTTCCTGCTTTCCTATAGCATCAATGTTTTCCTCCACCAAAGCTCCTCTCCCCTCAGTCCACAAACCTGCTCACGTCTCCCCACTCCTAAACCACGCCTCTTAGCCCTGC
Organism: Homo sapiens; assembly: GCF_000001405.40. Lineage (NCBI taxonomy): Eukaryota > Metazoa > Chordata > Mammalia > Primates > Hominidae > Homo > Homo sapiens. Next base: position 29,092,517 of record NC_000016.10, on the reverse strand, counting down.
TCCATCCCCTCCTTCCACCACAACCCTGCACCAAGGTCTCCAACAGCCCCAATTCTGCTTCCCCACCATCCACATCCTCTCCCGAAATGCAGTTTCTGCGTCTTCACTGACATGGTCCTCCAGAAAGCAACAAAGACTACCTTCTAACCACTAAATCCAAGGACTGTTGCTCTTTTCATCTTTCTAAAAAATGACAGCAGTATCTGATGCTGCTGACCAAACTCCTCCTTCCAGCGGATTCTTCCTGAGCATCCAGACTCTTGGTTTTCCCCATACTTCTGATCACCCTTCTCCTCCCCTGTCCTAAACTGCATCTTTCCAAAGGTTTATGCTCAGGTACCCATCTGCAGCCACGACTGCCTGTGAGTATTCTCTGGTAGGCTGCCCACCAGCAACTGAACCTGGCCAAGATGGAACTACTCTTCCAACTGCCTCCTCTTCATAATTTTTTTCTTTTTTTTTTGAGACAGAGTCTTGCTCTGTCACACAGGCTGGAGCAGAGTGGCATAATCTGGGCTCACTGCAAGCTCCGCCTCCCAGGTTCACACCATTCTCCTGCCTCAGCCTCCCGAGTAGCTGGGACTATAGGTGCCCGCCACCATGCCCAGCCAATTTTTTGTATTTTTAGTGAGACAGAGTTTCACCATGTTAGCCAGGATGGTCTCGATCTCCTGACCTCGTGATCCGCCCGCCTCGGCCTCCCAAAGTGCTGGGATTACATGCGTGAGCCACCACACCCGGCCTCCTCTTCATATTTCTAACTACCATTAATGGCAACACCAAGATTCGATTCCACAGGCAGCAACTATTGAAGGATTCCTTTCCCTTACTGTCTGCCTCCCCTCCTCCAAACCAGTCTCAAGGACCAGTTCACCTTTCCTCACAATGTCACTAGAATCTACCACTTCCTTTCATTCCCACTGCACCTTAGTGCAGGCCTCCTTAAACAAAGTTTTAACTGTTTATAATTATAATCTGCCCTTAAGAAAGGCCAAACAGGAAAAATCACTTCCGTAGGAATCCCTTCCTGACCCCACTGTGATTCTATCAGATTCTCTAACTCATAATGTATGTTTCATTCATAGCATTTTCCACAACCATACTTTTACATTTGGATAACTATGTATTTAACGCCTTGTTCTCCAATCATGAGAAGGAACTGTCTACAACTCCCAGCACATGCACAGATGGAGTTCAAGACACATTCAAAGAAAGGAAGCAAAGAATGGTGCTAGTGGTTTCTTTTCTTTTCTTTTTTTTTTGAGACGGAGTCTCGCTCTGTCGCCCAGGCTGGAGTGCAGTGGCACGATCTCAGCTCACTGCAAGATCCGCCTCCCAGATTCAAGCAATTCTCCCACCTCAGCCTCCTGAGTAGCTGGGATTACAGGCACTCACCATCATGCCTGGCTAATTTTTTTTTTTTATTTTTTATAGAGGCAGGGTTTCGCCATGTTGGCCAGGCTGGTCTCGAACTCCTGACCTCAGGTGATCTGCCTGCCTCAGCCTCCCAAAGTGCTGGGAATAAAGGCATGAGCCACCATGCCTGGCCAAGTGGATTCTTTTCTATCACTGACTATTGTTTCCACATACTGTGATTATAACAAATTCAAGTCAGTAAATGAAAATAAAAAAAATAAAAAAGAAAAAAAGAAAATAAAAATAGATTACTCAATACTTACATCCAACTTGAGTAGTTTTTCAATAATAAGCTCCAGAATTTCATGCCTCAAGGTTGGAAAATATACACTAATCCTTAGTAAGTTATGAACGTAACATTCCTAAAGGAGAAAACGTAAGATAAAACATTTCAACAGAGAATAAATGTTTCACAGTTATGTAAGAAAAACATCAATTACATGACCTTTAGTTTCAAATATTTAAAAAGAAAAAAACAGACTATCCAGCAATACAAAAACTATACTGTTTCTACATGTATTATGTTCGGTATAATCATTTCAATTATCCCCAGTAAATGAAATTTTTAATTTGCGTAACTATAGGTTTTTAAGTAGCTGTATTGATAAAACTCATATATTATACGATCACCAACTTAAAGTATACAATTTAAGTTTTTAATATATTCAGTTATGTGACCATCAACATAATCAATTTCAGAACATTTATTTTTCTTTTAGAGACAGGGTCTTGCTCTCTCTCTCAGGATGGGGTACAGTGGTGCAATCATAGTTCACTGCAACCCTGAATTCCCGGGATAAGCAATCCTTCCTCCTCAGCCTCCCTAGTAGCTAGAACTACAGGTGCACACCACCACATGAGGTTAATTCTTCCTTTTAGAGAGACATTTTCTCACTATGTTGCCCAGGCTGGTCTTCAACTCCTGGATCTTCCCACTTCAGCCTCCCAAAGTGCTGTGATTATGGGCATAAGCCACTGCACCCAGCCAGCAATTTTGTAACATTTTAATCACTCTAAAAAGAAATCCTACATCCATTAGTGCACCCCTAAAAAATGAAGACCTTGCCAACCACTAGTCTTTCTATGAATCTGCCTCTTTGAGACATTTCATATAAATGGAGTCATATAATACATGTTTTTAGGGTTCAATCATGTTGTAACATGTAAACCATTCCTCTCATATCAATGGAGTCATACACAGTTTGTGGCATGTTTTTAGGGTTCAATCATGTTGTAACATATAAAGCATTCCTTTTCATTGCTGAGTAATATTCCATTGTACCATGTTTTGTCATCTGTTCATCAGTTGACAGACATTTGAGTTGCTTCTACTTGAGGCTATTATGGATGATGCTGCTATGAACATCCATGTACAAGTTTTTCTGTGGACATATATTTTCATTTCTCTTGGGTATAAACCCAGAAATGGAACTGCTGAGTCACGTGTTAATTCTACATTTAAACTTGAAGAAATGCCAGGCTATTTTCCAAAACGGCTGCACCATTTTACATTCTCACAGCAACATATGACAGTTCCAACGTTCCCATTTCTCCATATCCTTGTGAACACTTGTTACTGTCTTCTCGTTCTGATTATAGCCATCCTTGTGGGCATGAAGTGAAATCATTTCCCTGATGGCTAATGATGTTGAGCTTCTTTTCATGTGCTTTTTTTGCAGAAATGCCTATTCAGATCCTTTGCCCACTTCAGTTGGGCTATTTGCCCTTTTATTATTCAATTATAAGAGTTCTTTACATATACAAGTCCATTACCAGACATAAAATTTAGAAATATTTCCTCCCATTATTTGGGGATTCTTTTCATCTTCTTGAAGATGTCCTATGAAGCATAACAACATTTAATTTTGAAGTACAATTGATGCATTTTTTCTTTGGTTGCTTGTGCTTAGGCATCAAATCTGGAAATTACTGCCTAATCCAACATTATGAAAATGTACTCGTTTTCTTCTCAGAGTTTTACAGTTTTTACACTTCATGTAGGGCTTTTATTGAGTTCATTTTTGTATATGGATATCCATATGCTTCACTCTTTTGCATGTTCATATCCACTTCTGCCAGCAGCATTTGTTGAAATGACTATTCTCCCCTATTCAATTGTCTTGAACAACTGGTTAGTGTATGTTAGTCTTCTGTCCCGTAACCATGCTGAACTCATTTATTATCTCTAAAATTTCTTGTGTGTGTGTAAACTCCTTAGGATGACATATAAAATCACCATGCAAAAGAGAGTTTACGCCTTCCTTTCCATCTGGATGCTTTTAATTCTTTTTCTTGCCTAACTGCTTTGGCTAGACAAGCAGCAAGAGCAGACATCCTTGTTTTGTTCTTTGTCTTAGGAAAAAACTTTTGGTCTTTCACCACTGAATATGATGTTAGCTGTGGGTTTTTCAGATGCCCTTTATCAGGTTGAGAAAATTTCCTTCTGTTTTTCTCATAAAAGGATATTGGTGTTTGTCACACACTTCTGCATCTACTGAGATAATTATGTGGTTTTTGTCCTTTGTTCTATTGCTACAAAATATTTTATTAATTCATTTTCAGGTACTAACTCAATCTCGGCCGGTCACGGTGGTTCACGCCTCTAATCCCAACACTTTGCGAGGTGGAGACGGGTAGATCGCTTGAGGTCAGGAGTTCAAGACCAGTCTGGCCAACATGGCAAAACCCCATCTCTACCAAAAACACAAAAATTAGTGGGGTGTGGTGCCCCATGTCTATAGTCCCACCTACTTGGGAGGCTGAGGTGGGAGAGTCACTTGAACCCTGGAGGCAGAGGCTGCAGCGAGCTGAGATGGTGCCACTGCACTCCAGCCTGGGTGACAGACAGAGACTGTCCCCCCACCCCCGAAAAAAAAAATCAATCTTGCATTCCTAACATCAGTCGCACTTGGTCATGGTACATAATTCTTTTTGTATGCTACTAGATTCGGTTTTCTACTAAGGCAACCACTATTAATTATTAAAAACTGCACAGATGATCTGAACATTGTACAAAAACTTAAGCAGAATTCTTCTATGGAAGGCTTTGTTTTCAGGTTAAAATAAGGCATGTTCACAATTAGTAATACATGAACTATTATCTTCTAGTAATTCTTGCCCGTATGAGCATAAAGCCACTACAGATATTCCTGAAATGAACTCAGACCTTGACTTGCACATAGTAATAACAGAAAAAGGCACTGGGAATCCCCAATAGCCGCTTTATAAGAAAGGAATCTGAGTCAAATTCTTAGACATCAGCTTAAAGTCTAGAAGACAAAGTAACCTTTAAGAAAAAGACCTAACATCAGCCGGGCACAGTGGTTCACCAATCCCAGCAATTTGGGAGGCCGAGGCAGGCAGATCACAAGGTCAGGCATTTGATAACAGTGTGGCCAATATGGTGAAACCTTGTCTCTACTAAAAATACAAAAATTAGCTGGGCATGGTGGTAGGTGCCTGCAGTCCCAGCTAATGGGGAGGCTGAGGCAGGAGAATTGCTTGAACCCGAGAGGCAGAGGTTGCAGTGAGCCAAGATGACGCCATTGCACTCCAGCTTGGGCGATAGAGTGAGACTCGGTCTCAAAAAAGAAAAATAAAAATAAAGACAGAAAAAGAAAGAAAAAGACCTAATATCATCTAAAATGAAATCATACAAACAACTTTTCCATGATGTTCTCAATGAAAAGATTTCTTACCAGTGTTCTCTCTGATTTTCGAACAAATGGAAATTTTTCCACCAGTATTGGCATGAGAAACCACGGTGTCCTATTTTTAAAAAATTAAATCAATCCATGTTAACTTTACTTTCTAGAAAAGGAATAAAAAGGAAAACTACCATTCTAAAAGCAAATATCGATAGACATAGGAGGCAAACAGGAACCCCTACCTCAAAGAACTGGAACTTTTTTTGTTTTTTGAGACAGAGTTTCGCTCTTGTTGCCCAGGCTGGAGTGCAGTGGCGCAATCTCGGCTCACTGTAACCTCCGCCTCCCGGGTTCAAGCGATTCTCCTGCCTCAGCCTCCCAAACAGCTGGGATTACAGGCATGCGCCACCATGCCCAGCTAGTTTTGTATTTTTAGTAGAGACGGGGTTTCTCCATGTTGGTCAGGCTAGTCTCGAACTCCCGACCTCAGGTGATCCACCCGCCTCAGCCTCCCAAAGTGCTGGGATTACAGGTGTGAGCCACCGCGCCCGGCCAGAACTGGAACTTACAATGTTTAGCTTCTGAGAAAGTCTGTAACGACTTAGAGAAAATAAGCTTCTGTTAACTCTGATATCAACAGCAAATCGAAGAGGGAGCTTCTCTCCCACAGAAACATAACAGCACTTTTGCTGACATTTCCCACTACACATGTATATTATTTTTAAAAGAAGAAAAAATAATCAAGTTGGATTTTTTTAAGTTAACAAATAATCAACAGACAGAGGGAACTAGAAATCCACCCCTCCAAAAGAAACCCACAAACCTGAAAAGCTTTTCTTAGAAGTGCAATTTTTATTCATATGGCATGACACAAACACACCCAGGGGTTTCTCACTGAAAAATTTTGGATAGCATATCTGTTGAAGATAAAAACAAAATTCCAACCACCATACAAAATTGGGGGAGAATCTGCATACAAACTTTGAAAAACAATTAAAGAGAATAAATAGAAAATGGAAATGCCACTTTTTGTAGAATGTAATGTTTCCTCAAGTGGATACAAAAAAAACATGCAATGTAAGACTCAAGCTTTAATACTATTAACATTTTATAATTTTTACTAATTGATTACAATTTTCTTGAGAATTAAACATTCAAAATAAGGAAAAGTATACTCACAATGGTACATATCTTGCTATTATTTGCAAGGCTCTGTGACGTGTCAAAATTTGCAGGAAGATCTGAAAGGAGAAAAGTTCAGAGTATGAGCATCAAAACAAAACTGAAGGGTGACACGCTTGAAGCTAAAAATAAATGCTGGCCGGGCACAGTGGCTCATGCCTGTAATCCCGGCACTTTGGGAGGCCGAGGTGGGTGGATCACTTGAGGTCAGGAGTTCGAGACCAGCCTGACCAATATGGTGAAACCCCATCTCTACTAAAAATACAAAAATTAGCCGGCCATGGTGGCAAATGCCTGTAGTCCCATCTACTCAGGAAGCTGAAGCAGGAGAATCACTTGAACCTGGGAGGTGAAGGCTGCAGCGAACCGAGATCACACCACTGTACTCCAGCCTGGGCAACAGAGCGAGACTCTGTCTCAAAAAACAAACAAACAAACAAAAAGTGACATACTTGAAGCTAAAAACACATGCTAACCAAAATGGAATAATTTATCAGAGAAATAATAATTTCAAGACTTTTCTCCACCAGCATCAATGAAAATTAAATGGACTAATTATATAAATAATGCATTCAGGACAACTGACTGCATATCAATGGTAAATATAACAAAAAGATTACATCAAAGGTTGTCATTTGTTGCAGTCTACTTATTAGAATAGGTGCCAGGTATTCTGTGCTTTCCTTTTTTTTTTAAAGAAGACAGTGTCTTGCCACCAGGCAGGGCTTGAACTCCTGGGCTCAAGCAATCCACCCACTTAAGCCTCCCAGGTAGCTGTGACTAAAGACACACACTACCCTGCCTAGTTCTACTTTAAGCCTTTTTTAAGAAAATATTTGAAAAAAAATGTTTTTTTGCAGAGACAAGGTCTCACTATGTTGCCCAGGCTGGTCTCAAACTCTTGGCCTCAAGTGATCCTCCCGTCTTGGCCTCCCAAAGTGCTGGGATTATGGGTGTAAGCTACTGTGCCCAGGCTTTAAACCTTTTTATACTTACTATCATCTTCATCATCAGAATCTGAAACATCTACATCGCCTTCCTTAATGATCACTCGGGCTTTTGAGGGAAAAAGAAAATATGTTGTTCTGTCATTGATCTAGACAATGAATGGCTATACAAAAAAAGTTATTGACCTAGACAATGAACAGCTATAAAAAAAGTTATTTTTCCATAATCCAAAGTTAGCCCAATGATTAATTAAATGCACAATCTGAAAAAAAGTAAAGCAACTTTATAGTTTTTAAACGGCTAAAAATTCCTAGATTTCACCAGGAGTTCAATAAAGCAAGTTATAATTCATAAAACTCACAGCAACAAATGAATCTAGACACCTCCATAGGGGTCATTACGGGGAATATATGTCTACCAGACCTGGTGCCAATATGCATCTGGAATCTTCCATGGTAGCAGTCTCTCATATATAAGGGGAAGGTGGTATTTTAATAAAGAAGTATTAAAAAGAAAAGAAAAGAAAATTCCAAGCAAGCAAAGAGTAATGACTTACGAGGCACAAAATGGGAAGCAATCATGCTGAGACACGGTCTGAGGAAAACAGTCTGTGCTGATACAAGATTACCAAGAAAAGCCAAATACTCTTCCACTACTGTTTGACTTCTATTCAACCAAGGCAATCTCTAGAGTGGGGGAAGAAAGATAAAAGCAGCATGTTATTAATATAACATATACTATTACCAAAGTTCTGAATTACATACTTGACAGTAAAATAAATGGTGAACCTACCAATATAATACTGATAAGTTGCTCAAAGTCTTTTGTCAAGTACATGATAGAAGAACGGAATTCTAGCAGCCAGTTGATGATCTGGTCATCCTTAAGTTAAACAAAGAGTACTTTCAAAATCACAAATCCTCTAAGATAACAGAAATTTACAGCTATCTTATATCAATCACTTATCAAGAATAGATTGGGGGGAAAAGGTCACAAACTTGGAAGGAAATCAAAACTGGGTATTAAAACAGAAAAAGATGTCACAATAAACTTAATTGTTTTAAGAAAGTAATCTAGTAACTCTAATACACAGGAGAAAGACTTAAATGCAATACTTCAGCCTGATCACTTTTGTTTGCCCTGAAAAAGCGAAATCACCTCAAATGTTGACACCTGGGACTTTTAAAAACTGCAGAATTCTAGCAGATTGAAATATTAGAAGATCACAAAGGAACAATAGCTACCTCTATTTCCTCTATATTCAAGCTGACCAGGAAGCATGCTGATAAAATTCAGTCTAGGCTGATCAATTGGGATCATGAATAAACATAACTTTTCTAAACCAAATCTGTGGCTGAGTTTAAATATATTATGATGTGTTTGTTCTGTATAAATGATAGCCCCATTCCTCCATGAAATATTTTTCAGGCAATCAAATTACTGTTCATAGTAATTGTTAGTGACATGAGAAGAACTGCTAAATTTGAAACACAAGGTATAAAATACAGTGTCAATTATGTAAAATATTACTATATTAATTATATTCATGCATACATACTGCACAGGAAAAAAACCATTAAGAAAAAGCCCCTAATTTGTGGAAGGCTTAGACATATAAATAAAAGCAACACAAGGTCATACCTACAGGGATATTCATATGGAGTTATCATTTAGTGAGAATACACCATATGCCAGGCATGGTGCCTGACACTCCGCATATGTATCTTCTTCTAATCCTAAAAATTCTGCAAGATGTTTAGTTATTCCCATTTTGCTGTTCAGGAAGCTGAGGCTAAGAATGATTAATAAGCAATCTACCCTACCAAGAGGCCAGTAAAGAAGCAGGTCCAAACCCATCTGTCTCGGTCAAGGCTATCCTCCATCCACCATCCCACATGCCTCCCTATATGCGGAGAAGAAGCTGTCCCCTTTTCCCCACCTTAATTCAGCTACTGAGTGCTTACTATGCCATATCCATGTGTCAAACTCCCACAGATCAACCATTTTCTGATGAAATCCCAAGTAGCCTGGCAGTAAAATAAAGTAAAACCACAACTCATTTGTACTATGGTAATTTCATATGTCCAAAACTGTTAAGGATAACATTAACGGTAGCTCACTAAGGCCAAAGGCATGTAGAAAACAAGCTAAGTTAGTGTGTAAATAAAATTATCCTATCTCTTTTCCACTAAAAAGACTGCAACAAAACTATAAGGATAACATTTAAACTGTACCATTTTTAAAAGTAAATCAGGCTGGGCGTGGTGGCTCACACCTGTAATCCCAACACTTTGGGAGGCCGAGGTGGGTGGATCACCTGAGGTTTGGAGTTCGAGACGAGCCTAACCAACATGGAGAAACCCCGTCTCGACTAAAAATACAAAATTAGCTGGGCGTGGTGGTGCATGCCCATAATCCCAGCTACTCAGGAGGCTGAGGCAGGAGAATTGCTTAAAAAACTCGGAGGCAGAGGTTGCAGTGAGCCAAGATCATGCCATTGCACTCCAGCCTGGGCAACAAGAACAAAACTCTGTCTCAAAAAGAAAAAAAAAAAGTAAATCAGTTGCAGACTTTGATGCTTTAGTACTGAACTATTATTATTTCTACTAGCAGGCAGGAACAGTGGCTCATGCCTGTAATCCCAGCACTTTTGGGAGGCCAAGGCAGGAGGAGACTGCTTGATCCCAGGAATTTGAGACCAGCCTGGGCAACATAGGGAGACTTCGTCTCTAGAAAAATTAGGAACTCTGGCAGTCAGTGGTGCATATAGACATATTTCTGGGAGCTGTCCATGAGCTCATGGCTCTCCTGGCGACAGCGGCAGCGGCTAGGGAAGCAGCCTCCTTTCTCCCGGCGCCGCCGCTAGAATAAGTCCGGCAGCTCGCACTTTCAGAGCACACGCGCCGGGCGCGGCGCTGGGAAGGGGCAGCTGCTTGCCCAGCCCCGCGGCCAAGGTCGCGTCCGACCCCGGCCCGCCGCGGCCCCGAGTCCGCCGGCCGGGATGTAGGTGGCGCGGGAGGGACTTCGGCTGGGCGAGCAGAGGGCACAGCCGCCCCTTCCACTCTGCGGCGCAGGAGCCGGGGCGGGTCCGCGGGGCGCGGCGGCTGCGGAGACTCCGGGCGGGCGCGGGCCGCAGGCCCGACGCGGAGGAGACCGAGGAGACGCGGGAGACCCGGGCGTGACAGGAGGAAGAAACCCGGAGCCGCAGGAAGATGGCTTCTCCCACCTCCCCGGCCCCGGAAGGCGGGGCCTCCACCCCGCCGAACCCGCCGCGGATTCGTCAGACTGGAGTAAAGTGGTGCGATCTCGGCTCGCTGCAACCTCTGTCCCCCTGGATTCAAGTGATTCTCCTGCATCAGCCTCCCGAGTAGCTGGGATTACAGGTGTGTGCCACCACACCTGGCTGATTTTTTTATTTTTAGTAGAGACGGCATTTCACCACATTTCCCAACTGGTCTTGAACTCTTGAACTCAGGTAATCCACCCACCTCGGCCTCCCAAAGTGCTGGGATTACAGGCGTGAGCCACTGCACCCGGCCCAAACTATTTAATAAATTTTCTAGGACAATTCATTTGGTAACTGGGGAAAGACAAAACACTTCAAAAAAACTTCCTGGTAGTTTAAATTAAATGTTAAATGGTTAGAAATAAATAAATAAGGGCCGGGCGCGGTGGCTCACGCCTGTGATCCCAGCACTTTGGGAGGCCGAGACGGATGGATCACGAGGTCAGGAGATCGAGACCATTCTGGCTAACACGGTGAAACCCCGTCTCTACTAAATATACAAAAAATTAGCCGGGCATGGTGGCGGGTGCCTGTGGTCCCAGCTACTCCGGAGGCTGAGGCAGGAGAATGGCGTGAACCTGGGAGGCGGAGGTTGCAGTGAGCCGAGATCTCGCCACTGCACTCCAGCCTGGGCGACAGAGCAAGACTCCGTCTCAAAAAAAAAATAAATCAATAAAAATAAATAAATAAAACCAGGCCAGGCACAGTGGCTCACGCCTGTAATCCTAGCACTTTGGGAGGCCGCGGCGGACAGATAGCATGAGCCCAGGAGTTCGAGACCAGTCTGGGCAATATGGTGAAACCCCATCTCTACTAAAAATACAACAACTGAGGTGGGAGGATCACCTGAGCCTGGGAAAGTCAAGGCTGCAGTGAGCTGTGATCGCGCAACTGCACTCCAGCCTGGGTGAGAGTGAGAGCCCATTTCAAAAAATAAACCAAAAACACAAAAATTAGAAAAATTAGAATTGAGTACTTAGAAAATCCCTGCATTTGGGGAGAAATGTTCTGTTTTATTACATTTTACTGTACAACATTTCAAATATTAAAATAAATAGAGAGTATAACAAAAAAAAAAAAAAAAGAAAAAGAAAAATTAGCCAGGCATGGTAGCTCATGCTTGTGGTCCCAGGTGCTCGGGAGCCTGAGGTGGGAAGATTGCTTGAGCCTGGGAGGTTGAGGCTGCAGTGAGCCATGATCGGGCCCATTACACTCCAGCCTGGGTGACACAGCGAGACCCTGTCTCAAGATGAAAAAAGTTCTACTTGCAACACTCCACACAACTAGTGCAATTCTTGGTATGTCAAAATACCAAGAATGAGAACTGCTGATACAAAATACAGTGGAACACAAAGAAAATGTCCCTTTGTATCTGGGAAAGAAGGCAGGGGTCAGGAAAAGCTTTAAAGAGAAAGTGATGCTTCAGCTGTCTTTAAACAGTAACACAGTTGAGTCTTTTCTGGAAGTTCTGCTTCTTACAGAAGGAAAAGTATGTTTTCAGAAAACTGAAAAACGTTCAGTATGGCTGGCATGTATAGTGACCAAGCCAACAGATAATAAATCTGGGGAACAAAGAAGCACCAAATAGACCATGGAGGGCCTTGTAAACCAGATCTGTAACTAGAGAGATCTGGAAGTGTGGGAAATGGACTCAATGAAGGAACAACCATGTGCTTAGAGAGAACCAGGGAAAGCTCCATGAAAGATGGAGCCCAGCCAAGAGTGGACATGCTAAGTTTGGAGCATCTATGATGATTCTGGGTAAATGCATCTAACAGACAGTTAAGAAACAAGTCTAGGCCGGGTGCAGTGGCTCACGTCTATAATCCCAGCACTTTGGGAGGCTGAGGCGGGTGGATCACTTGAGGTCAGGAGTTCGAGACCAGCCTGGCCAGCATGGTGAAACCCCAAATCTACTGAAAATACAAAAAAATTAGCTGGGCGTGGTGGCACAGCTACTCAGGAGGCTGAGGTGGGAGGATGGCTTGAACCCAGGAGGCAGAGGTTGCAGTGAGCCAAGATCATCCCACTACACTACAGCCTAGGTGACAGAGCAAGACTCTGTTCTGCCCGTCCCCAAAAATGAAAATGAAATAAGTCTGGAGCCCACAAGAGCAATCTTGGCTACAGACACAAATATATTAGGACACAGGTAGATTTCAAAGCCATGAAGGGAGATGAGGAGATCACACAGAAGAATCAACAGAGTGAGAAAAGAGTCAAGTTTTGAAGCCTAATCAACACCAAATTTAAGATCAAGAACCTATCGAGAGATACTAGAGCTTAAAGGATCACTGGCCGGGTGTGGTGGCTCACACCTCTAATCCTAGCACTTTGGGAGTCCAAGGCGGGCGGATCACGAGGTCAGAAGATCGAGACCATCCTGGCTAACATGGTGAAACCCCATCTCTACTAAAAATACAAAAAATTAGCTGGGGGTGGTGGCGGGCACGTGTAGTCCCAGCTACTCGGGAGGCTGAGGTAGGAGAATCACTTGAACCCAGGAGGTGGAGCTTGCAGTGAGCCAAGATTGTGCCATTGCACTTCAGCCTGGGCGACAGAGCAAAAAAAAAAAAAAAAAAAAGAGAGAGAGATTAAAGGATCAGAAGACAGGAGGATCAGAAACACTGAAGTTTTAAGAAGTGGGTGGCCAACAGTGTCGGCTGATACAAGGAATACAAGGCTTAAAAAAGTAAGTCCACTGAGGCTGGGCTCAGTGGCTCACACTTGTAATCCCAGCACTTTGGGAGGCCGAGGCGGGCAGGTCACCTGAGGTCAGGAGTTCAAGACCAGCCTGGCCAACATGGTGAAACCCCGTTTCTACTAAAAATAAAAAAATTAACCAGGCATGGTGGCGGGTGCCTGTAATCTCAGCTATTTGGGAGGCTGAGGCAGGAGAATTGCTTGAACCCAGGAGGCAAAGGTTGCAGTGAGCCCAGATCACACCACTGCACTCCAGCCTGGGTGACAAGAAGGAGACTTTGTCTCAAAAAAGTCCACTGAAATCAGCATGTAAAAAAAAAACATGGGTAACCTGTCAGGGTAATTACTACAGTGATAAGAACAGTGGACTTAAATGTGAGTGAGAAATGATACAGCGCAGTCAGCTGGAACAAAAACAACAGATGACAATTACTGCCCTTACTTTGAGTCAGAGACTGTTCTAAGTGCTTCTTGCATATTAGCTCATTGAATCCTTGTTAAGTATTTCCATGTTTAAAGCCAGGCACAGTGGCATGCACCTATAGTCCCAGCTTTTTAGAAGGCTGAAGAGAAAGGATCATTTGAGGCCAGGAGTTCAAGGCTGTAGGGCAATATGATCACACCTGTGAATAGCTAGAGCAACACAGCAAGACCACATCTCTTAAAAAACAAAACACTCCATATTTTTTAAATCTCTATTGTTTTCTTGGTTTCACACAGTGGAAAATAGAGGCAGAGAGGTTAAAACAATTTGCTCAAGATCACACACTGGATAATAAAATTGGAATTTCATTCCAGGCAATCTAACTACCACTGCCATGGTAATAAACCATTCTCTTCAAAACTGGGCAGTAAAGGAAGAATGGTGAAACAAAATGTATTAAGGTTTTACTACATGATAGGTGTATCTCGAACCTGGAAATGCTGAAACAGTGGTTTTTTTTTTTTTTTTTGGTTTGTTTTAGCTTTAAAGAGACAAAAGAGTTGCATGCAGCATGGAGGAAAGAGGTAGTAATCTAATAGAAAGGAAGCATTAGAGCAGGGTTTCCCAGCCTCAACACTGTTGTCATTTGGGGCTGGATCACTCTTGGTTATGGGAGGCTGCCCTGTGCACTGTGAGATGTTTAGCAGCATCTCTGTCATTCACCCACTAAATGCCAGTAGCACCCTTTCCTCCCAATTGTGACAAAAATATCTGCAGCCATCACCAAATGTCTTCTAGGGGGTAAAACTGTCCCTGGTTGAGAACCACCAGATTAAAGTAAGGGAGGACCATGGAGAGAGCAAGTTCTGCAGAACAGAATGGGACCCAAAGAGCAAACTATGTCTGTATAAAGTGGCAATAATTTTGCTAATGATCAAACACAAAATTAATTACCTTTATGTCTGGATCTAACAGCTGGTTCTTCAACAACTCAAAGTCATTTGTTTCACCCTTAACAAGGAGGGGAAATAATTAAGTTATGCTTTTGTTTCCTGTTTAGTATCAACAGCAAGACTTTTAACCGTACTTTAACATCAGATGAAATTATAAAAGGAACACTAACTTTCACATGTCAATTGCGGATTATAAAATCATGACTACAAAAATTTAAACACTCATGTTAGTGCAGCCAGAGGGCTTGGAAAAAGGAAAATGATAAACTACATTTAGCTATACTTCTGTATTGACATTTGAATATAATAGTTGATACTCCTGCGAATTCTCAAAAAGCATGAGGGAAAAAAAACAGCCAGCTATAATGATCTAATTCAGGAGGATCTAAAAAAGTATTTACTCAAATATGGATACAAATGGATATTACATATAAACATACGGTTACTTAACATTTTCCCTCTACTGCTGAGATATAGTAGAAATGCTTCTAACCTACCACAAAAACAAAAATCCCTATTCAGAGAACCGGTTTACTGTCCCAAAGTAATGCTTAGGTAAGTTCCTCAAAAAATAAAATGCTGTAGGCCAGGCATGGTGGCTCACGTCTGTAATCTCAGCACTTTGGGAGGCCAAGGCGGGTGGATTACAAGCTCAGGAGTTCGAGACCAGCCTGGCCAACATGGTGAAACCCCGTCTCTATTAAAAAAATTAAAAAATTAGCCAGGTGTGGTGGTGCATGCCTGTAACCCTAGCTATTCAGAAGACTGAGGCAGGAGAATTGCTTGAACCTGGGAGGTGGAGGATGCAGTGAGCCGAGGTCACGCCACTGCACTCCAGCCTGGGTGACAGAGGAAGACTCCAGCACAAATAAATAAATAAATAAAATGCTGTAATTGTTTTTAATTCTAGCACTTGCTGAAGTTAAAAGATGCTTTGTAAATAAAGCATTTGAAGAGGTGAAACCTCAGTAAAGACATTATTACTCTCTCATTATTACCTGTGAAATGGGCCAAGGTGGGGGAAAAAAAAGGACACTATTACTCTAATTTTGCACTGATGGCATCATGCTATTATTAAATATTTGATTTCAACTGGTATCTTAATTAATCTTGCTATTTCTATTGGTCTTTAGTATAACAGCAATAGTTGTATTCTGACCTGACCAAAAGCAAACCTCACACATTATCTCCTCTTACCGTTTTGTACTTCAGCAAGACTTCTGTCACAGTTCCACCAAACTGAACAGTTTTTCTTGGGGGAGAATTGAAAAAATCATTCTCTAATGCACGCATATTTGAAATCCTGTGGAACCAAGATTAACAAGCTATTAAGTTCATGAAAATAATAAAAATTATAATAGCCAACCTTTATTGAACCAACATAATTCAGTGGAACTATTGTTAAGGCCTCTTTACTGGTCTCCCTGCTTCCACTCTTAATCAACAATCCCTCCTTTGCTCAGCAACCAATAACTGTCTTCCCACTGCACTTACAGTAAAAATCCAAATCTCTCAGTGTGGTCTTTAAGATCCTACATTAATCTGGCCCCTGCCTACCTCTCTCACCTCATCTCCAACAACTTGTTTTACTACAGCCATCATGTCTTTTCTGCTCTTCAAACAAGCCAAGCTGTTTCTCATTTCACTTACTGTTCACTCTATTGGAAATACTCTTTTCCCAAATCTCTATGTGGCTGGATTTTTTTTTTTTTTTGAGATGGAGTCTTGCTCTGCTGCCCAGGCTGGAGTGCAGTGGTGTGATCTCAGCTTAACTGCAACCTCCATCTCCCGGGTTCAAGCAATTCTCCTGCCTCAGCCTCCTGAGTAGCTGAGATTACAGGAGCCTGCCACCACGCCCGGCTAATTTTTGTATTTTCAGTAGAGACGAGGTTTCGCATGTTGGCCAGGCTGGTCTCGAACTCCTGACTTCAGGTGATCCGCCCACCTCAGCCTCCCAAAGTGCTGGGATTACAGGCGTGAGCAACCGTGCCCGGCCTAGATTTTTGTCTTCATTCAAATAGAAGCTCAAATGACAGATGTCTTCCCAATGAGAAATCTCAAACACTCCTTCTCTCCCTTCTCCCTCCCCCATTACCTTGTTGTATAACTGAAATCATCGTGTTCGTTTATTTATTGGCCTATGTACTGCCTTCCCCCCAATATGCTGTAAGCTCTGTAGAAAGCAGGGACATTAGTGTCTTTGGATAAACCACTGTCGCCAGTGTTTAACACAGTAAGCAGGAGCTCGATAAACATTATGAATCATATTACGCTAATTGTTTTACAAGGTTTGCTTCACTTACACGTAGTAAATTAATGAAAAAACATAGCATCCTAATGACTCTGAAAGTTAAACGCCAAGAGTGCTATGGGGTTAGGGATTTTAAAAGTGGAGCAAAATAAAGACTGCTAAACAAATACGTGTGTCGAAACAAATTTCAAACAAAAAAGATGTAATATTCAATTTGCCATGAGTGACAACGTTCGGCTGATAACCCACATAGCCCAGGGAAATCCCTTCCAAATTTGGACGAAGAAGAGGGAAGGAAGAGGGGTCAAGGCGCAGAAGGCAGTACCCAGGCCTGGGAAATCACGAAGAGACACAGTCGGGAAAGGGGGCCTCCAGAACAGAGAACATACTCACTTTTCCAGGCCCCACCCATGTCTATTACCCAGTTAGGAGGAATGAGCTCATTTCTGTGAACGTGAGATGACCCTCGACCCCGTGCTCCTATCACACGCCATTAGCTTTGCCCCACATCCTTTCAATCTGCTCCTCTAAGAGCGGTCCTGAGCTTTGGTCCCAGACGCACAGAAGGAAGCGGCCTGAATCTTACCCAGTCCTCGACGCGCCCAGCATCTTGACTGCAGAGGGCGAAGCGGCCGCATCTCCCGGCAAACGCGTGTGAAGCAGCGGTGCCGCCATTGGGCCGAACTAACGCGACCGCTGCGCCTCAGGCCGGATGCCCAGCTCCTTCCAGCCACAGCCTCTGTCCCGGAAGTTGCGCGTGCCAGCGCAACCTTCAGACAATCAGGGGCCCCGTGAGCCACCGCACCCGGCCAAACTTAAATTTTTAAAAGAGGAACAGAAGTCAGCCAGACCAACAAAAGAGCGACTGGTGTTCCAAGCATAGGAAACAGAGGAAACAGAGGCCAAAACCTCGGGACTGTGGAGGATGTAGAGGGAGAGCAGGGGCTGCCCCTACTCTCAGGGAGGGGGAAAGGTTGCAACTTTGGAAACTGTACAGGCCTATCAAAAATACAAAAATATCCAGCCTGGGTGACACGGTGAAACTCCATCTCTACAAAAAACTTAAAAAATAAAAATAATAAAAATTATCTGGGTGTGATGGCACATACCTGTAGTCCCAGCTACTCGGGAGGCTGAGGATTGCTTGAGCCTGGGAGATAGCACCACTGCACTCCTGCTTGGGCAACAGAGTGAGACCCTGTCTCGAAATAAATAAATAAATTTTTTTAAATGCATATGTATGGGCCCGGCGCAGTGGCTCATGCCTGTTATCCCAACACTTTGGGAGGCCGAGGCAAGTGGATCACCTGAGGCCAGAAGTTTGAGACCAGCCTGGCCAACATGACAAAACCCTGTCTCTACTAAAAATACAAAATTAGCCAGACATGGTGGCAGTGCCTGTAATCCCAGCTACTTGGGAGGCCAAGGCAGGAGAATAGCTTGAACCCAGGAGGCAGAGGTTGCAATGAGCCAAGATTGTGCCATTGCACTCCAGCCTGGGTGAGGAGTGAAACTGTGTCTCAAAAAAAAAAAAAAAAAAGGGTGTGTGTGTGTGTGTGTGTGTGTGTGTGTGTGTGTGTTTATATGTATCTCTCTCCAGGAGTTCAAGACCAGCCTGGGCAACATATGATGGTGCATACCTGTAGTCCCAGCTACTTGAAAACTGAGGAGGGAGGATCGCTTGAGCCCTGGAGGTCAAGGCCGCAGTGAGCTGTGATTGCACCCCTGCACTCCAGCCTAGACAACAGATCTAGACCCTATTTCACAAAATAAAATACAGCAATTTGGTTTTTATGTTTTTTGTGTTTTTTTTGAGACAGAGTCTCGCTCTGTCACCCAGGCTGGAGTACAGTGTCGTGATCTCGGCTCACTGCATCCTCTGATTCCCAGGTTCAAGCGATTCTTGTGCCTCACCCTCCCCAGTAGCTAGGATTACGGGCATGCACCACCATGCCCTGCTAATTTTTGTATTTTTAGTAGAGACAGGGTTTCACCATGTTGGCCAGGCTGGTCTTGAACTCTTGACCTCAAGTG
Organism: Homo sapiens; assembly: GCF_000001405.40. Taxonomy (NCBI): domain Eukaryota; kingdom Metazoa; phylum Chordata; class Mammalia; order Primates; family Hominidae; genus Homo; species Homo sapiens. Next base: position 29,073,673 of record NC_000016.10, on the reverse strand, counting down.
ATCCACCCACCTTGGCATCCCAAAGTGCTGGGATTACAGGCATGAGCCACCACGCCCCGCCAGCAGTTTGTTAAACATAAACCATAGCTCTGTTTTGCAACAGTGTAAAATCAGTAACTGTCTTTCCTGAGTCTCTATTTGGTCCTTACTGAGTTCCTTGGGAATGTTGGACAGGAATCATCTGTGTCTCAAGGACAGAGGAAATAATTGCACCCTAGCTCACAAAGATACTTCAATACTTCAAGATAACGGTTTAAATGAGAATCTCTTCTTCACTTCCAAGGCAAAGCAAAGCAAAAACAAAAAGCAACAATAGCAAAACAGCAATTTGACAATTATCTGTTTTGTTTTGTTTTGGTTTGAGACAGGATCTCATTGTCTAGCCCAAGTTAGAGCGCAATGGCGCGATCACAGCTCGTTGCAGCCTCGGGCTCCTACAGCTTATGCAATCCTCTCACCTCAGCCTCCCAAACCCACACCACCAAGCCCAGCTAATTTTTTGTATTTTTGGTAAATACGAGGTCTCACTTTGTTGCCCAGGCTGGTCTTGAACCCCCGGCCCAAGTGATCCTCCCACCTTGGCCTCCCAAAGTGTGTCTCCCCACCTATACTCCCATTCTTTCCCTTAAAAAAAGTCTGAGTCTGGGTGCAGTGGCTCACACCTGTAATGCCAGAGCTTTGGGAGGCTGAGGCAGGAGGATAACTTGAAGCCAGGAGTTTGAGACCAGCCCAGGCAACACAGCCAGACTCCGTCTCTACAAATAACACTTTTAAAAAACTTACCCAGGATACCCAAAGGACTATAAATCGTGCTGTTTTAAAGACACATGCACACGTATGTTTATTGCGGCATTATTCACAATAGCAAAGACTTGGAACCAACCCAAATGTCCAACAATGATAGACTGCATTAAGAAAATGTGGCACATATATGCCATGGAATACTGTGCAGCCATAAAAAATGATGAGTTCACGTCCTTTGTAGGGACATGGATGAAATTGGAAATCATCATTCTCGGTAAACTATCGCAAGAACAAAAAACCAAACACTGCATATTCTCACTCATAGGTGGGAATTGAACAATGAGAACACATGGACACAGGAAGGGGAACATCACACTCTGGGGACTGTTGTGGGGTGGGGGGAGGGGGGAGGGGGGAGGGATAGCATTGGGAGATACACCTAATGCTAGATGACGAGTTAATGGGTGCAGCACACCAGCATGGCACATGTATACATATGTCACTAACCTGCACATTGTGCACATGTACCCTAAAACTTAAAGTATAATAATAATAAATAAAAAATAAAAAATAAAAAAACTTACCCAAGCATGGTGGCACATGCCTGTAGTTCCAATTATTTGGCAGACAGAGGTGGGAGAATCACTTGAACCCAGGAGTTGGAGGCTGCAGTGAGCTATGACTGCACCACGACACTCTCTGGCCTGGGTGACAAAGCAAAATCTCATCTCTTAAAAAAAAAAAAAAAGGGGAAAAAAGCTTGACATGTACAAAATAATATGTTAATGTAAGTTATAAGAACATAATGGGCCGGGCGCAGCGGCTCCCGCCTGTAATCCCAGCACTTTGGGAGGCCGAGGCAGGTGGATCACGAGGTCAGGAGATCGAGACCATCCTGGCTGACACGGTGAAACCCCGTCTCTACTAAAAATACAAAAAAAAAAAAAAAAAAAAAAAATTAGCCGGGCGTGGTGGCGGGCACCTGTAGTCCCAGCTACTTGGGAAGCTGAGGCAGGAGAATGGCATGAACCCGAGAGGTGGAGCTTGCAGTGAGCCGAGATCGCACCACTGCACCCCAGCCTGGGCAACAGAGTCAGACTCTGTCTCAAAAAAAAAAAAAAAAAAGAACATAATGAACACCTGTGAACATATCACCCAATTTAAGAAGCCGAACATTAACTAGGACAATTGACACTTACTGTGTGCTGCTCTCGGATCCCACCTTCTACCTGCTTTCCTCCCAATGGCACAATCTCAGCTTACTGCAACCTCCACCTCCCCGGTTTAAGTGATTCTCCTGCCTCAGCTGGGATTACAGGCGTGCGCCACTTGCCTGGCTAATTTTTTGTATCTTTAGTAGACATGAGGTTTCACCATGTTGGTCAGGCTGGTCTCAAACTCCTGATCTCAGATGATCTACTTGACTCAGCCCCTCAAAGTGCTGGGATTACAGACGTGAGCCACCATGCCTGGCCTAGATTTTATATTTCTTCTTAAGTTTGGTGTTTAAATACCCCTAGGAATTTGTTCCTTTCATCTAATTTGTTGGCATACAACTGTTCATAGTATTCCCTGATAATTCTTTTACTTATCTAATGTTGGTAGTGATGTCTCCTCTTTTGCTCCTGTTTTGCAGTTTGAGTCTCCTCTGCTTTTTTCTTGGTCAGTCCATCTAAAGGTTCATCAATTTTATGGATTTTTCAAAGAACCAAATTATTTTGGTTTTACTTACTTCCTCTATTTTTTATTCTCTGCTGCATTTATTTCTGCTCATCTTTATTATCTTTCTTTTTTTTTTTTTTTGAGACGAAGTCTCTTGTCGCCCAGGCTGGAGTGCAGTGGTGAGATCTCAGCTCACTGAAAACTACGCCTCCTGGGTTCGAGCGATTCTTGTGCCTCAGCCTCCTGAGTAGCTGGGACCACAGGCATGTGCCACCATGCCTGGCTAATTTTTTTATTTAGCAGAGACAGGCTTTCACCATGTTGGCCAGGATGGTGTCAAACTCCTGGCCTCAAGCTGTCTGCCCGCTTCAGCCTCCCTAAACTGGGATTACAGGTGTGAGTAATCCTCTGCCTCTGGGAGGCAGAAGTTGCAGTGAGCCAAGATCACACCACTGTACTACAGCCTGTGCAACAGAGCGAGACTCCACCTCAAAAAAAAAAAAAAATTAGCCGGACATGGTGGCACATATCTGTAGTTCCAGCTGCTTGGGGGACTGAGGCAGGGGGCTTGCTTGAGCCTAGGAGGTCAAGGCTGCTATAACCCATGTTTATGCCACTGCACTGCAGCCTGGGCAACAAAGTGAGAACCTGTCTCAAAATAAAAATAAAAATAAGTAAATAGGCCAGGCATGGTGGCGCATGCCTGTAATCCCAGCACTTTGAGAGGCTGAGGTGTGAGGATCATGAGGTCAAGAGTTTGAGACCAGCCTGGCCAACATAGTGAAACCCTGTCTCTACCAAAAATACAAAAATTAGCCAGGTGTGGTGGTGGGCACCTGTAGTCCCAGCTACTCGGGAGGCCAAAGCAGGAGAATCGTTTGAACCCGGGAGGCAGAGGTTGCAGTGAGCCGAGATCATGCCATTGCACTCCAGGCTGGGTGACAGAGTGAGACTCCGTCTCAAAAAAAAAAAAAAAAAAAAAAGGAAATAAATATAGCTTCCTAGGGGATTCTGTTTGCAGAGTGTGTCAAGAATATGAAGCCCAGAATTCAAGACTGCATTATGGACTGTGAAGGCTGAGGAGGGCTGTGAGGAAAGAGTGGGTAGGTTAAAGGAGCAGAGGCAACTGTCATGCCCTTTGGCTCTTCTATAGGAAAAGAGGAAAGAGTGAGCCTTGGGCTGTGTTTTGTGAGGGAATAGTGCCCTCCCTTTGTGGGTAAGCAAAGTTGGCTCGGAAGATGAAGACAGATGAGTCAAGAACGTCAGGGTGTCAGGGGAAGCACAAAAAGAAGGCGAAATATGCCCTTCTACACTCAAACTTGAAGGTATTCGGGGCCTGGTGGCTGGCTCTGAGGCCATGCTGAGTCCTGAAGAGGGGACCAAAGTCTTGCTTTGTGAAAACTGTCTAGACTGTCCTAGCAATTCCATTTGTTTTTGACTGTCCTAGCAATTCCATTTTTTTTTTTTTTTGACAGAATCTCACTCTTGTCGCCCAGGCTGGAGTGCAGTGGCACGATCTCAGCTCATTGCAACCTCCACTTCCTGGGTTCAAATGATTCTCCTGCCTCAGCCTCCCAAGTAGCTGGGATTACAGGCACCTGCAACTGCGCCCAGCTAATTTTTGTATTTTTGGTAGAGACAGGATTTCACCATCTTGGCCAGGCTGCTCTTGAACTACTGACCTTGTGATCCACCCACCTTGGCCTTCCAAAGTGCTGGGATTACAGGCGTGAGCCACTGTGACTGGCTTTTTTTTTTTTTTTTTTTTTTTTCTGAGACGGAGTCTCGCTCTGTCACCCAGGCTGGAGTGCAGTGGCACAGTCTCAGCTCACTACAAGCTCTGCCTCCCGGGTTCGCGCCATTCTCCTGCCTCAGCCTCCTGAGTAGCTGGGACTACAGGCGCCCGCCACTGCGCCCAGCTAATTTTTTGTATTTTTAGTAGAGATGGGGTTTCACTGTGTTAGCCAGGAGGTTCTCGATCTCCTGACCTCATGATCTGCCCGCCTCGGCCTCCCAAAGTGCTGGGATTACAGGCGTGAGCCACTGTGCCCGGCTGCCTTTTTAAATTTAAAAAACTTTTTTTTTTTTTTGAGACAGTCTCTCTGTCCCCCAGGCTGGAGTGCAGTGGCGGGAATCTCAGCTCACTGCAAACTCTACCTCCCAGGTTCAAGCAATTCTTCTGCCTCAGCCTCCCAAGTAGCTGGGATTACAGGCACACGGCACCACACCTGGCTAATTTTTGTATTTTTAGTAGAGATAGGTTTTCACCATGTTGGCCAGGCTGCTCTCGAACTCCTAACCTCAGGTGATCCTCCTGCCTCGGCCTCCCAAAGTGTGAGTACAGGCGTTAGTCACCACTGCACCTGGCCTCCATTCTCATCTTTTCTGATTGGAGAACTCGGTTCTCCAGAGCACAGAAGTAGCACTTCTTTCCCCTGGTCCCTGGAGAGTAAGGTCTTGTTCACATCTGTGCATGGGGCTCAGATCAGGGCCTGGTGCAGAGAAAGTGCACAATAAATGGGTGTTTAAGTCTGGGCATGGTGCCTCATATCTGTAATCCTAGCACTTTGGGAGGCCAATGTGGGAGGATCACTTGAGCCCAGGAATTCAAGACCAGCCTGGGCAACAAAGCAAGACCCCGATCTCTACCAAAAAATAGAAAAATTAGCCAGGTGTGGTGGCACGTTCCAGCTACCCGGGAGGCTGAGGTGAGAGGATTGCTTGAGCTGGGAGGCTTCAGTGAGCTGTGCTTGTACCACTGCACACCAGCCTGGGAGACACAGTGAGACCCTGTCTCAAAAAATATAATAAAAGTCTAAAAAATAAATGGGGGCTGGGCGTGGTGGCTCATGCCTGTAATCCCAGCACTCTGGGAGGCCAAGGTGGGCAGATCACCTGAAGTCAGGAGTTCAAGACCAGCCTGGCCAACATAGTGAAACTCTGTCTCTACTAAAAATACAAAAATTAGCTGGGCATGGTGGCGGGTGCCTGTAATCCCAGCTACTCAGGAGGCTGAGGCAGGAGAATTGCTTGAACCCAGGAGACGGAGGTTGCAGTGAGCCAAGATCACGCCACTGCACTCCAGCGTGGGCAACAGAGCAATACTCTGTCTCAAAAATAAATAAACATAGGCCAGGTGCAGTGGCTCATGCCTATAATCCCAGTACTTTCAGAGGCTGAGGCAGAAAAATCACTTGAGGTCAGAAGTTCGAGACCAGCCTGGCCAACATGGTGAACCCTCATCTCTACTAAAAATACAAAAATTAGCCAGGCATGGTGGTGCATGCCTGTAATCCAGCTACTTGGGAGGCTGAGGCAGAAGAATTGCTTGAACCCAGGAGGCAGAGGTTGCAGTGAGCCAAGATTGTGCCACTGCACTCCAGCTTGGGTGACAAAGTGAGACTTTGTCTCAATTAAAAAAATAATAAGATAGCCAGGCGTGGTGGCTCACGCCTGTAATCCCAGCACTTTGGGAGGCCAAGGCGGGCGGATCAACTGAGGTCAGGGGTTCAAGACCAGCCTGGCCAGCATGGCGAAATCCCATCTCTACTAAAAGTACCAAAATTAGCCAGGTGTTGGGGTGGGCGCCTGTAATCCCAGCTACTCAGGAGGAGGCGGCAGAATCACTTGAACCCAGGAGACGGAGGTTGCAGTGAGCTGAGATCACGCCACTACACTCCAGCCTGGGTGACAAGAGCAAGACTCCGTCTCAAAAAAATAAAATAAAATAAATAAATAAAATAAAATAACAAATGGGTGTTTAAATGAATGATGTTCATGGAATCTCTCCCCAGTGCTTTGCTTTCCACAAAGTTCTGCATGGAAGTCTCAATAAATTGTGGTTGAATGCTTGACAGTAACTGTGATGAAAGCAGAATTCACCTTTCATCACCTGGCCAGCAAATGTTTTGTTGTCTTATTATTATTATTATTATTTGAGATGGAGTCTTGCTCTGTCGCCCAGGCTGGAGTGCAGTGGCGTGATCTCGGCTCACTGCAAGCTCCGCCTCCCGGGTTCACGCCATTCTCCTGCCTCAGCCTCCCAAGTAGCTGGGACTACAGGTGCCCGCCACCATGCCCGGCTAATTTTTTTTTGTATTTTTAGTAGAGATGGGGTTTCACCGTGTTAGCCAGGATGGTCTCGATCTCCTGACCTTGTGATCCGCCCACCTCGGCCTCCCAAAGTGCTGGGATTACAGGCTTGAGCCACCGCGCCCGGCCTGCTTGTCTTATATAGTATTGACCAGTAAAATGTTTTTTTTTTTTTTTGAGCCAGAGTCTCACTCTGTCACCAGGCTGGAGTGCAGTGGCGTGATCTCGGCTCACTGCAATCTCCACCTCCTGGGTTCAAGCGATTCTTCTGCCTCAGCCTCCTGAGTAACTGGGACCACAGGCTCCCACCACCATGCCCAGGTAATTTTTGTATTTTTAGTAGAGACAGGGTTTCTTTTTTTTTCTTTCTTTCTTTCTTTTTTTTTTGGAGACGGAGTCTCGCTCTTTCACCCAGGCTGGAGCTCAGTGGCATGATCTCGGCTCACTGCAACCTCCACCTCCCAGGTTCACGCCATTCTCCTGCCTCAGCCTCCTGAGTAGCTGGGACTACAGGTGCCCGCCACCACACCCGGCTAATTTTTTGTATTTTTAGTAGAGATGGGGTTTCACCATGTTAGCCAGGATGGTCTCGATCTCCTGACCTTGTGATCCACCCACCTCGGCCTCCCAAAGTGCTGGGATTACAGGCTTGAGCCACCGCACCCGGCCCGTAGAGACAGGGTTTCACCATGTTGACCAGTATGGTCTCGATCTCCTGACCTCAGGTGATCCACCTGCCTCGGCCTCCCAAAGTGCTGGGATTACAGGAGTGAGCCACCGGGCCTGGCCAAGATGTCTTTCAAATAATTAAAGCCACATCTTTTTGTAGTTCATAAACGTGATGACTGTGTTTCCATGCTCATGCGTGAGTTGCACCTCCCTCAAACCTTGTTTTGACATTGACACATTATCTGCCTGATGTAAAAATAATGAAATCCAATATACTAAGATCAGGAGATTTCACAATAAAATCCCAATTTCTGTTTCTTTTAAAAAATCAGGCCAGCCATGATGGCTTATGCCTGGAATTCCAGCACTTTGGGAGGCGCAGGCAGAAGGATCACTTGATCCTGGAAGTTCAAGATCAGCATGGTTAACACAGGGAGACCTGGTCTCAATTTAAAAATTAGCTGGGCATGGCACTTTGGGAGACTGAGGCAGGTGGATCACCCGAGATCAGAAGTTTGAGACCAGCTTGGCCAATATGGTGAAACCTCATCTCTGTATTAAAAAAAAAAAAAAAATTAGCCAGTTGTGGTAATGAGCGCCTGTAATCCCAGCTACTCGAGAGGCTGAGGCAGGGGAATCACTGGAACCTGGGAAGTGGAGGTTGCAGTGAGCCAAGATCTCGCCATTGCATTTGAGCCTGGGTAACAGAGTGAGACTCTGTCTCAAAACAAACAAACAAACAAACAAAAACATTAGCCATAGCCCCAGTTATCTGGAGGCTGAGATGGAGGCTGAGAACCCACGAGTTCGTTCAAGGCTGCAGTGAGCTATCATTGCACTCCAGCCAGGATGACAGAGCAAGACCCTGTCTCAAAATAAAATAAATACTTTGGGAGGCCAAAGTGGGCAGATCACCTGAGGTCAGGAGTTCGAGACCAGCCAGGTCAACATGGCGAAACCCATCTCTACTAATAAAATACAAAAATTAGCCAGGCATGGTGGTGTGTGCCTATAATCCCAGCTACCCAGGAGGCTGAGGCAAGAGAATCACTTGATCCCAGGAGGCAGAGGTTGCAGTAAGCCGAGATTGTGCCACTGCACTCCAGCCTGGGCAACAAGAGCAAAACCCCATCTCAAATAAATAAATAAATAGAAATAAATAAATAAAATGGTTACTTTATGTTATTTCACCTCAATAATTTTAAGTAAAATAAAATTAGATAACTGATAGCCAGGCATGGTGGTGGATGCCTGTAATCCCAGCTACTCAGGAGGCTGAGGCAGGAGAATCGCTTGAATCCGAGGCAGAGGCTGCAGTGAGCCAAGATCACGCCACTGCACTCCAGCCTGGGTGACAGAGCAAGACTCCGTCTCAAAAAAAAAAAAAATTTAGATAACTGATTAGAAGGTACTGAAGTTTGCCATCCTTTGGAAACGATCCTCTTCATTAGAAAGATGAGGATCCTGAGGCCCTACAAGGGAAGTGTCAGGTCAGTGGAAGAGACTGAAAGGGAAGTTTGGTTCCCACCCCGGCAGCACAGTCGCTGCCTCCTCTCCCCTTTACTTAGGCTATGAACTCTGGTGTGATACAGACCACAACCCGTTCACCATAGGTTACACCCCACATCTGGCTCGGACCCTGGCACTTGAACTGTCAGCCTCCAAGTAGCTGGGACAATAGGCCAGCTCAACAAATGCCCCCTGCTCATTAAAATTTTTTTTTTGTAGAGTTGGGGTCTTGTTATGTTGCCCAGGGTGGTCTCAAATTCCTGATCTCAAGCAATTCTCGCCTTGGCCTCCCAAAGTGCTGAGATTACAGGCATGAGCCACTGTACACAGTCTTGATGTATTACCTTTTATTTTTTAAAAAATTTTTATAAAGACGGGTGTCACCATGTTGTCCATGCTGGTCTCAAACTCCTGGGCTCAGGCAATCCTCCCGACTTGGCCTCCCAAAGGGCTGGGATTACTGGTGTGAGCCGTGCCTGGCTTGCTTTTTTTGTTTTTGTTTTTGAGATGGAGTCTCACTGTTGCTCAGGCTGGAGTGCAGTGGCGCAATCTCGGCTCACTACAACCTCCGCCTCCTGAGTTCAAAGGATTCTCCCGTCTCAGCCTCCCGAGTAGCTGGGATTACAGGTGTGTGCCACCACACCTGGCTTATTTTTGTATTTTTAGTAGAGATGGGGTTTCACCATGTTGGCCAGGATGGTCTTGATCTCCTGACCTCATGATCCACCTGCCTACGTCTGGCTTTTTTAATTAAAAAAAAAATTTTTTAAGTACTTTTTTTCTTTTGAGATGGAGTCTCACTCTGTCACCCAGGCTGGAGTGCAATGGCACAATCGTGGCTCACTGCAACCTCCACCTCTTGGGTTCAAGCAATTCTCCTGTCTTAGCCTCCCAAGTAGCTTGGACTACAGTCATGCACCACTATGCCTGGCTAATTCTTGTATTTTTAGTAGAGATGGGGTTCCACCATGTTGGTCAGGCTGGTCTCGAACTCCTGATTTTGTGATCCACCTGCCTCAGCCTCCCAAAGTGCTGGGATTACAGGCATGAGCCACCATGCCCAGCCTAAAGTACTTTTCATTAGAGACAGTACTTTATTCAAACTGCTTCTCTTCTCGTGCTTTTGTGTCTTGAGACAGTCTGTCTGTCACCCAGGTTGGAATGCAGTGGTGTGATGACAGCTCACTGAAGCCTCGACCTTCCAGGCTCAGGTGATCCTCCCACCTCAGTCTTCTGAGTTGCTGGGACTATAGGTGTGTGCCACCATGCCTGGTGGATGTATGACTGTTTATGTAGGAACGTCTGTTAATTGTAAATTTCCTCCAAAACCACCCTGTTGTTGCAGAAATGACAGGCTGTGAGCACTGTAGCCACCTATACATTCCTTCCAGAGCACTATGCTTTTGCTCCAAGACATAAGCGGTAGGTCTTGGGGCTGTGGTGTGGAGATCTGTCATGGCGCAGCCCAAGACCATGCTTTTGTGTGTAAGTTCCTTAATAAATCACCCAAAACTGACAAACTGGATTTGTCTGCTTCCTTTTTTTTTTTGGCTCCTTTGGCATGAGGGTCACTTGGCATATACGGCCCTTTCACGGAATGCACAGCAACTCCAACAAAGAGAGATGATTCTTTCACAGATGAAGCCGCTGAGGCTTAGAGAAGCGAGATTGTCCCAAGGGTGGCAGCTTCTAAGGGAAGGGCTGGAATGTGAACCCAGGCATCTTGACTTGAGCCTTGTCCTTTTGGCCCCTATGCCCTCCCACCTTCCAACCCAGGGGATTAGCTAAAATTTAGGAAAGCAGTTCATGTTATTTAAAGGGAGGGGAGGCTGGGCATGGTGGCTCATGCCTGTAATCCCAGCACTTTGGGACGCTGAGGCGGGCAGATCACTTGAGGCCAGGAGTTCAAGACCAGTCTGGCCAACATGGTGAAAACCCATCTGTACTAAAAATATGAAAATTAGCCGGGTGTGGTGGCGAGTGTCTGTAGTCCCAGCTACTCGGGAGGCTGAGATTGCAGTGAGCTGAGATTGCACCACTGAACTCCAACCTGGGTGACAGGGCAAGACTCTGTCTATAAAATAAATAAATTATAAAATAAATAAAATTTCAGAAAGCAGCTCACTTTATGTAAAGGGACAGGAAACAGCAACAGATGACATAGATATAGGATGATTCCAGTCTAGTAATAAATATACACACACCAGAAAGAGAGGCATTAAAATGTTAACGGTAGTTAACAGCCTGGGCGACAGAGCGGAGACCCTGTCTCAAAAAAAAAAAAAAAAAGTTAAGAAAAGGAGTGACAATCCACGTGTGGCCCACAAAGCTTAAAATATATACTATCTAGCCCTGGGCAGAAAAGGGTTTGACAATGCTGTTCAAAGGTCACCATTGGTAGATTGGAAACTGAAAAAGGTATATACCCTGGCATTGGACAACACAATGGCTGTGCCTCCTGCCTAAGAATGCTGAACTGGCCAAGTGAGGTACTTGGCAGCCCAGCCCTGAAATGCATAAGCTCTCCAGCCTTTTCATCACTGCTCCTCCCTGGTTCTTAACCTCTGGCCACTCGATCCTCTGGCTTCCCTTCCACCAAGCACTCGCACGTTGAGTCCAGTCCCTAGGCCTCTCCTCTAGGCTGCCCCCTCTGGAAATGTAAGCAGCACCAGGTATAAGAGCCAGGCACAGGCTGCCTTGACGTGCACCTAGCCCCCTTACTTCCCCATTGTGTGGAAGGTAAATCACTTCTCTTTGGGTCTGTTTTCCCATCTACAAGTTGGGAATGACAATAGGGTTATTCTGAGATTAAGTGAGATAAGGCAGCTAAAGCACGCAGTATGGAAGTGGTCAACATGCTGGCTCTGATGTCAGCCACGACCAGACTTCGGGTAACTATTTATAAGTCATTCCCTTCAAAACCTTTCTCTCTGTTCTTTCTCTTCTGTGACAGACTAATACTTGTGCCCCTTCCCTTCATTTAGAAACAAAATGACCCAAGTTTAAATGAACATGTAACTATCCAGCTAGAGGCATTTTAGTCTCGCATATAGGGTGGTAAGAAGGTGAGACTAAGTTCTGGCCAATGGGATCAGTGTAATTTCCAGGCCCTGTATTTCCGCTTCCTTTTGCATGGGCTTGAACGAGGACTTGGGGCTGGTGAGCCGCTTTAACCACACAGATGACAACCTTGGGGATGCAAGAGCAACATGACAGCGCAGCCCTGGGTCCCTAGATGATTTTGCATAACGGTTGTTGTCTAACCCTAACCCTGGACCAATCACCTCTGAACTGTCACATGAGAAATAAGCTATTTTGCTGAGTCACTGTTTGGGGCTCCTTGTGACAGAAGCTGAGTCTAGAATCTAGTTAGTGCACGTCAGAAGGCTTCTCTTCAACTTCAGTATCAGTCCGCCCTCCATATGTGCTGTTCTTGTACTTCTGAACACAAAGAATATTCCAGCTATTTCTTGAAAACAGTCATATTTGTTTATCCTCCAGTCAGGAGAATGTGTCATTCTTGACTCCTTCAACTCCCGAATCCACTGGTCACAGTAGCTTCAGTTTTTTACATCTGCACCTCTTCAATCCTCCCCCCACCTCTGACCCCAGGCACCCTGACTTCAGATGGTTTTTTTTTTTTTTTGGGCTTCATGCTCTTTGCTTCCAATTTCATAGTCTTACACAATGATGCTTCATTCTCTTAAAATGGAATCCATTCATGTTATTTTGTTACCTTTTTTTAGAGACAGGGTCTTGCTCTATTCCCCAGGCTGGAGTGCAGTGGTATAATCATAGCTCACTGTACCCTTTACTTAAATAGACCTTAAGTTCCTGGGCTCAAGTGATCCTCCTGCCTCAGTCTCCCCAGCAGCTTGGACTACTGGCACACACAACCATGTCCGGCTAAATTTTAATTTTTTGTCCTCTCCCTCCCCCTCCCCCTTCCTCTCCCACTTTCCACAGTCTCCCTCTGATGCCGAGCCGAGGCTGGACTGTACTGCCACCATCTCGGCTCACTGCAACCTCCCTGCCTCATTCTCCTGCCTCAGCCTGCCAAGTGCCTGGGATTGCAGGCACGCGCCATCTGTGTTTTTTGGTGGAGACGGGGTTTCGCCGTGTTGGCCGGGCTGGTCTCCAGCTCCTGACCGCTAGTGATCCGCCAGCCTCGGCCTCCCGAGGTGCTGGGATTGCAGACGGAGTCTCCTTCACTCAGTGCTCAATGGTGCCCAGGCTGGAGTGCAGTGGCATGATCTCGGCTCGCTACAACCTCCACCTCTCAACCGCCTGCCTTGGCCTCCCAAAGTGCCGAGATTGCAGCCTCTGCCCAGCCGCCACCCCGTCGGGGAAGTGGGGAGCGTCTCTGCCTGGCCGCCCATCATCTGGGATGTGAGGAGCCCCTCTGCCTGGCTGCCCAGTCTGGAAAGTGAGGAGCCTCTCTGCCCGGCCGCCATCCCATCTAGGAAGTGAGGAGCGCCTCTTCCCGGCCGCGACCCCGTCTGGGAGGTGAGGAGCGTCTGAGAAGTGAGGAGACCCTCTGCCTGGCGACCGCCCCGTCTGAGAAGTGAGGAGCCCCTCCGCCCGGCAGCCGCCTCGTCTGAGAAGTGAGGAGCCCCTCCGCCCGGCAGCCACCCCGTCTGGGAAGTGAAGAGCGTCTCCGCCCGGCAGCCACCCCGTCCGGGAGGGAGGTGGGGGTCAGCCCCCCCGCCCGGCCAGCCGCCCCGTCTGGGAGGGAGGTGGGGGAGTCAGCCCCCCCGCCCGGCCAGCCGCCCCACCCGGGAGGGAGGTGGGGGGATCAGTCCCCCGCCCAACCAGCCGCCCCACCCGGGAGGGAGGTGGGGGGGTCAGCCCCCCACCCGGCCAGCCGCCCTGTCCGGGAGGTGAGGGGCGACTCTGCCCGGCCGCCCCTACTGGGAAGTGAGGAGCCCCTCTGCCCGGCCGCCACCCCGGCTGGGAGGTGTGCCCAACAGCTCATTGAGAACGGGCCATGATGACAGTGGCGGTTTTGTGGAATAGAAAGGGGGGAAAGGTGGGGAAAAGATTGAGAAATCGGATGGTTGCCGTGTCTGTGTAGAAGGAAGTAGACATGGGAGACTTTTCATTTTGTTCTGTAGTAAGAAAAATTCTTCTGCCTTGGGATCCTGTTGATCTGTGACCTTACCCCAACCCTGTGCTCTCTGAAACATGTGCTGTGTCCACTCAGGGTTAAATGGATTAAGGGTGGTGCAAGATGTGCTTTGTTAAACAGATGCTTGAAGGCAGCATGCTCGTTAAGAGTCATCACCACTCCCTAATCTCAAGTACCCAGGGACACAAACACTGCAGAAGGCCGCAGGGTCCTCTGCCTAGGAAAACCAGAGACCTTTGTTCACTTGTTTATCTGCTGACCTTCCCTCCGCTATTGTCCTATGACCCTGCCAAATCCACCTCTGCGAGAAACACCCAAGAATGATCAATAAAAAAAAAAAAAAAAAAAAAAAAAAACATGGTTTCTCCATGTTGGTCAGGCTGGTCTGGAACTCCTGACTTCAGGTGATCTGCCCACCTTGGCCTCCCAAAGTGCTGGGATTACAGGCATGAGCCACTGTGCCTGGCCCCAAATGTGTTTTACATTTTCTTCCTATTTGATTCATCTTTGTCCTGCAACATAAATATGCTACTTTTCCACCGATAAAAAGACAAAATGGAATTTAAATCTGGCCTGGACTTCTCAAAAAAGTCAGTGTGATGAAAACATGTTCTAGATAAAACAGAAATGAGACTGGGCATGGTGGCTCATGCCTGGAATCCCAGCGCCTTCGGAGGCCAAGGCAGGAGAATCACTTGAGGCCAGGAGTTTGTGAACAGCCTGGGCAACATAGTGAGACCCCAGATCTACTAAAAATTTAAAAATTAGCTGGGCATGGTGGTGCATGCCCATATGTCTGGAGGCTGAGGCAGGAGGATCGCTTGAGCCCAGGATTTGGAGGCTGCAGTGAGCTATGATTGTGCCACTGCACTCCAGTGTGGGTGACAGAGTGAGACCCTGTCTCTAAAAAAAAAAAGAGAGACGAGATGATCAGGATGAGCGCAGTGGCTCACGCCTATAATCCCAGCACTTTGGGAGGCCAAACCAGGTGGATCATATGAGGTCAGGAGTTCAAGACCAGCCTGGCCTAGATGGTGAAACCCCGTTTCTACTAAAAATACAAAAATCAGCTGGGTGTGGTGGCGCACACCTGTGATCCCAGCTACTCGGGAGGCTGAGGCGGGACAATTGCTTGAACCTGGGAGGCAGAAGTTGCTGTGAGCAAGATTACACCACTGTGCTGCAGCCTGGGCAACAGGAATGAGACTCTGTCTCAAAAAAAAAAAAAGGGGGGGATGATCAAACACAATGCATCAACCTCCCGGAGCCATATAAACCCTAACCCTAACCCAGGAAGCAGGCAAGCCTGTGTGTGAGTTTCCACTCTATTGCTGGTACCACTCGGCTCTGGCAACCCAGAAGGCCACCTTCCCCTGTTGTTACTGTGTAAGGAGGAAGGAGCACTGGTTTGCAAGTCAGAAGCCTGGGTTGAAGCCTCTGCTTGGGTTCCTGCTGGCTGTGGGAATGTGGGGTTACCTTTCCCAGCTGGCCTCGTTTCCTTCATGTCCAATGCAGGGGTTCCAGTCACATGCGTTGGGCACCATTACATGTCCAAGCTGTGCCAGGATCTAGAAAAATGGCTGGACTCAGGCCAAGGGGCCTTCCTGTCTGGCAGTGAAAATAAGAGGAGATACCAAGGGCCCTGAGTCTGGAGGGGAAGTCATGAGCACAGGGCAGTGCCAGGGCCCGGGAGCTGCCACAGAGGAGCCCACCTTGGTGACAGACACCTGTAGGCACATCCGTGATGCCCAGTGCCCAACACAGGGAACTGGACAAACGTTTCATGCACGACTCTTTTTTCCCTTCTTGGCTACCTTGAGGACCTTGATTATAATAGTTATCCTTTTTTTCTTTTTCTTTTTTTGAGACTCTTGCTCTGTCGTCCAGGTTGGAATGCAGTGGCAAAATCTTGGCTCACTGCAATCTTCACCTCTCAGGTTCAAGTGACTCTCCTTCCTCAGCCTCCCTAGTAGCTGGGATTACCGGTGTGCACCACTAGGCTCAGCTAATTTTTGTATTTTTACTACAGATGGGGTTTCACCATGTTGGCCAGGCTGATCTTGAACTGCTGACCTCAGGTGATCTGCCCACCTGGGCCTCCCAAAGTCTTGGGATTACAGGTGTGAGCCACTGAGCCCAGCCGGATTATAATAGCCTTTTCATGCACCAGGGGCTTTATACTCATTATCTCATTTCATTCATATGAGTTGAAGTCAGCTTATCCCCCATTTCACAGATGAGGAAACCAAGGCCCAGAGAGGTTAGGAATTCGTCCAAGGTCACACAGCTAGGAAGTAGGATTCAAACCCAGACAGCCAGGCTGTAACACCTAGGCTCTTCTCAGGCTCATGCCCTTCCCAGGGGTCTGGGAAGCCCTGACCTGCAGCCTGTCACCTTTGTTTACCCCCCAGCCTCCAGGATATTATGTGTGCACCGGCGTGGGATCCTGGAACTGGCAGGAATTGTGGGTTGTGTTGGTCCCTAGACTCCCATCGCCTATACGAAATATGGTTCCTTTTGTGGCTTGGGAGGCCATGGCCAGCCCTGCGATGCCATTGACTGGTGAGTGCATGCCTGGGACCAGGCTACAAAATCCCTCACACTCTGGGGTAGTCAAGGCTTATGAGGAAGTACCCAAAACTGAAGCTGGGATTTGGTCCAGGGAGATCCCAGTGTGCAGTACTACTTTGCAGGCAGGCAGAGGCCTCTTGGATAACATGGCCAGTGAAGCCAGATCTTGGTACCAGCTGCCCCTTACCCTGGCCATGGGCTGAAAACGTTGCCTTAAAAAATTGGCCAGGAGCGGTGGCTAACTCCTGTAATCCCAGCACTTTGGGAGGCCGAGGTGGGCAGATCACTTGAGGTCAGGAGTTCAAGACCAGCCTGGCCAATATGGTGAAACCCCATCTCTACTAAAAATGCAAAAATTAGCTGTGTGTGGTGGCAGGCGTCTGTAATCTCAGCTACTCGGGAGACTGAGGCAGGAGAATTGCTTGAACCCGGGAGGTGGAGTTTGCAGTGAGTTGAGATTGCACCGCTGTATTCCAACCTGGACAACAGTGCCAAACCCTGTCTCAAAAGAAAAAAATAATAATAATATAAAGTGGCCAGGTGTGTTGACTCATGCCTGTAATCCCACCACTTTGGGTCGAGGCAGGAGGATCACTGGAGCCCAGGAGTTTGAAACGAGCCTAGGCAACAGAGTGAGACCCTGTCTCTATATTAAACACAAACACAAACACACACACACACACACACACACACACACACACACACACAAACAAACAAAGGCAGCCAGACTATGCACTAGGAACTGCCCTGGGAATCCCTTTGTGTTCTCACAACAATCCCATTTCACAGATGAAGAAACCTAGGCACAGAAATATTCAGTAACGTGTCCAGGTGCGGTGGCTCACGCCTGTAATCCCAGTACTTTGGGAGGCTGAGGCAGGCAGATCACGAGGTCAGGAGTTCGAGACCATCCTGGCCAACATGGTGAAACCCTGTCTCTACTAAAAATACAAAAATTAGCTGGATGTGGTGGCAGGTTCCTGTAATTCCAGCTACTCAGGAAGCTGAGGCAGGAGAATTGCTTGAACCCGGGAGGCGGAGGTTGCAGTGAGCCGAGATCACACCACTGCACTCCAGCCTGGGTGACAGAGCAAAACTCCGTCTGAAAAAAAAAAAAAAAAGAAGAAGAAGAAATACTAAGTAACTTGTCTGAGGCCACTTAGTTACCAAGACGTGGGAGCTGGGACTTGAACCCAGGCAGTCTGCAGTCTGACTGGATTCATGCCTGCAGCCTCTGCACTCCTGCTACTTACTGTGTGAGAAGCGCCTGTTCTGTGGAAGGTTGTGGGCTGAGATCTTTCCATGAGTTCCACTCATTTACCCCCAAGGCTGTTCTTAAAGACGGGCATGACAGTTATGCCCATTTTACAGATGGGGCCCTGAGGCTCACAGGGGCATGCCACTCACCCATTTCCACAAAGCTATAGTTAGTTAGCAGAGGGCAGAATTCGGCCGCCTCTCCCCTAGCTTGAAGGCTGTGATTGACACAGAGGTTTTTTTGTTGTGGCTGTTGTTTGTTCCTTTTTCTTTTTTTTGAGACAGGGTCTTGCTCTGTCATCCCGGCTGGAGTGCAGTGGTGCGATGTCAGCTCACTGCAAACTCTGCCTCCAAGATGCAAATGATTCTCGTGCCTCAGCCTCCCAAGTAGCTGGAATTACAGGTGTGCACTACCACGCCCAGCTGTTTTTTGTAGAGATGGGGTTAGTAGAGATTTGTTTTATAGAGACGGGGTTTCACCATGGTCTCTACTAAACCCTGTCTCTACTAAAAATACAAAAATTACCCAGGCGTGGTGGCACATGCCTGTAGTCCCAGCTACTCAAGAGGCTGAGGCAGGAGAATCACTTGAACCTGGGAGGTGGAGGTTGCAGTGACCCAAAATCATGCACTCTAGCCTGGGGTCTCGCTTTTGCCCAGGTTAGAGTGCAGTGGCACAATCATAGTGGCTCACTGCAGCCTCAAACTCCTGGGCTGGAGGGAATCCTCCCACCTCAGCCTCCCAAGTAGCTAGGACTATAGGCATGTGCCATCATGGCGAGTTAATTTTTTGTGTGTTTTTATTGTCTTGAGACAGAGTCTTGCTCTGTTGCTCAGGCTGGACTGCAGTGGCATGATCTTGGCTCACCGCAACCTCCACCTCCTGGGTTCAAGCAACTCTCCTACCTCAGCCTCCCGAGTAGCTGGGATTACAGGTGCGTGCCACCATGCCTGGCTAATTTTGTATTTTTAGTAGAGACAGGGTTTCACCATGTTGGTCAGGCTGCTCTCGAACTCCTGACCTCGTGATCCACCTGCCTCGGCCTCTCAAAGTGTTGGGATTACAGGCATGAGCCACTGAGCCTGGCCTGGTGAGCTAATTTTTAAATTTGTTATAGAGACAAGAGTCTCTCTTATGTTGCTCAGGCTGGTCTCGACCCCCTGGCCTCAAGTGATCCTCCCACCTCAGCCTCCCAAAGTGCTGGGATTACAGATGGGTGTCACCGCACCTGGCCTCTGAGGAGGATTTCATTATAAACCTGCCCTGAAGGGAGGGAATCCAATTTTACGAGAGGGTGTAACCTGGTGAGGCCTGGATGACCTCCGGAGGCAGGGGCTTGTGCCTGGGCTGAGGCCTAAGGGACAATGGGCAGACATGAAGTTGCCCCAGGCAGAGGGTACAGTGTGGGCAAGGTCAGGAAGTGGCAGGGCTTGGATCACTCCAGGAAGAGAGAGGAGTCATGTGTCACAGGAGCTCGAGACCCAGAGAGTGAGGCAGGCAGGCAGGGACCAAGCTTGGGCACAGCCAGGAAGGCAGGACAGGGCATGGTGGGGCCAATGGAATCATTATCGAAGTCGGGGATTTTCAGGGAAACAGCTTAGATAAGGCCAGGCGTACAGTAGCTCCCACCTGTAATCCCAGCATTTGGGGAGGCTGAGGTAGGAGGACTGCTTGAGCCTGGGAGTTCGAGACCAGCCTAGGCAACATAGACCCCATATCCACAAAAAATTTAAAAAAGGAGTTTGTGTTCCTGTAGTAGCATACTTGGGAGGTTGAGGTGGCAGTATCACTTGAGCCCGGGAGTTCAAGGCTAAAGTGAGCTGATGGAGCCATTGCACCCCAGCCTGAGCAACAGAGAGATACGCTGTCTCAAAGGAAATACAAATTAAAAAACCAGCCGGGCATGCTGGCGTGTGCCTGTAGTCTCAGCTACTTGGGACACTGAAGTAGGAGGATCGCTTGAGCCCAGGAGTTCAAGGCTGCCGTGAGCTATGATTGTGCCTCTGCAGTCCAGCCTGGGCGACAGAGAAAGACCCTGTCTCTTAAAAAAAAAAAAAAAAAAAAAAAAAAAAAAAAAAAAACTTAGATAAGAGGATGCTGTGCCTCCCTGGGGGTCTTCAGTCACCCATGGTCCTGGCAAGAGAGGAGGGCCAGGAGAGAGCTTCACCCACCTGCTGTCCTGCCCATGTGACATCCGCAGGTGCTGCCATGGCCACGACTGTTGTTACACTCGAGCTGAGGAGGCCGGCTGCAGCCCCAAGACAGAGCGCTACTCCTGGCAGTGCGTCAATCAGAGCGTCCTGTGCGGTGAGTCCCCAGCAGCACCATGCCACCCACCCCGAGTATCCCCTGGGCACCCTGGCATAGCCAGATGACTTCCGTGCCCGTTGCAATAACCACTGCTTCCAACTCTCTATAGAACACCCCTTGGGTATATCTAATGTAAGTGATATTTATTTTATTTATTTTTTGAGTCAGAGTCTCGCTCTGTCACCCAGGCTAGAGTGTGCTGACGTGATCTTGGCTCACTACAACCTCTGCCTCCTGGGTTCAAGCGATTCTCATGCCTCAGCCTCCCAAGTGGCTGGGACTACAGGCATGCACCATCACGCCCAGCTAATTTTTGTATGTTTTTCAGTAGAGGTGGGGTTTCACCAAGTTGGCCGGGCTGGTCTCAAACTCCCCACCTCAAGTGCTCTGCCCGCCTCGGCCTCCCAAAGTGCTGGGATTACAGGCATGAGTCGTGGTGTCTGGCCCTAATGTGAGTGATCTTTAACAATGAGGACTTGAAAAAGAAAACCCTGAAGAAACCTAATTCTTTGATGTCTGGACGACAAGGAAGAAGATAGAAATGGCATCAGATAATAAACAGTGTAAATGTTTATCAGAAAGAGGCTGGTGGTCGGGACCAGTAGGAGGATCGCTTGAGTCCAGGAGTGCATCTCTACAAAAAAGTTAAAGGATTTTTTAACATTGGCCAGGCGTGGTGGCACACATCTGTGATCCCAGCTACTTGGGAGGCTGAGGCAGGAGGATTGCTTGAAGCCCAGGAGGTTGAGGCTGCAGTGAGCTGTGATCGAGCCACTGCACTCCAGCCTGGGTGACAGAGCAAAACCCAGTCTCAAAAAATAATAATAATAATAATAATATTTTACATAACCAACCACTTCTAAAGATTTAAAAAAAAACCCTACAATTAATTAAATACCTCAGGTCCCTCAGGCAATCATACCAGATATTGAAACAAAGCAATAACATAAGGACTGCAGTATTTATTTTATTTTTATATTATTTATTTATTCTTCGTTAGTTTGTTTTTGGAGCGTGGGTTTTGTTTTGTTTTTTGATTTTTTTCTTTTTTTCGACCCACGGATTTATTCTTATTGCCCAGGCTTGAGTGCAATGGCGTGTTCTCAGCTTACTCAACCTCCGCCTCTTGGGTTTGGGTAATTGTTGTGCCTCGGCCTCCCTCTGCCTCTTGGGCTTGGGCGATTGTTCCACCTCATCCACCCTCCACCTCTTGGGTTTGGGTGGTTTTTCCGCCTCGGCCTCCTGAGTAGCTAAGGGAGGAGTCTTGAGATTATCATCCACTGAGGGTGGAAGAGGAGAGGGTGGAAGCGGGACAAAGAGACATTCCTTCAGATTATCATCCACTGAGGGTGGAAGAGGAGAGGGTGGAAGCGGGACAAAGAGACATTCCTTCAGATTATCATCCACTGAGGGTGGAAGAGGAGAGGGTGGAAGAGGAGCAAGAGGACACTCCTTGATATTATCATCCGCTGAGGGTGGAAGGGGAGTGAGCAGACACTCGGGAGGTGTCTTGAGGCTCAGGGAGTTATCAGTTATAGAATGTTGTTGAGTTGGAGGAGGTGGCTGGCGGCCCATCCTGTTTTTTAAAGTTTCAGCTGTGAGGTAGGGCCAGTAGGGCAATCCTGAAGAATGACGATGCTCCGCTGCCGCCATTCTGACCTGTAGGGCCAAAGGAGGGAATGTTTTCACACATATTCATTTGATGGACAAAATTACCGCCACCAACACAGTCTGCACCTTCTGTTGCTGGTGATAGATTTTTGCACCTTTCCATCCTCCAGGTTTCAAAATAGCAGTATCAGTGTCATAATATCACCCTTCCACTGAGTACTGCCGACAGCTGGGGGGTAAAGAAAAGTCATTGGGACACACTGTTGTCTCCACATGCCACTGTGTCTGTCTGCAAATGTAGGCAGGCTGGGGTCCTGCCCCAGGGAAGACAGAGTCATAACAGAGTAATAAAGAAGCATGTTTGAGACACAGGAGTGTCTATGTCTATCCTCATTCCTCCCTCACAGCCATCACCAGAGCATGTTTCTTGCACCAGGTCAACAGACAGTAAGAGACAGTAAGAGAGGCATGAAAAGCCCATTGTCCACACATGTTGCAGCTTCTTTTTGGAGAATGTTTTCCAGGCCTTTTATGTTCTGTCTCTGACTCTCAGAACTCTGCAAGGTCAGTGTGACCACCCTGCTCCAAATCTAAGAAAACAGAGGTTTCCAGAGGAAGGAGAAATTGTGCCCAGGGTCACACAGCTTGCAAGAGGCAGAGTGGAAGTTGATTCCAGCTCTGCCTGCAGGACCCTCTCATTTCCCCTCTGTTTCCCTTCTTGACAAAGGATCTTCTTCACTCTGGAGGTGCCACCCATGAGAACAAAGAGCTCTGGAGAGATGTGGATTCCTGAAGAGCTGCAGGGGAACTGGGAGAGGGTTTTCTGACAGAACAATCTCACCTCAAGAAGTCACTTAGGCATGCATGGCTGTAATATTTCTTTTCACTCCCAGGTAATACCAAATTGTAAGTGCACTAGGACATAAAGAATACTTTTGTCCATGGAAAAATGAGGTGGGAATTCTAAACAAAGCAAGTTTTAAAACTGTGTTTCACTTCAAGTGCACAAGTCCCATCACGTGTAATCATAGGACTCGGCAGCTTTTGAAGGTACAGAGGCCACACAAGAACCAGCTTAGCTGAGCATCATTTAAGGCCTTCATTTGGAATTGTCCCTGTGGGTAATAAGTTACATTCACTCTTCACTAATTTACAGTCAGGGCCCATTTGCTATTACAAATATGGAACCTCTGACACTTTGAATATTAGATCAGGGGCCCCACTGGGTGGGGATGAAGGTGTTTTTGCACAACACGGTTACCAACAGGGATGGGACTGTGATGCCTGTAGGCAGCCTTCCTCTCTGCCATCTCCCTCTGCAGGGCTTGAGCACAGAGCTGTAGGGAGAAAAATGTATCCATGTCCTGACCTGGCAGACTATGTTCAAAAGCAAGGAAAACAAACAAACTTACCCAGTTGCAAAGAGCCTTTCTTGCAGAAGGGGGGATCTGAAAAAGCCAACACATGAGAAATTGAATGTTGAGAGAGTCTAAGAGCCGTGGCATCATCTGCATCAGCACTGAACTATCCTGCAACTGCGGGGAGGAAGCTCCTTACTTTGCATTTGTGGTAGTCCTCTGCCCGCCGCCGCAACTCTTGCGCACGTTGAAACATTTTCCTATGGATTACAATCACTTTCATCAGATAAAGCACCATGTTCAGGATGATTTTAAATAATCTGCCATGTTTCTGTTATCCTCACAACTGTACCCTTACACAATCTATCTCTACCTAGAAAACGTATTTCAGATGGCTATAAGAGTACAGTCTGAGCCGGTCACGGTGGCTGATGCCTGTAGTCCCAGCACTCTGGGAGGGCGAGGCGGATGGATCACGAGGTCAGGAGATTGAGACCATCCTGGCTAATACGGTGAAACCCCGTCTCTACTAAAAATACAAAAGATTAGCCGGGCGTGGTGGCAGGCACCTGTAATCCCAGCTACTCGGGAGGCTGAGGCAGGGGAATCACTTGAACCTGGGAGGCGGAGGTTGCAGTGAGCCAAGATCACGTCATTGCACTCCAGCCTGGGTGACACAGCGAGACTCCATCTCAGAAAAACAAAAACAAAAACAAAAACAAAAACAAAAAAACTGTACGGTCTGATCCAAACTGTTGCTGTATTGATTCCTCCTCTTGCTTACTGCCTGCTGACTTCTGAGATGATAGTTTCCTTCCCCATTCTCAGTATATCCCTAATTCATCCTTCATTGAGCATCTTTTATCATAAAGCTGTATTCTCTTTGTATTAATATCCTTACCGTGTTTCACAGGGCAGAAACAGCTGGGCTTATAAACAGGCATAGTCCTTTTGAAGGATGTGGTTGATCCTACAACAACACACTTTCCTAAGGATGACAACAACTCACCCCACCCCTAGAATGGCTGGTATGAACCGAGTTTCCACACGGTCTAGCTGGCAATGGGGTCAGGAGCCGTTTTGCTACTTCACATCTTTTGGTCACTGGTAAATATTAAGGTACTTTGTTTTCTGTTTTGTGAACTCTCTCTCTCTCTCACGATATGTCTTCTGACCATTTGTTTCTATTTCTGCATTTACTGGGACTAAACATTGTACAGAGGTTAAAAACAACACTCCAATGGGCGTTTCCCAGGAGGGTGGGGTTCAGTTTCTGAACTCACTTGTAGGTGTGTATTTCTTTCATATCCAATTTCCCATTTTCCTCTGCCTCTGATACCTGCCTCTCCTTTTCTGCGTGCTCACATTCTTTCATGCTTAGTTTCCTCAGGTTAGAAGGGAGAGAAATGCACACACATGATCCACCAGTCCATGTGGGATTCCCTCTGCCCTTCTGGCATCTGAAGGCTGTGATTCAAAGATCCCCCCTGCAACCTTCCCACAAATGAACCAACTGATTCTCACAACCGAAGGGAGAATGGACACCTCCCATTGAGGGACCAAAAAAAATCACACTCTGGCCTGCTGGCAAGTCACCTGTCATTTCCAGCTCATCTTCATAGTTCCATAGTTAGTCCTATTCTTTAGTAAATATAGAGACTATTAAAAGCTTCTATGAGGTGCACTATGTGTGTCTCTGGGGTCAGTCTTGTGCTTGACACAGCGAAAGATCATTTTAGTTCAGTGTGAAAAACCAGACCTCACCAACTCATCACAACTAACTCCATCGGAAGCAGAGGATTGCTCCTCATCTGACTCTTCCTGTGTGAGACCTGCTTCTCAGTCAGAGGCTGATGCCAGAACTGAGACCAACAGCCATAGAGAGATCCTTCCAGAATATGGTGTCATTAACCCCGCCGTTCACTACTGCACTTTGCCATGATTCAGGACTGGAACTCTTGTCATCGACTTTAAAGATCCTGGTTGAGAGAAAAGGCAATCTGAATGCTGGGCGCATCTATTGAATTAGAAATGATCAGAATGGCTCCTAAGTCAGGGTGTTATGTCCTGAAAATAGGTGACAACGGCAAACCATCCACCCTGGTGTTGACTGACTTTAACAAGGTTCAGTTCACAGAGTTTGAGGGCAGAAAAAGGAAATGGCCTAAAAAGGGTAAGTTTGCTGTGTTGCCCTCACACCACTTGATTCATGGTCCTGATCCTAAGGATCTCACCTGATACTTGGTTTTATAGGAAGGATGTGTAAAATTCCCAGAACGCTAGGAAACAGGGGCGAAAACACTTCAAAGGGAAAGTTAATGAACTTGTTTCTGACCACAGGGCATCCTTCAGCACATGCTGTCTGGAGTGGCCTCCAACAAGGAGTGTGTGGTGTGGTGCTGAGAATGCAATGGGAGCAGGGTCCTGTCCCCATGCTAAAGAAGCTCACAGTTTAATGCAAATGAGAAGCCAGTGAGGACATCACTACTCCTGCTGTGCACTTGGGAACTAGAAACACAAAACCTGACTCTGGAGGGAAGCTAAGGAAGCATTCTACTCTTGAGTTGACATAAGTGCATCTGAAGCTTCTGATCTCCGATGAGAACAATGGGGGACACCAAACAGAATATAAAACCCATGATTGAATACATCAAATTGCTAACATGGCAGTAAACAGACATGAGGTGAAGATGGAGAAGAAGGAAACCCAGGACGAAAGTCAGCCTCGCATTTGGAACCCATTTCCCTGAGTTTCATTGCTGAATTCCAGAAGGAACTACTGAGATGCAAAGAAGCACAGCAGCTTTTGCACACATGCGTGGGATTAGATGGAAAACAAGTGGATTGAGGGTCTGCCAATGAAAGCGACCCGTACTGAAGTCCACTGGCTCTGGTTGAGACCCAGAAGAGTCATGCATCAGAATAGAGGTGGACAGGAAATACCCTGGCCTTTGTAGGGACTGAGCCTGCACCGACGACCTCAATTGCAGCCTGTATGGAGGACCCGTGACCATCCCCCAGAAGTAGACTCCCATCTCTTCTGCAGCAAGATAACATGCCACTAGGCCTCAATTCATTGCTAAATATTTTTTAACAAGTATCTCACATTTAACAAAAAGAGATCAGTCATATGGCAGCAAAATACAATGTAATATGACCAAAACATGAAAGACTGTGAAAATGAATCTGGAGGTGACCCAAGCATTGAATTCAACAATCCAGGCTGGGTGCGGTGGCTCACACTGGGAGGCTGAGGTAGGCAGATCACCTGAGGTCAGGAGTTCAAGACTAGCCTGGCCAACATGGTGAACCCCTGTCTCTACTAAAAATACAAAAATTGGGCCGGGCACGGTGGCTCACGCCTGTAATCCCAGCACATTGGGAGGCCGAGGTGTGTGGATCATGATGTCCAGAGTTCTAGACCAGCTTGGCCAATATGGTGAAACCCCGCCTCTACTAAGAATACAAAAATTATCCGGGCATGGTGGCATATGCCTGTAGTCCCAGCTACTCAAGAGGCTGAGGGATAAGAATCGCTTGAACCTGGGAGGCGGAGGTTGCAGTGAGCCAAGATCATGCCACTGCACTCTAGCCTGGGTGACAGAGTGAGACTCTGTCTCAAAAAAAAAAAAAAAAATTGGCCGAATGTGGTGGCACACACCTGTAATCCAAGCTACTCAGGAAGCTGAGGCAGAATTGCTTCAAACTGGGAGGCAGAGGTTGCAGTGAGCCAAGATTGCACCATAGCACTCCAGCCTGGGCGACAGAGCGAGATTCTATCTCAAAATTAAAAAAAAAAAAAAAAAAAGGCTGGGTGTGGTGGCTCACACCTCTAATCCCAGCACTTTGGGAGGCTGAGGCAGGTGGATTACCTGAGGTCAGAAGTTCGAGACCAGCCTGGACAACATGGTGAAACCCCATCTCTAGTAAAAATACAAAAATTAGCTGGGCGTGGTGGTGGGCACCTGTAATCCCAGCTACTTGGGAGGCTGAGGCAGGAGAATTGCTTGAAGCCAAAAGGCAGTGAGCTGAGATTGTGCCATTGCACTACAGCCTGGGCAACAACAGCAAAGCTCCATCTCAGGAAAAAAAAAAAAAGAGAGAGAAAGGAAAACCAATGCCAGTACTAGCAACTCCTCTTCCCCCGAAAAAATTACAAACAAGAATGTAGGAAGGGAAAGGAATTATACAGCTTAAACTAATGAAGCAGAAAGGACAAACTCAATTTTGAGCCCACTGAATTTGCCACAAATATTGTAGAAAATATTCTCAAGGACTTTACAGTTGTCTACTTTGATTGGCACATGGTTCATACAACAGTATTTGTGTCAAGGCACATCTTACTGTTTTCTGGCGGTCTTCCTCTTTCCATTGATTTTGTCATGACGGTTGATTTTCGTTGTCACCTTCCTCTTACGGATTTTAGCTCTAACTTTTGTTTCCACATGCCTCCGTAGAGTAATGACGTCTTTCAGGCCAATTTTATTTCCTCGAAAGGAAGAAACTCTTTTCTTTGTGTGCATACAAATGGACCTCAGCCCTTGGTGAGAGTGAGGAGAGGAGAAGGTGAGAAACCTGAGGTCAAGAAGCTGTTCTTTCCCTTTCCAGGGCAAACTCATTTCCACACTATGGGGACTCCAACAGAGCCATACCTTTCTGTCTACTGCGGTTGGACCTCCAGGCTCTCTGCTGTACATCCGTGGATCCATCATGTCCATTTCGAGACCAGAAGATAGTCTTCAGGAGAGACACCTAGGAAATAATAATATAAGAATGACGGCTGGGCACGGTGGCTCATGCGTATAAATAATCCCAGTACTTTGGGAGGCTGAGGCAGGTGGATCACGGGGTCAGGAGTTCAAGACCAGCCTGGCCAAGATGGTGAAACCCTGTCTCTACTAAAAATACAAAAATTAGCCAGGCATGGCAGCGGGCGCCTGTAATCCAAGCTACTCGGGAGGCTGAGGCAGAGAACCATTTGAAGCTGGGAGGCGGAGGTTGCAGTGAGCCGAGATCACACCACTGTACTCCAGCCTGAGCGACAGAATGAGACTCTGTCACACACACACACACACACACACACACACACGAGAATGACATGAGGCTGGCACGGTGGCTCACTCCTGTAATCCCAGCACTTTGGGAGGCCGAGGCAGGCGGATCACCTGAGGTCGGGAGTTTGAGACCAGCCTCACCAACATGGAGAAACGCTGTCTCTGCTAAAAATACAAAATTAGCCAGGCATGGTGGTGCATGCCTGTAGTCCCAGCTAGTCAGGAGGCTGAGGCAGGAGAATCACTTGAACCCAGCAGGAAAAGGTTGTGGTGAGCTGAGATTGTGCCATTGCACTCCAAACCTGGGCAACAAAATTGAAACTCTGTCTCAAAAAAAAAAAAAAAAAAAAAAAAAAAAAAAAATAGCCCAAGTGCGGTAGCTCACGCCTGTAATCCCAGCACTTTGGGAGGCTGAGGCGGGTGAATCACAAGGTCAAGAGATGGAGACCATCCTGGGCAACATGGTGAAACCCCGTCTCTACTAAAAATACAAAAATTAGCTGAGCATGGTGATGCACGCCTGTAGTCCCAGCTACTCGGGAGGCTGAGGCAGGAGAACTGCTTGAACCCAGGAGGCAGAGGTTGCAGTGAGCCAAGATCCCACCACTGCACTCCAGCCTGGTGACAGAGTGAGACTCCGTCTCAAAAAAAAAAAAAAAAATGACATGAATATACTTCACACAACTGAACTGTACACTTCAACACGGTTAGATGGTAATTATCATCTTATAAGTATTTTCCCACAGGTTAACATGTTTCACAACTTGAAAAGGAAGTAATTACCTTCAGCTCTCTGAGTTCTAGAATTTGTAACATTTCACCCCCTGCTCCTTCCTGATCTGCACTGGAGCATCTTCCTTCTGTCCCTGCTCTACTCAGAGTTCACTTTCCCTTCCCTCACATCAGCTTCATTGAGGCTGGTTTGAACTTAACGCAAAACATTCTCACTAATGACTGAATTCCCACCAAGATTTCCATATTATCACAGTATGCTTTTAATCTTCTAAGATATTAAATATTTGTTCTCATCATAGCGAAAATGCAATGCAAATCCCATCTCAGATGTGGGTCAGATACCTATGAATCTCCTGAGGTAGTCATTGAAATGACTTTTTTCTTGAGATGGAGTGTCACTCTCAACCATGCTGAAGTGCAGTGGCACTACCTTGGCTCACGGCAACCTCCACCTCCCAGATTCAAGCGATTCTTGTGCCTCGGCCTCCCAAGTAGCTGGGATTACAGGTGCCTGCTACCATGCCTGGCTAATTTTTGTCTTTTTAGTAGAGATGGGGTTTCACCATGTTGGCCCATCTGGTCTTGAACTCCTGACCTCAAGTCATCCACCTGCCTCAGCCTCCCAAAGTGCTGGGATTACAGGCATGAGCCACCACACCTGGCCTGAAATAATATCTTTCAAATTCTTTGTAGAATTTGTTTTTTCCTGATTTCTGCACATAGGATAAAAAAAAAATCATGTACTAGGATTTCGAGAGAAGCAATGGGTAATCTAAAAAGATGAAAAGAGCAACCACGTCAATCCCACAGCTACTACTAGATTTCATAGGAAAGGTAGCTGGCCCAGTTTGGAGCTAGGAGAAATGTCAAACACATGAAGAAATGACAAGCAAAGAAATGCCATCACGCATGAATGCTTCATGGCACCCATGATGTCCCTGCTTAGGAGGTAATGGTATAGATGACTAGATGACAAGGACAAAGATGAGAGGTGCGAAGTTGTCCAAGTCCAGCAGCTCAACTGAACTTTCCTAAATGGAACTGTTAAAAAGTGGTAAATTTAAAAACTTCCCCTGGCTCACG
Organism: Homo sapiens; assembly: GCF_000001405.40. NCBI lineage: Eukaryota > Metazoa > Chordata > Mammalia > Primates > Hominidae > Homo > Homo sapiens. The sequence continues at coordinate 29,043,889 of NC_000016.10, read as the reverse complement.
TGGTGGCTCACGCTTGTAATCCCAGCACTTTGGGAGGCTGAGGCGGGTGGATCATTTGAGGTCGGGTTTTGAGACTAGCCTGGCCAACATGGTAAAACCCCGACTCTACTAAAAATACAAAAATTTGCTGGGCATGGTGGTGGGCACCTGTAATCCCAGCTACTTGAGAGGCTGAGGCAGGGGAATCACTTGAAGCCAGGAGGTGGAGGTTGCAGTGAGCCGAGATCACACCATTATACTCCAGCCTGGGCAACAGAGGGAGACTCGTCTCGGGGGTGAGAAAAGAAAAAAAAAAAAAAAGCTTCCTCCAATTTATACCGAAAATTCTCTGTTCAGGACTAAGTGGCATAGAGAATGTTAAGTGTGCCTAGATATCTTCATAACTCATATATTTTCTGTTTTCTACATATCTTGAAAGGCAGTGCCAAATGACGTGTAATTATCTAGGTGGTAAAACTGAAACATACTTCCTCTTCCCTTGAATATAAAAAAGCATTGTGGTATTAGTACTTTTATCTTGGATCATTGTTCAGGAGGTTCAGCCCCCAGAAAACCACATTTTTACTGTCATGAATGGCAAGACAAAATGTAGAGCTCAACTTACCCAAAGGAAAAAAGGCTCAAAAGACAAATTATGGCACAACTTAGCAGCCAAATTCTTACCAAGTACAGACTTTTGACATACTGATCTCTCTCCAGTTGCAAGTGGGAACATGCACTTTGAATGATGTCATTCAAAATTACCCTGCCCAGACACACTTTTCATTGATTCTCTTGGAGGGCAGTTCTAAGAGATTCTCTGGGGCTTTCTCTGCATCATGAGACGCAGTGCAGTTCTGCCCTTCACCTTCCGGCAGTTTGTCACCTCGTCCCTATGACCTCAGAGGAACTTTGTCTCAGGCCAATTGTTTGTTCCTTGGCCTCTTTCATTTCCCCTAAAAATCATTTGCTGCCCCTCTAAATGGCCTACATCTCCATCTATCTCCCTCTCCCCTCAGAAGAGGGTGCTCTTTAAGCATCAACCATCCGGCCCTTCTAGCAGTCTCATTTTTCAGCTGGTTCCCATGTTTATGCCTGTTCTATGTTTTCCTTTTCCTGTTAAGCTGTCTGTTGTCAGCTCATTTCTGCAGTGAATCTTCAGAGAGGAGATTGGAAGCTTTCCTTCCACCCATACGATAGAACTATAAAGCAGAAGAGTTTAGAAAGAATTTCCTATTTAAGTGACGAAACCTCATACTCCATTTGTGATAAATAGCACAAAGGCTAAAAAAACTTATTTTTGACCAAAAGCTCTGTTGACATTCTATTAAACAAACACCGACCTATTTAATTTTCATAATGTAAATGGCAGACATTTTCATAATTCTTATGCTAATAAATCATTTCCCTGATTTTTTGGGTAAAACCACATATTCATAATGAAGTCCAGAAACGTGAATTGTTTTATATAATTTATTCTTATTTGTGATTACAAGTATACCTCTACAGAAAGTTAGTATACTCACACAAAGGCAACTTGTGCAGAAGAGAATGTTAAATGTGTAACGTCTCAGAAACCCAATAATGATAATTATCAAATTATCCAATTTTTGTGGAGATGGGGTTTTGCCATGTTGGCCAGGGTGGTCTCGAACTCCTACACCAAAGTCAGTCTCACGATGACGATAGACAGCCAGACTATTGATAACCTGGAATAATAATAGTTGAAATAATGAAAAGGTCAATGACACCGACAATATTTCACTCAGAAAGAATCATCCTTAGAAACCGTCAACCTCCTCCAAAAGGTAACCACATCCCTCAGATATCACCGTGGGATTCCACTGCTACAAAAAAGAACAGAAGTTAGAAGTCTCATGTTTTTCAGATGGCTGGTAGTGTTTTTAGGCATTGCAAATGTGGGGTGTTGTCTTTCTTGGTATAAAGCAGGGATATCCAATCTTTTCACTTCCCTGCCTATATTAAAAGAAACAAAGTTGTCTTGAGCCACACATAACATACACTAACACTAACAATAGCTGATGATCTAAAAAAAAACTCTTTTTTTTTTTTTTTTTGGAGACAGAGTTCCGCTCCACTCAGTCGCCCAGGCTGGAGTGCAGTGGTGCAATCTCGGCTCACTGCAACCTCCAGCTCCTGGGCTCAAGCCATTCTCCTCCCTCAGCCTCCCGAGTAGCTGAGATTACAGGTCTCTGCCACCATGCCCGACTCATTTTTGTATTTTTAGTAGAGATGAGGTTTCACCATGTTGGCCAGTCTGGCCTTGAACTCCTGGCAGGCGATCTGCCTGCCTCGGCCTCCCAAAGTGCTGGGATTACAGGTGTGAGCCACCGTGCCCAGCCATTTTTTTTTGTTTTTGTTTTTGTTTGGTGTTTTGTTTTTGAGATGGGGTCTCACTCTGTCACCCAGGCTGGAGTGCAGTGGCGTGCTCTCGGCTCACTGCAACCTCTGACTCTCAGGTTCAAGTGATTCTCCTGCCTCAGCCTCCTGAGTAGCTGGGAGTACAGGTGCCTGACAATGCACTCAGCAAATTTTTGTATTTTTTGTGGAGATGGGGTTTTGCCATGTTGGCCAGGGTGGTCTCGAACTCCTGACCTCAGGTAATCTGCCCGCCTCAGCCTCCCAAAGTGCTGGGATTACACGCATGAGCCACTGTACCTGGCCAAAATCTCCTAATGTTTTAAGAAAGTTTACAAATTTGTGTTGAACTGCATTCAAAACTGTCCTGGGCCACATGCAGCCCGTCACTCATGGCTAAGACAAGCTAAGTATAAAGTAATTATCTTTTCTTTTTGTTTGGAGACAAAGTCTTGCTCTGTCACCCAGGCTAGATTGCAGTGGCATGATCTCAGCTCACTGCAACCTCCGCCTCCCGGGTTCAAGCGATTCTCCTGCCTCAGCTACTGAGTAACTGGGATTACAGGCGCCTGCCACCGCACTCGGCTAATTTTTGTATTTTGAGTAGAAACAGGGTTTCACCATCTTGGCCAGGCTGGTCTCCAACTCGTGACCTCTTGATCCACCTGCCTCGGCCTCCCAAAGTGCTGGGAATACAGGTGTGAGCCACTGCACCTGGCCAGTAGTTATCTTTTCTTTAAAGTTATTTACTTGTTTTTTAAATTGATGTATAACATTGGATGCATTTATTATATATCACATGGTAAAAGAATCCCTCTAAATAATACTTCTCTCTTGGATTATATGAATCTTTGTCATTTGAAGCTCAGCATAAGTAAAAAAAAAAAAATACAATGAAGAGATTACTTCATTCACAAATAAGTATCAAATTTTAGTGCTTAAAAATTAACAAGGTGGGCCGGGTGTGGTGGCTCACGCCTGCAATCTCAGCACTTTGGGAAGCCGAGGTGGGTGGACCACGAGATCAGGAGATTGAGACCATCCTAGCTAACACGGTGAAACCCATCTCTACTAAAATTACAAAAAATTAGCAGGGCATGGTGGCACGTGCCTATAGTTCCAGCTACTTGGGAGGCTGAGGCAGAAGAATCACTTGAACCCGGGAGGCAGAGGTTGCAGTGAGCCGAGATCGCACCACTGCACTTCAGCCTGGGTGACAGAGCGAGACTCTGTCTCAAAAAAAAAAAAAAAAAAAAAAAAAATTACCAAGGTGGAGATCATGAAAATGGCATGAATAGTGTGGGATTTCTCTAAGATTGTTGATATTAATTCCATTAGACTCTTATGTGAGTGAAGACGAAGACTTCCCCTGAGTAAGTTCAGACAGCTTGTGATAACATTTCTACGTCGATTCCTCAGGATTTAACTATATATTCTTGAAAACATCTCAATTTTAAATGTTTCTTTCAAGATGGTGAATTAAACAGAGATAGCCCTTCAACAGGTTGAACTCAGCATATGCTGAGTCTGAAATGGAAATGATGGAGTTAGAGAACCATACAACAATGGTAATGATTTCAGAAACATGGTGTTGAGCAGAACAAAGCAGACACAAAAGAGTACCTATGGCATGGCATGCATCTGTATACGCAAAATTCCAGAATAAGCAAGCTAACCTATGATAAGAAAGAGACTGGCTGGGAAGAGTGAGAGTTCACTTTCTGGGGTGACATAATAGTGTAGATCTTGGCTGGGCACGGTGGTTCACGCCTGTAATCCCAACGCTTTGGGAGGCCGAGGCGGGCGGATCACCTGAGGTCGGGAGTTCAAAACCAGCCTGACCAACATGGAGAAACCCTATCTCTACTAAAAATACAAAATTAGCTGGGAGTGGTGGCACATGTCTGTAATCCCAGCCACCCGGGAGGCTGAGGCAGGAGAATCGCTCAAACCTGGGAAGCAGAGGTTGCGGTGAGCTGATATTGCCCCATTGCACTCCAGCCTGGGCAACAAGGGAGAAACTGTCTCAAAATAAATAAATAAATAAATAAATAAAATAATGTAGATCTTGAAAGGGGGTCGGTTTATGCTGGTGTATGTACTTTCCAAAGTTAGTAAACTTACACTTAAGGTTATATATTTTGGCCAGGCGCGGTGGCTCACGCCTGTAATCCCAGCACTGGGAGGCCGAGGCAGGCAGATCACGAGGTCAAGAGATGGAGACTATCCTGGCGAACATGGTGAAACCCCGTCTCTACTAAAAACACAAAAATTAGCCAGGCGTTGTAATCTGAGCTACTCAGGAGGCTGAGGCAGGACAATTGCTTGAACCCCGGAAGCGGAGGTTGCAGTGAGCCGAGATCTTGCCACTGCACTCCAGCCTGGGCGACAGAGTGAGACTCTGTCTAAAAAAAAAAAAAAAAAAAAGTCATCAAACCAGATGACACAAATCAAATGACATTTCACTTTGTTTTGGTCCATTTTGTTTGTTAGAGACAAGAGTGCAGCGGGGCCATCTCAGCTCACTGCAACGTCCAGCTCCTGGGCCCAAGCGATCCTCCCACCTCAGCCTCTCCAGTAACTGGGATAACAGGTACGCACCACCAGGCCCGACTAATCTTTTTTGGAATTTTTTGTAGAGATGGGGTTTCGCCATGATGCCCTGGCTAGTCTTCAACTCCTGGACTCAAGTGATCTGCCCACCTCGGCCCCCTAAAGTGCTGGGATTACAGGCCTGAGCTGTGTAATTTCATGCCGCGTGACACAGCCCAGTAAAAAGGAAGAAACCCCGCGGGTCCAGCGTCTACTCACAGGGGTGGGCTGATGGCTGATAAATCCCAGCAGGAGCCAAATGAGGAGCCAAAAGCGCAGCCGCATGTCCTGGTCCTTTCAGGGCGCCCTGAGGCGGCCAGGACAGAGGTGGAGGTGGCTTAGGGCAGGGGGGAGGGAAGGGGACGGGGACCGGGGCGGATCTGAGTTGGGGAGGGGCAGGGGAGGGGGAGGGGAAGGGGAGGGGGAGGGGAAGGGGAGGGGAAGGGGAGGGGGAGGGGAAGGGGAGGGGGAGGGGAAGGGAAAGGAGAAGGGGGCTGTTGGGCACCTGGAGGAGGTGGAGGAGGAGGAGGAGAAGAAGAAAGGGGTCTGGGAAAGGATCCGGTTCAAATTAAGTTCTCAAGCGCTGGTGGAAGGTTTAGCTACAGGTCACGGAGAAGATCAGGGAAGCAACAGGACACGCGGGGCAAGGGAGCGTGAGGCTTAGGAGCAATCAGAGGGAGACAAAAAGGTTCTGCTATCCGCCAAACCTTCTTCGGTCTGGGCCCTCCCTTAGCAAACCTGGGGCTTTATACTCCCTCTCCACCAATCCCTGATGACCCCGGTGGTGCCTCACAATGGACAATGCCAAGTAGCGCCCGCATCATTCCAATGACCCCTCCCCCATCTCAGTCTCCCACACTCCTCGCAAGGACAGGTCCTCTCTGGAACCTTCACAAACCTGATTTCTGGTCCTCCCCAACCAGCTCCCTGTCCCTGCTTCTGGGCGCTCCTTCCTTCCTGAGCTCCCAGGGTTCCTCAAGGTCACTTTTGGCGACAAAACATAAAAAACAAATGATGGCAGGATGGCAGGAAGAACCTCATACCCAAGCAGAGTGCCAGGTTTTACAGCCTCCGCTCAGCCATTCATATCCTAAGCAACAAAACATCAGCAGGATGCGGAAGGTCCTGATAGTAAACCATCTCCATCACATCCATGTAGCCATCCGTCCATCAACCTGTATCTCAGGAACAAATGTAGATACATTCATTTTAAGCATGCATGGTACATTTACAAAAATTAACCTGACTTATTTTGTTCCAGCAAATCTCAATATATTTGAGAGCAATCAAATCACACAGCACGTTTCTGATCATATAACTGTGCTAGAAGTCAATGATTAAAAGCCAATTCAAAATTATTATTTGCTTGGAAATTCAAAGTGCCCTTATAAGACATAAACATAAGAAAGAATCCAAAATGAAACAAGATTGCCTTTCAACTCAATGATAAGATCATAACATGGCAATAAAATGTCTCCCTCTGACCTGGGAATTCCTCTTTGTGGCACAAGGTTGTGTGATCTCAAATCACCCCTAACCCACCTAGACATTTTAACATCCGAAACCGAGTGATGATGTCCTTATCTATATCATCTTACTGCCTGTGTGTGTGGACTTTAAATTCTGAACCCAAATGAGGGGGAGAAAACCAAGTTGACCTTCATGACTGACCTCTCAGGGATGTCCAAGGAATCTGTGCATTTCAAGAAACAAAGTTCATCAGCTTCTCTCCTAAGGTATTTGCCCACAATACCCAGAGGGCTTGGCAGCATCATGTGTGATGGGTGGGGAGCTCCAAGCAGGTGGGCAGGACCCAGGGGTCTGGTGACCAGGACAGACCCCCACTGTCCATCACCTTTCCTGACCCTGTCCTCAGCTAAACTTCCCACAGGCCTTCTGCCTGATCACACAGAGTGTGCCCAAACTCACTCAGGCCTCTGGCAGCTGAAAACCACTGCTTTAAATCCCTTTACCATTTACTATGACATAAGGTTATTGTAAACAGGAAATATTCTATTGATGCTACAAATGGAAAGCCAATGCCTTTACCATAAATAGAAAAACAACCCTAAGAAACAAGCAAAACAAAAACAAAACAGGGGCTGGGTGTGGTGGCTCACGCCTGTAATCCCAGCACTTTGGGAGGCCGAGGTGGGCGGATCACAAGGTCAGGAGTTCCAGACCAGCCTGGCCAATATGGTGAAACCCTGTCTCTAATAAAATACAAAAATTAGCCGGGTGTGGTGGTGGGCGCCTTAGTCCCACCTACTTGGGAGGCTGAGGCAGGAGAATAGTTTGAACCCGGGAGGCAGAGTCTGCAGTGAGCCGAGATTGCACCACTGCACTCCAGCCTAGGCGACAGAGCGAGACTCTGTCTCAAAAACAGCAACAACTACAAACAAACAAAAAACAGGGTTAACAAAACTATGGAATTCAATTCTATTTATATGCTGCAGCCATGTTCCAGCCCTAGATTTGGCTGGGCATGGTGGCTCACGCCTGTAATCCCAGCACTTTGGGAGGCTGAGGCCGGCGGATCACGAGGTTAGGAGTTCGAGACCAGCCTGACCAACATGGTGAAACCCCGTCTCTACTAAAAATACAAAAATTAGCCAGGCACGGTGGCACCCGCCTGTAATCCCAGCTACTCAGGAGGCTGAGGCAGGACAATCCCTTGAACCCGGGAGGTGGAGGTTGCAGTGAGCCGAGATCGTGCCATTGCACTCCAGCCTGGGTGACAGAATGGAGTGAGACTCTGTCTCAAAAAAAAAGAAGCCCTCGGATTTCGGTTGTGTTGGTTGTAAAAGGAGAGACCAAGTAAGTGGGGGTTGAAGTCAGATTAGACCAAAAGTGAATGGCAGAGAGTACTATAATGTCCATGAAGGGTTGCTAGAGTCACCGTGATCATAGCCCAAGCAGAGACAGGGAAAGGAAGATGTGAGCAGAGTTTGGGGCCTCGAACATTGGAGGTTACTCGTGCAGCCCAGGAAAGGCTCCCCAAAGCCAAGATCAACCTCCCTTGCAGGCGGTCCCTCATGGAGGCATGGCCAGGCACCTTAGATTTGAGACCAGCTGTGTTGCTGCTGACCAGCTGTGTGACCCTGGGCTGGTTTCCTTGCGTACAATGGGAGTGCCAATGGCTGCATGCATGCAAAGACCATCTGAGGATAGGAGGAAGCAATCTGTTGAGCACCCGTGTACCTGAGTGTCATCACCTCCCAAGGGCATCCTTCGTTCCAGAGCTGGCACCTTGGAAGGCCCTTGGTCACTGAAGGCAGTGATGATGGTAACAGCAGTATATCATCATTTACGGCTGATGACGGAAGGCCAGGGGGTAGGGCTCCTAGGTCCTGGATAAGAATGAGGGTCTGGGCACTCCTGGGGACAGCTGAGTGGTAGGACTCCTGGGTCCCCAGGGTGCAGGTCCATCTTCAGTGGCATTGGGCCTAGGCTGGGATGCTGAGTTATCCACTGGAGCATCAGCAGTACAGGCAGGCACAGAGGCAGTGGATCCATCGGAGGTGGCAGGTGTAGGATCATCTGGTGAGCAAGTAGAGTCACCAAGCCTGGCTGACCACTACCCCCACTATCCCCACAGACGATGCCCTGTCCCTTGCCTCATGCTCCGGCAGGGTACAGGCTCACACCTGGGGCCTCATGGAGCATCTCTCTAAGACCTCTGTGTCCTGGTCATTGAATGGGCACTTGAGTCACCCAGGGCCATTGGAACAAAGAGGAAGAATCAGGCCCCACGATGTTTGGGGCCTATTATTATTTATCAAAAAATAATAATAATAAACACGTAATGACTGAAAGCATCCTAAATTTGATGAAAAACTAAACTACCCATCCAAAAATCTTAGCAAATATTATTATGACATGTAAACTCAACTCAGAGCTAAGCTATATAATAAATTATTATTACCTTTCCTTTCTGCACAATTTTTGTTTTCCATGGGTTAGTCATTTTCGTTTTTTTCATTTGCTTAGCATATTCGATGTGCTTATTAACTCAACCCAAATCTCTCCATCAGTTGTTTATATCATTTCTCAAGGTGTTCACTTAGATTAAGTGGTTTGTGAATTTCATTTTCTTGGAAAAAAATCTCTGCTGGTGCCTCCTGCCATGCTCCAATATGAATGCACTCCTGCCCAGGCCTTCTGCACGGTGTCACCGCGGGGTCTTTCTCATCTCATCCTTTCCCCAAGGAGACCCTTCCCCTCTTTTTTTTTTTTTCTTCTCTTTTTTGAGACAGAGTCTCAATCTGTCATCCAGGCTAGAGTGCAGTGGGGCAGTCTCGGCTCATTGCCACCTCCACCTCGCGGGTTCAAGCGATTCTTCTTCCTCAGCCTCCCGAGTAGCTGGGCTCACAGGTGTGTGCCACCACGCCCAGCTAATTTTTGTATTTTTAGTAGAGACGGGGTTACACCACGTGGGCCAGGCTGGTCCCAAGCCCCTGACTTCAGGTGATCCGCCTACCTTGGCCTCCCAAAGTGCTGAGATTACAGGCGTGAGCCACCCCGCCCCACCTCCCTTCCCCTCTTCCATATGTTGAATCTCCTGTTCCTAGATGCCATTATGTTCCTCTTACTTGGCTTGTTTTCTTGTTTTGGTCGAGTGCATTCTCCTATAGTTACCCAGTTAAAGAATGCATCAGAAGTAACTTTTGGCTGCTCTGCCTATGGAGCAGCCATTCTTTTATTTCTTTACTTTCTTAATAACCTTGCTTTCAAAAAAAAAAAAAAAACACCTGTCATCGAAGCACTTTGGGAGGCCAAGGCAGGCAGATCACTTGAGGTCAGGAGTTCAAGACCAGACTGGTCAGCATGGTAAGACCCTGTCTCTATTAAAAATACAAAAATTAGCCAGGTGCGGTGGCACACACCTGTATTCCCAGCTACTCGGGAGGCTGAGGCAGAAGAATCGCTTGAACCTGGGAGGCAGAGGTTGCAGTGAACCAAGATCATGCCACTGCACTTTAGCCTGGGTGGCAGGGTGAGACTCCATCTCTATAAATAAATAAATAAATAAATAAATAAATAAATAAATAAATAAATGGAGTATCTTCTGAGACCTTGCAAAAAATTTTTTTTTGTTGAATCTTTTCAGACTCATTTCTAAAATGCCCACTGGGGTTTGCATTTTCACCAGCAATATATGACTATGCTTCCCCTGAAACTCCATTAGCTCTTTAATTTTTGCTTACCTGATGGGTATAAAGTGCTACCTCATTGGTCCTTCAATTTGTGTTTCCCTGGTTACTAATGAGGCTGAACATTTTTTGCTTATTTATTTGCTATTTAAATTTGCTCCTCTGTGAATTGCCTGCGCTTCCTCCTCTTGGCCGTTTTTCTTTCATACTGTTTGTCTTTTTGCTGACAGTCTGCAAGGCCTGTCTATGCACCACAGATACAGGCTGTTCATTTGCCATATTGGCAAATCCAAGTCACCCTTTAACTTTGCTTACAATATTTTCCCATAATTTTTTCCTCCAATTTTAACAAAGATTCATCTAAAAGATTCTTGGTGACTTCTGGGCTTCTTTTATTGGTTTAAAAATTTCCCGCCTGGGCATGGTGGCTCACACCAGTAATCCCAGCACTCTGGGAGGCCGAGGTGGGCAGACTGCCTGAGGTCAGGAGTTCAAGACCAGCCTGGCCAACATGGTAAAACCCCGTCTCTACTAAAAATACAAAAATTAGCCAGGCATGGTGGTGCATGCCTGTAATCCCAGCTACTCGGGAGGCTGAGGCCAGAGAAGCACTTGAACCCAGGAGGTAGAGGTTGCAGCAAGCCAAGATCACACCACTGCACTCCAGCCTGGGCAACAGGCTAAGACTCTGTCTCAAAAACAAAAATAACAAATATTTTCCACAATTTCCACATTATATATATATATATAGTTTCCTAAATTTTCTTCTGAGAATTTTTTTTTTTTAAGACAGAGTCTCGCTCTCATGCCCAGGCCGGAGTGCAGTGGTGCAGTCTCGGCTCACTGCAGCCTCCACCTCCCAGGATCAAGTGATTCTCCTGCCTCAGCCTCCCTAGTAGATTACAGGAGCCCGTCACCACGTCTGGCTACTTTTTGTATTTTTAGCAGAGACAGGATTTCACCATGTTGTCCAGGCTGATCTCGAATTCCTGACCTCAGGTGATCCACCCTCCTTAGCTTCCCAAAGTGCTGGGATTACAGGTGTGAGCTACTACGCCCGGCAAATCTCCCATTTTCTTATGTTAGCCTCTAACTCTTTGTCCTTGACATGTTTTTCTTCATAGAGGCCCTGCACCTTCCCTCTTCAAAGCATCCCCTAAGCAATATGTGAATGAAATAGGTTCCTTTTTCTACTTCTAGCCAATGAATTCTTACAATATCAAATTATCTCTTTTCAGTCAGGTGCAGTGGCTCATGCCTGTAATCGCAGCACTTTGGGAGGCCGAGGCGGACAGATAACTTGAGGTCAGGAGTTTGAGACCAGCCTGGCCAACACGGTGAAACCTCATCTCTACTAAAAATACAAAAATTAGCCAGCCGTGGTGGCGCATGCCTGTAATCCTAGCTACTTGGGAAGCTGAGGCAGGAGAATCACTTGAACCTAGGAGGTGGAGGCTGCAATGAAACGAAATTGCACCACTGCACTCCAGCCTGGGGGACAGAGTGAGACTCCATCTCAAAACACACACACACATACACAGACACACACACAAATTCTCTCTTTTATTTCAGTAGTATTTATTTTTGTTCTTGTTCTGGCATATGTAATAGAGCCTCCAAAACACCATTTTGTTGTGATTTTAAAGGAAATGGCTTTCGTATTTAGAGTGATTTTTTCTGTTAAGTTTTAGCAAAGAAACTTCATGATATTTAGGTAGTTTATGTTTTTATTTTTATTTTATTTTAAGACAGGATCTTGCTCTGTCACCCAGGCTGGAGTGGTACAGTGGCACAATCACAGCTTGCTGCAGCCCCAACCACCCAGGCTCAAGTGATCCTCCCACCTCAGCCTCCCGAGTAGCTGAGACCAAAGGCATGCACCACCTGCCAAGCTAATTTTTTTTTTTTTGTAGTGACAGAGACTCATTATGTTGCCCAGGCTGGTCTCAAACTCTTGGGCTCAAACGATCATCCCAAAATGCTGGGATTACAGGCACCTCCTGGGTTCACACCGTTCTCCTGCCTCAGCCTCCCGAGTAGCTGTGACTACAGGCACCCGCCACCACGCCCAGCTAATTTTTTGCATTTTTAGTAGAGACGGGGTTTCACTGTGCTAGCCAGATTGAGGTCTCAATCTCCTGACCTCGTGATCCACCCGCCTTGGACTCCCAAAGTGCTGGGATTACAGGCATGAGCCACTGCGGCTGGCCTTGTTTTTCTTTTTTTAGAAAAAGCTGTTGAATTTTCCAGCTGACTTCTCAACACCAATTGATGTGATCACATTGTACTTTCCCTATGCAATTATATTGATCAATTACCGTACTTGATCATTCCTGAAGTAAACTGCTCAAGATATGTTACCTTTGGATATATAATTGTATTTTATTAACATTTTATTTAGAATTTTTACACCCAAATAATTAATCTTCAACCTCCTCTTCTTGGCTTGTTTTTGGTTTTTTTGTTCTTGTTGTAATTTGCTTGTTGGTTTACTATGTTTGTGAGATTTTCCTTTTTTTTTTTTTTTGAGAGGGAGTCTCACTCTCTCACCCAGGCTGGAGTGCAATGGCGTGATCTTGGCTCACTGCAACCTCCACCTCCTGGGTTCAAACGATTCTCCTGCCTCAGCCTCCTGAATAGCAAGTAGCTGCGATTACAGGCACCTGCCACCATGCCCGGCTAATTTTTGTATTTTTAGTAGAGACAGGGTTTTACCATGTTGGCCAGGCTGGTCTCGAACTCCTGACCTCGGGTGATCCATCCTCCTCGGCCTTCCATAGGCTAGGATTACAAGCATGAGCCACCGTGCCCGGCCTACTATGTTTATGAGATTTTTCTAGGAAGGTCATGCTGCCTTCATAAAAAAAATCCAATAGTTTCTTTTTCTATAACCTAGAATAGTTTAGCTAACATTGGAATTCCCATTATTCGTTTCACTTTATCTGATGATCCGCTGGACTCATCTTTGAAACCGTCAGGGGTTGGTGCCTCTACAAACAATTTTGTGCACACAAAATGGCATGTAACATACATGTAAGTTAGGAGGCACAGAATGAAGACCCCAGAGCCGAGTTAAGGTACGTTTATAACTTACTCATAGTGTCACCAAGGTTCAGCTTGGCTAAAAGGGCAAGGGGGAGGGGACACCCACCACCTCTTCTTAACAGCTGTCTTCTGGTGTCAGCACTCAGGAGTAAGCCAGACATTGTCACCATATGTTACCTGCGAGGAGGTGAGACCCTGAAGAGCAATTGGTAGTTTTCTCTGCTTTTCTCTTTTATTCTTCTTTGTAATAAAAACATGCTCACATTTAAACTCCTGCCATTTTATTGACTGGATTTGAAGCTGTGTGGGCAGGAGAGAGATGGACTCTGGGGGATGGAGAGGGACGGACAAGGGTTTGAAGCCCAGCTTTGCCCCCAGAGTGGCCCTGGGTGACTTGGACACCTGCAGGGAGCTGGCTTTCTCAGCAGTAAAATAGGTTTGTGTGGGGTTCAAATAAGCCCAGGGCCAGGTGCAGTGGCCCACATCCGTAATCCCCTCCCTTGGGAGGCCGAGGTGTGTGGATCACTTGAGGTCAGGAGTTTGAGACCAGCCTGACCAACATGGTGAAACCCTGTCTCTACTAAAAATATAAAAATAAGCCAGGCAGGATGGCAGGCACCTGTAATCCCAGATACTCAGGAGGCTGAGGCAGGAGAATCACTTTAACCTGGGGGGTGGAGATTGCAGTGAGCTGAGATTGCACCATTCCACTCCAGCCTGGGCAACATAGCAAGACTCCACCCTAAAAAAATATAATAAAATAAATAAATAAGCCCAAGGCCCCAGAGCAGATATTCCATAAATGTGTTTCCTCCTTGGCCCTTCTCACCACCCCTAACAGAGAAGGGCTGCATTTCGTTGTTGGGTAATGTGGAGCCAGTGCAGGTTCTTGAGGAGGGGAGTGGCCAAGAGCCAATAAAGCACAATAGGATGGACTCAGTGCTGGGATGTGGATGTGAGATGAACCTGATGCTACAGACCGGCAAACTGAGGCACAGAGAAGGGAAGTTGCTTGCCCAAGGTCACAAAGCTAACAGGGCTGGAACTGGAACCCAGATCTTTCTGACTCCAGGCCTCCCAGTCACAGAGTCTATCCCTCCGCCCCCAGAATCTGGGAGACACCACCAGCCCTCCACAACCCACTGCACCACCAGCTTCTTGGGAGGGATGCGCGTCACCCCTGTGTCCTGGCACCTTCCGTGCCTGCCCCCGCATGAGTCACCCACCAGAGCAGAGTGAAAACCCACCTCCCTGGGGGAGGCCTCCATGTGAGTGCATTTCAGGTTCCCGTCTTAGTCACCACTTCTCTTGGTTCCCACCCCTCCCCCGGCTGCCGGGAGCTGCCTGTGACACCCCCAGTAGGCTCAGACCCAAGTGTGTGGCGGGGCTGGGCCCTAGGGAAGGGCCGAGGCCTGATCCCAAGGTGTTGCAGGGTGGCCGGGGGGTACACTAGCCCTGCAACTGCCACGGGCTCCCCTCCCCCTAAGGAAAGCAGAGAACTTGCTGACGGTCGCTGTCTCAGTGCTAATAAGAGCTGACACCACAGATACTTACTTCCAGGCCCTGCACTAAGCCCTCTGCATCTGCTAAGAAATCTGATCCTCACAAAAGCCCAGGAGCTGCTCTTGTCTGTTTTGTAGATGGGGCAACTGAGACTCAGAGAGGGAGAGTGACTTGCCCGAGGTCACAGAGCCAGCAAAGGACAGGGCAGGTGGCAAACTCAGGCAGCCTGTGCAGACTCATCATGCAATCCTGCCCCTCCATGACTGGTGCTCCTGCCTCAACGCTGTCCCAAGGGCCAGGCAAGGTGGGGTCCTGCCCTGGGTCTTTTTTTTTTTTTTAAGATGGGTTCTTGCTGTGTGACCCAGGCTGGAGTGCAATGGTGCCTTCATGGCTTCCCTGCAGCCTCGGACTCCTGCCTGCCCTGAGTCCTGTCCTGCCCCTTCCGCCCAGCCCAGCCAGAGCCCCTGAGAATGGTAAGCAGGGACCACCCTCTGAGGAAGGAGTGGGTGGGCACCAGCTCTGCCCACCACCGAGGAGCCTAGACCAGGCACTGCACCAGCTCCAGCCCCACAACTACCTGCAACCCCTCCAGGGTGCCAGGCTGGTCACCTCCCGGACTTTATCGGCAGTTCCCTCTGCTTAGGACACCTTCCCCTTCTCTCAACTACCCTTTCTGTACTACTCCAGGGGGCAGTGTCACCTCCTCCAGGAAGCCCTCTGGGATGTGCCCCTATAGACCTACACTTAGAGCTCCCAGGTGTGAATCCCAAATTTGCCATTTGCTTGCTGTGACCATAGGCAAATGACTGAACTTGTCTGAGCCTCTGTTTCCTCATCTTCAAAATGAGGCCAGTGATATCTCAGGGGGTTGCTGTGAGGACGAAGAAAGAGCAGGGCAACGTGCTTATAACATGGCCTAGCCCATAGTAAACGCTCAGTAAACTCGGCTCTTTATACCATTGATCACGTTGGATAGTAATTGTTAGTGTCCATCCAGCATCTCATTTCCATGCTTGTCCTCAGAGCCCAGCCACAGGGCCTGCCCCAGAGACCATCTCAATATACATCCTATTCATTGAATGAAAGACCTGGGGCTGAGTGCAGTGGCTCATGCCTATAATCCCAGCTCTTTGGGAGGCTGAGGTGGGAGGATCCTTTGAAACCAGAAGTTCAAGACCAGCCTGGGCAACAGAGCAAGACCCCCATCTCTACAAAAGCTTTAAAAATGAGCCGAGCGTGTTGCCACACACTTGTGGTCCCAGCCTACTAAGGAGGCTGAAGCAGGAGGATGGCTTGAGCCTAGGAGCTTGAGGCTACAGTGAGCCATGATCGTGCCACTGCCCTCCAGCCTGGGTGACAGAGCAAGACTCCATCTCAAACAAACAAACACACAAACAAAAACTCCCGTGCTGATTAGTAGTGGGATTGCACCTGTGAATAGCAACTGCACTCCAGCCTGGGCAGCATAGCAAGAACTTGTCTCTAAAAAATAATTTTTTGCTGGGCACAGTGGCTCATGCCTGTAATCCCAGCACTTTGGGAGGCTGAGGTGGGCGGATCACAAGATCAGGAGTTCCAGACCAGCCTGGCCGATATGGTGAAACTGCATCTCTACTAAAAATACAAAAAAATTAGCCGAGCCTAGTGGAGCGTGCCTGTAATCTCAGCTACTCGGGAGGCTGAGGCAGGAGAATTGCTTGAAGCCGGGAGGCGGAGGTTGCAGTGAGCCAAGATCATGCCACTGCACTCCAGCCTGGGCCACAGAGCGAGACTCCATCTAAATAATAATAATAATAATAATTTTTTAATGAAAATAAAAGGGCCAGGCGCAGTAGCTCACACTTATAATTTTAGCACTTTGGGAGTCTGAGAAAGGAGGATCACTTGAGCCCAGGAGTTCAAGACGAGCCTTGGCAAGAAAGTGAGACCCCATCTCTGCAAAACAATTTTTAAAATTAGCCAGGTGGACCAGGCGCAGTGCCTCACGCCTGTAATCCTAGCACTTTGGGAGGCCAAGGCGGGCAGATCTGAGGTCAGGAGATTGAGACCATCCTTGCTAACACGGTGAGACCCCGTCCCTATTAAAAATACAGAAAATTAGCTGGGCGCGGTGGCACACACTTGTAGTCCCAGCTACTCGGGAGGCTGAGACAGGAGAATCACTTGAACCCAGGAGGCAGAGGTTGCAGTGAGCCGAGATCATGCCACTGCACTCCAGCCTGGGCAAGAGAGCGAGATTCTGTCTCAAAAAAAAAAAAAAAATTAGCCAGGTGCGGTGGCGCATGCCTGTAGTCCTAGCTACGCAGGAGGCTTAGGCAGGTGGATCCCTTGAGCCCAACAGTTCAAGACAGCAGTGAGCCATGATCACACCACTGCACTCCAGCCTGGGTGACGAAGTAAGACTGTGTCTCTTAAAAACAAATTTTAAAATAAAGGAAAAAGATAAATAAAGTGATATTTATAAAGCAGTTAAGACAGGGCAGGCCACAGTTAATGCTGGAGAAGTGTTGGGTAAATAGGAAAAAGTGACTGTGACCCCTTCGAGTGCCAGCACTTCTTTCCACGTTCAAGCAGCTCTCACCTCCCGCTGCCAGTGACTTCAGAGTCTGCATTACAAGGAGCACTTCTCTGGGTGCCTGCCCTGGGTGTTCAGGTCCTCCTCAATGCCCTGCTCATGCCCCAGTGTCTGGGGACTGGGTGTCAGGAGCCATGCCAGGCACTCAACATGGAGCAAATAGGACAGGGCACAGGGTATCGGCGTGGAAGAAAACAGCATAACCCTATTTTATATTTTATTTTATTATTTATTTATTTATTTATTTATTTATTTATTTATTTTGAGGTGGAGTTTCAATCTTGTTGCCCAGTCTGGAGTGCAGTGGCACAATCTCGGCTCACTGCAACCTCCACCTCCCAGGTTCAAGCGATTCTCCTGCCTCAGCCTCCTGAGTAGCTGGGACTACAGGGGCCCGCCACCACACCCAGCTAATTTTTGTATTTTTAGTAGAGACAGGGTTTCACCATGTTGGCCAGGCTGGTCTCAAACTCCTGACCTCAGGTGATCCGCCTGCCTTGGCCTCCCAAAGTGCTGAGATTACAGGCATGAACCACCATGCCAAGGCTTTTCTTTTCTTTTTTGAGATAGGGTCTCCCTCTGTCACCCAGGCTGGAGTTCTGTGATGCTATCATAGTTCACTATAGCCTCCTCAACCTCCTAGGTTCAAGCGATCCTCCCACCTCAGCCCCCCGAGTAGCTGGGACTACAGGTGTGCACCACCACACCCGGCTAATTTCTGTATTTTTTGTAGAGATGGGGTCTCGCTATGCTGCCCAGGCTGGTCTTGAACCCCTGGGCTTAAGTGATCTTCCTGCCTTGACCTTCCAAAGTGCTGAGATTACAGCTGTGAGCTACTGCACCCAGCCCAAGTATAATTTTCTTGACTCCAACCTTCACCACCTCTGACAATATCATTGAGACATATTTGGGTAAATTCAGTCCAAATTGGTGATTTTTGTTGTTGTTGTTCAGTTGCATTGAAGATTCTAAGCCCCAGCCATTCTCTGAGGACCGCCATGGTGTTCTTTCTTCTGCTTCACTTGCCCCTGGGAGAGCCTCAGCCCCCAGGCCACAGGGTGGGAGCCCGCGAATGTGGCTGGGTGACTGGGGGAGGGGAGAGAGTTTGGACAAAGCTGGGTGGCTGATGGGTTGCTCCCCCCACCTCCCACCTGCAGGAGCACTGCGGTTTCTCTTGCAGCTTGGAGGCTTTCCTCTTCATTTTTGTTGTTGCTAAGGCTTCTCAAGCCTCCTGCTTGACGCCTGCTTGGGACCAGCCGTCAGCTACAAGGTCACATCCTCCCAGCTACCTTCTGTATCCCTATCAGAGCCTGCAGAAACTCCTGGAGCACCTCTGCACCATACACAGGTCATGCAATACCTCATCAGCACTCTCCAGCCCTGTCTTCCTCAGGCCCCCTGGGTAGGTAAGACAGATAAAACACAGGGCATTCAGTTAAATTTGAATTTCAGATAACCAACAAATAGTGTTTTAGTGACTGGGCACGGTGGCTCATGCCTGTAACCCCAACACTTTGGGAGACCAAGATGGATGATCCCTTGAGGCCAGGTATTCAAGACCGGCCTGGGCAACATAGCGAGACCTCCGTCACCGTCCCTATAAAAATTTAAAAATTAACCGGGTGTGGTGGCGCACATCTGTAGTCCCAGCTACTTGAGGGGCTGAGGCAAGAAAATTGATAAAGCCCAGGAGGTCAAGGCTGCAATGAGCCATGTTCGTGCCACTTCACTCCAGCCTGGACAACAGAGCAAGACCCCATCTCTAAAATAATAGTAATAATAATAATAATAATAATGTTTTAGTATAAGTATGTCCCAGCAATTGCATCCTGCATTTTTATCTGCCAAATCGGGCTGCCCAACCCATGGAGCTGGATTTGTCTGTAAAGACGCAACCCAGCAACTCCAGTTAGGGAGGAGGATGCCAATCTGCCTCTCCCTCAAATACCCCAAACTCCCCGGGGGCACCCTTCCTCTGTATTTCCTTCCTTTCCATCTACCCCTTCCCCCACCCCACCTTCTTTCCCCCTGGACTGGCCTCAAGGAGGGGTAGGGAGGAAAAGTTCCACCTGCCTCCACGACCAGACCCTCCCTCGGGTTCCCTTTCCAGCTCACTACATCTTCCCTCTCGCTAGCAGGAGAAACCTCATTCTCCCGCTTGGCCCCTCCTGGGTCCTCTCTGCCTCACACCTGGCACACAGGCCTTTGAACTGGCAGTTTGGGCCCTCTGTCTCCATACCCAGCTGCTTTTGTGGGGTGGGGATGGTAGGAAACAGAACACATTGTTTGCCATTTTAAATCACTAGCCCCCTGCAAATCTCCACACCAGCCCTCGAGGCACCCATCACCTTCTTTGAGCCCTGTTACAACCTGCCCATTTCACAGAGGACACTGACCCTCAGAAGGGCGAAGGCTTTTGCCCCAGGTCCCACCGCTGGTGAGGGATGGGCTGTGGGGGTCTCTTTCCAAGGCCCCAGGGCTCCCCAGGCAGGCCACCGCCTTCTCAGAGACTTGGGGTCCCTGTAGGCCTGGCAGGGAAAGGCTGAGCTGCTGAGGATCCGGCTGCCTGAACCCAGGATGTCTTTCAATACGCAAGCTGGAGCTGCAGCCGCCTGGTGAAGCCTCATCCCACCCTCAACTAGGGGGGCCTCGTGTGACATTTCCTCTTCGGGGATCAGCCACCGCGGTGCTGGGGTGACAGAAAGGAAGGAAGAAAAGGCCCCATCTCCCCCACGAGAATTCAGAGAGATCTGACAGCTCAAAGTGGCCAGGCTTATGCACACAGGTCTCAAGAACAAGGGAAGCCTCTCTCCGAACCAGTGCCGCCACTCACCAAGTTCCTGGGCAACTCATCTCAGGGCCTCAAGCCCCAATTTCCTCATCCAAAGAATTGGGTCAACAGTCACAGGGCTGAAGGAAGTATTAAAAATGGCCTTACAGCCAGGTGTGATGGCCCACACCTGTAATCCCAGCACTTTGGGAGGCCAGAGCACTAGAACCATTTTAGGCCAGGAGTTCAAGACCAGCCTGGGCAACATAGCAAGACCTCCATCTCTACAAAAAGAAAAAAAAAAAAAGGACCCTAAATAATAAAAATAAATGACTAACATTTATTTAGTGTATATTATATGCCAGACACTGCTATAGGCACTTTGCATAGTACATTAAATTCTTGAATCAGGGCTGGGCATGGTGACTCATGCCTGTAATCCCAGCACTTTGCAAGGCCAAAGGCGGGCGAGTCACTTTAAGCTAGGAGTTTGAGACCAGCTTGACCACCATGGCAAAAAATACAAAAATTAGCCAGGTGTGGTGGTGCATACTGTGGTCCCAGATTCTCAGGAGGCTGAGGCAGGAGAATTGCTTGAACCCAGGAGGTAGATGTTGCAGTGAGCTGAGACTGCACCACTGCACTCCAGCCTGGTTGATAGGGTGAGCAAGACTGTCAGGAAAAAAAATTTTACGCAATCTTTCCAACAAGCCTATGAGGTGGGCACTATTATCATTTCTACTTTATTGCTGAAGAAACTGAGGCAGAGGGATGAAGTCACTTGCTAACGTTCACACGGCCACTGAGTCAGTATTTTAATTTTTTTTTTTTTTTTTGAGACAGAGTCTTGCTCTGTCACCCAGACTGGAGTGCAGTGGTGCGATCTCGGCTCATTGCAACCTCCGCATCCCGGCTCAAGCAATTCTCATGCCTCAGTTTCCCGAGTAGCTGGGGTTACAGGCACCCACCACCACGCCCGGCTGAGTTTTGTATTTTTAGTAGAGACGGGGTTTCTCCATGTTGGCCAGGCTGATCTTGAACTCCTGCCCGCTAGTGATCTGCCTGCCTCAGCCTCCCAAAGTGCTGGGATTACAGGCATGAGCCACGGAGCCCAGCCCAATATTCTAATTGTGTTAACTACCGCAGCTTATATATAGAACACATAGCACAGAACTGCTCAATAAATTTGTGGCACCAACTAAAATGTCCCCATGAATAGACAGCAGTTAGCAGAATAGACCAGCAAATCCAGAAACAGCCCAAGAGAATTTAGCATAGGATAAGGCACTTTTTCAGATGAGTGGGGAAAATACGGATTATGCAATAAATTGGCTTTGGGACAAAGTTTAGCCATCTGAAAAAAAAATAATAATGCAGATTCATAGTTCACACCTTACACCAGGATAAATTACGTTCATGGTTTAAATGAGGCCAGGCATGGTGGCTCACGCCTGTAACCACAGCACTTTAGGAGGCTGAGGCAGGAGGATCGCTTGCGCCCAGGAGTTTGAGACCAGCCTGGGCAACATATCAAGACCCTATGTCTACAAAAAATAATTTAAATTAGCTGAGCATGGTGTCACTGCAGTCCCAGCTACTAGGGAGGCTGAGGTGAGAGGATCACTTGAGCCAGGGAGGTCAAGGCTACAGTGAGCTATGATAGTGCCACTGCACTCCAACCTGGGTGATAGAACAAGATCCTGTCTCAAAAAAAAAAAAAAAAGATTTAAACATTAGCAATAAAATAGCAACAATACTAAAATAAACTATGTCAGATTTTTTTTTAAATCTCAGAATGGGAAAACCTAACACAAAACCAATATGTCATAAAACAAAAGATTGATCAACTTGGTCGGACGCAGTGGCTCATGCCTGTAATCCCAGCACTTTGGGAGACCAAGGTGGGCAGATCACCTGAGGTCAGGAGTTCCAGACCAGCCTGGCCAACATAGTGAAACCCCATCTCTACTAAAAATACAAAATTTAGCCGGGCGTGGTGGTGGGTGCTTGTACTCCCAGCTACTCGGGAGGCTGAGGCAGGAGAATCGCTTGAACCCAGGAGGCAGAAGTTGTAGCGTGCCGAGATCACACCACTGCTGCACTCCAGCCTAGGCAACAGAGCGAAACTCTGTCTCAAAAAAAAAAAGAGATTGATAAACTCAACTCTGTAATAAGAAACGTCTCGTGTCAAAAGCCTTGATGAGTATAAACGATATTAAATGCCAAGTGTCACAGGAAGCTCCACTTTTTGAAGATCCATCAAGCTGCACGCTTCTGATTTCACACTGTGTGGAGCATGTTATACTTCAGAAACATGTTTTTTAAAAAGATCAGTGACAAACGGGAAAAATATAGCTGCTTCTCATGAAATAAATAAGAAAAAGACTACTCAAAAAAATGTCAATGGACGTGTACAGATAGATCACAGAAGAGTAAATAGAAACAATGCAAACATATGAAAAGATGCTCCGCTATTTTTCATAATAAAAGAAATGCAAATTAAGACTATAATAAGACTCTAACCTTGGCTGGGTGTGGTGGCTCACGCCTGTAATACCAGCACTTTGGGAGGCCGAGGCAGGCAGATCACCTGACGTCAGGAGTTCAAGACCAGCCTGGCCAACAGGACAAAACCCCATCTCTACTAAAAATACAAAAATTAGCTGGGTGTGGAGGCACACACCTGTAATCCCAGCTACTTGGGAGGCTGAGGCAGGAGAATTGCTTGAACCCAGGAGATGGAGGTTGCAGCGAGCCGAGATCGTGCCACTGCACTCCAGCCTGGGCGACAGAGCAAGACTCTGTTTAAATAAAAAAAGACTCATCTTTACCTAACAGTTTGGCAAAAGATTAAGGAGTTTGATAGCACTCTGAGCTGGCAAGGGTGTGGGGAAACAGCTACTGTGGGCCACCTCTTGTGGGAGTGTCAACTAATCCCTTCCCCCGAAGGGGAATTTGGCAGTATCTAGCAAAATCACACATGCATATTCACTTTGACCAAACGACTCTTCTTCAAGGGATTCATTATACAGAAGTCCTCCCACGCGGGCTAAATGACTTACACATAAGATTATTCATTGCAGCTTCTGGGGGGTAAACTATTAAAACAATCTAAATGTCCATCATGAGGTAGCTATTTAAAGTCCATCCACACAACAGCATAACCATGCAGCTATTAAAAAAGAATGCACTGGGCCGGGCACGGTGGTCCTGCCTGTAATCCCAGCACTTTGGGAGGCCAAGGCGGGCGGATCACGAGGTCAGGAGTTCGAGACCAACCTGTCCAATATGGTGAAGTCCCGTCTCTACTAAAAAATACAAAAATTAGCTGGGCATGGTGGCACGTGCCTGTCATCCGAGCTACTTGGGAGGCTGAGGCAAGAAAATCTCTTGAACCTGAGAGGTGGAGATTGCAGTGAGCCAAGATCACTGCCACTGCACTCCAGCCTGGGCAACAGAGTGAGACTCCATCTCAAACAATAGAAAAAGAATGCACTGGCCGGGTGTGATGTCTAACACCTGTAATCCCAGCACTTTGGAAGGCTGAGGCAGGAGGATGGCTTGAGCTCAGAGGTTCGAGACCAGCCTGAGAAACATGGTGAGACTCCTGCCTCTACAAAAGATACAAAAATTAGCCGGGCATGGTGGCAGGCGCCTGTAATCCCAGCTACTCAAGAAGCTAAGGTGGGAGGATCACCTGAGCCCGCAGTGGAGGTTGTAGTGGGCCAAGATCGTGCCACTGCACTCCAGCCTGGGCAACAGAGTGAAACGGAGTTCGAGACCAGCCTGGCCAACATAGCAAAACCCCATCTCTACTAAAAATACAAAAATTAGCCGGGTGTGGTGGCAGGCACCTGTAATCCCAGTTACTCAGAAGGCTGAGGCAGGAGAATGGTTTGAACCCGGGAGGCAGAGGTTGCAGTGAGCCAAGATTGTGCCAATGCACTCCAGCCTGGGTGACAGAGCAAGACTCTGTCTCAAAAACAAACAAACAAACAAACAAAAAAAAAACAATGCACAAGGTTGTAAGTTTTAGGGTAATGATGTCAAACCTCCAAGATACGGCATTACACGAAAAAGCAAAATACAAACAGTGCGTGGAATTATACCATTTATATAAAAACGAAGTGGCTGCAAATTTGCTTAAACGTGCATTTGCTTATAGAAGTGTGGAAAATCTTTGGGTAACTGATAAGAATGACTGTGACTTTGGACAGGAATTTGGTGGTTAGGGAACAGGTGGGAGAGAGATTTTTCTGTTAAAATCTTTAGTACCTTTGGAATTTTGAACCACAGGAATATACTGCCTTTTCCTTTTCTTTTTTTTTAGGCTGGTCTCAAACTCCTGGGCTGAAGGTATCCTTCTGCCTTAGCCTACCGAGTAGCTGGGATTACAGAGTACTGCCTATTAAAATATATATATCTATATATATGTGTGTGTGTGTGTGTGTGTGTGTGTGTGTGTGTGTGTGTGTGTAGCTGGGCACAGTGGCTCATGCCTGTAATCCCAGCACTTTGAGAAGTGGAGCCGGGTGGATAACTTGAGGCCAGGAGTTTGAGACCAGCCTGGGTAACATAGCTAGATCTCATCTCTATAAAAAAAAAATTTAAAAATCACCTTGTATCTCATAAATGTAAACAACTATGATTTGTCAATCAAAATAATATTAATTAAAAAATTTTTTAATTCTAACTGATATCACACCAAATTAAAAAAAAAAATTAAAAAGGCCGGGCACATTGGCTCACACCTGTAATCCCAGCACTTTGGGAAGCTGAGGAGGGTGGATCATCTGAGGTCAGGAGTTCTAGAACAGCCTGGCCAACATGGTAAAACTCTGTCTCTACGAAAACTACAAAAGTTAGCCGGGCGTGGTGGCAGGTGCCTTTAATCCCAGATACTCAGGGGGCTGAGGCAGGAGAATCACTTGAACCTGGGAGGCAGAGGTTGCAGCGAGCCGAGATCATGCCATCACACTCCAGCCTGGGGGACAAGAGAGGGACTTTGTGTCAAAAAATAAAAATAAAATAAAATAAATAAATAAATAAATAAATCGTAGGCCAGGTGAGGTGGCTCATGCCTATAACCCCAGCACTTAGGGAGGCCAAGGCTTGTGGATCACTTGAGGTCAGGAGTTTGAGACTAGCCTGGCTAACGTGGTGAAACCCCGTCACTACTAAAAATACAAAAATTAGCCAGGCGTGGTGGCGAGCACCTGTAGTCCCAGGTACTCAGGAGGCTGAGGCAGGAGAATTGCCTGGACCCACCACTGCACTCTAGCCTGGGTGACAGGGTGAGACCCTGTCTCAAAAAATAAAAATTAAGTTTAAAAAATCTTAAGAAGTAAGAAGACTACTTCCTGATTTCAATATGTGTTACAAAGCTACAGTAATCAAAACAATGTGGTACTTGGCATAAAGACAGAGATATAGACTAATGGAATAGAGAGCCCGGAAATACATCCTTACATTTATTATTATTATTATTATTATTATTATTATTATTATTATTATTATTTTTGTTACAAGATCTCACTCTGTTGCCCAGGCTGGCACACAGTGGTATGATTGTAGCTCACTGAAACTTCAAACTCCTGTGATCAAGCTATCCTCCCACCTCAGTCTCCCAAGTACCTGAGACTAGATGTGGGTGTCACCATGTCTGGCTATTTTTTTTTTTTTTTTTGGCAGAGACCTAGTTTCACTACATTGCCCAGGCTGGTCTCAAACTCCTGGCCTCAAAGGATCCTCTCACCTCTGCCTCCCAAAGTGCTGGGATTACAGGCGTGAGGCACCATGCCTGGCCCACCCTCACATTAATGGTTAAATAATCTTTGGCAAGGGTGCCAAGACCATTCAGTGGCAGAAAAAGCAGTATCTTCAACAAATGGTGTTGGGAAAACTGGCTATTCACATACAAATAATGCAGTTAGACCCTTATCATACACCGTACACACACACAAAAAAATTTTTTTGAGACGGAATTTTGCTCTTGTCGCCCAGGCTGGAGTGCGATGGCGCGACCTCGGCTCACCACAACCTCCACCTCCAGGGCTCCAGGATGCTCCTGCCTCAGCCTCCTGAGCAGCTGGGATTACAGGAGCGCACCACCAAGCCTGGCTAATTTTGTATTTTTAGTAGAGACGGGGTTTCTCCATGTTGGTCAGGCCGGTCTCGAACTCCCGACCTCGGTGATCTGCCCGCCTTGGCCTCCCAAAGTACTGAGATTACAGGCATGAGCCACCATGCCTGGCCATATACAAAAATTAATTCAAAATTTAAAGACTTAAATATAAGGCCTAAAACTATAAAACGCCTAGAAAAAAAATATAGGGAAAAAGCTTCATGTCACTGAACTTGACAATGATTTATTAGATATGACACCAAGAAAGGCACAGGCAGCCAGGCACGGTGGCTCATGCCTGTATTCCCAGCACTTTAGGAGCCGAGGTGGGCAGATCACTTGAGGTGAGGAGTTCAAGACCAGCCTGGCCAACATGGCAAAACCCTGTCTGTACTAAAAATACAAAAATTAGCTGAGCGTGGTGGCACATGCCTGTAATCCCACATACTCAGGAGGCTGAGGCAGAAGGATCACTTGAACCCAGGAGGTGGAGGTTGCAGTGAGCCAAGATCGTGCCACTGCAATCCAACCTGGGCAACAAGAGTGAAACTCTGTCTCAAAAAAAAAAAGAAAGAAAGAAAGAAAAGAAAGGCACAGGCAACAATAACATCAAAAAAAAGGTAAAATAGGACTACATCAAAATTAAAAACCTCTGTGCATCAGCCGGGCGTGGTGGCTCACGCCTGTAATCCCAGCATTTTGGGAAGCTGAGGCAGGTAGATCACCTGAGGTCAGGAGTTCAAGACCAGCCTGGCCAACATGACAAAACCCTGTCTCTACTAATAAAACAAAAATTAGCTGAGTATGGTGGTGAGAGCCTGTAGTCCCAGCTACTTGGGAGGCTGAGGTAGGAGAATCGCTTGAACCTGGGAGGCAGAGGTTGCAGTGAGCTGAGATCGCACCATTGCACTCCAGCCTGGGCAACAAGAGTGAAACTCCATCTCAAAAACAAAACAAAACAAAACAGAACTTCTGTGCATCAAAGGACACAGTCAACCCCGTGAAAAGCAACCTATGGAATGGGAGAAAATATTTGCAAATCATATATCTGATAACAGGTTAATACCCTAAATATTTTTTTAAAAAACTCCTACAACTCAACAACAACAAAACAACCCAACTTAAAGAATGGGCAGGCTGGGCATGGTGCCTCATGCCCATAATGCCAGTACTTAGGGAGGCAGAAGCAGAAGGATTGCTTGAGCCCAGGAGTTTGAGGCCAGCCTGAGCAACATAGCAAGACTCTAGACTCTAAAAAGATAAATAAAAATAAATTTTTAATGCGCAAAATACTTGAATAGGCATTTCTCCAAAGATGATATACAAATGGCCAACAAATGTATGAAAAGATGCTCAATACCACAAATCCTTAGGAAAATGCAAATCAAACCCATGAGATACCACTCTATACCCACTAGAATGGTTATGATCAAAAAACAGGGCCGGGTGCAGTGACTCACGCCTGTAATCTCAACACTTTGGGAGGCCAAGGCAGGAGGATCACCTGAAGTCAGGAGTTCGAGACCAGCCTGGCCAACATGGTGAAACCCCATCTCTACTAAAAATACCAAAAAAAAAAAAAAATTAGCTGGGCATGATGGCATGTGCCTATAATCTCAGCTACTTGGGAGGCTGAGGCAGGAGAATTGTTTGAACCCGGGAGGCGGAGGTTGCAGTGAGCCGAGATCACATCATTGCACTCCAGTCTGGACAACAGAGTGAGACTCCGTCAAAAAAAAAAAAAAAAAAAAAAAAAAAAAAACAGAGAATAACAAGCGTTGGGAAGGACATAGAGAAATTGGAGCTCTTGTTCTCTGTTGGTGGGAATGCAAAATGGTGCAACCTCTATGAAAAATAAGATGGCAGTTCCCCAAAATGTTAAAAACAGAACTACCATGTGATCTGGCAATCCCACTTCTGGGTATATATTTAAAAGAATTAAAAGCTAGAATTTTTTTTTTTTAACAAAGTCTTGCTCTGTCGCCCAGGCCGGCAGGCTGGAGCTCAGTCTTCCTCCTCCCAGGTTCAAGCGATTCTCCTACCTCAGCCTCCCAAGTAGCTGGGATTATAGGTGCACACCACCACACCCAGCTAATTTTTGTATTTTTGGTAGAGACAGATTTTCACCATGTTGGCCAGGCTGGTCTTGAACTCCTGACCTCAGGTGATCCACCCACCTTGGCTTCCCAAAGTGCTGGGATTACACACGTGAGCCACCGTGCCTGGCCTAAAAGCTAGATCTTGAAGACGTAGCTGCACTCCCATGCTCATAGCAGCATTGCTCACAGTAGCCAGGGTGGAAGCAACCCAACTGGCCATTGAAGGATGAGGGGATAAACAAAATATGGTATATCCATATGTCTTAGTCTGTTTTGTACCACTATAACAGAACTCCACAGACAGGGTAATTAATAAGAAAGAGAATTGTATTATTATTATTTTTTAGATGGAGGCCAGCAGATCACTTGGGGGGCAGGGGATGGAGTCTTGCTCTGTCACCCAGGCTGGAGGGCAGTGGTGTGATCTCGGCTCACTGCAACCTCCGCCTCCTGGGTTCAAGCAATTCTCCTGCCTCAGCCTCCTAAGTAGGTGGGATTTCAGGTGCCCACCGTGTTTTGAGTAGAGACAGTGTTTCACCATGTTGTCCAGGCTGGTCTCGAACTCCTGACCTCAAGTGATCTGCCGGCCTCAGGCTCCCAAAGTGCTGGGATTACAGGCATGAGCCACTGTCCCTGGCCAGAAAAAGAAATTGTTAAAAATACACTTCTGGAGCCTGGGAAGTCCAAGCTTGGGGGCCTGCATCTGGCAAGGGCCTTCTTGCTGTGTCAGCCCATGGTGGAAGGCGGAAGGGCAAGAAAGCATTTGCAGGAGACAGCAAGAGAGAGAGCTGAACTTGCTTTTATAACAACCCGCTCTGGCAATAACGACATTAATCCATGCATGAGGGCAGAGTCCTCAGGGCCTAATCACCTTAACAGTCCAGCTGAGACTGGAGAATAGCAGGGGGAATTGGAGGTTGGATAGAGGGTGGAATGAGTAGGAGCAGAAGCAGAATAAAGAGGTGGGTGAGCAAGAAGCAGAAGTTGAGCCAAAACAAAAGTGAGATCAAGAAATAAGGAGCCCTTGGTTGGCAAGATCCAGACCAAACCTGTCCCCTCAGGGATTTGCAAGAGAGAAAAGGTATCCTTAAAAGGACCCCATATGGGCCAGGAGCGATGGCTCACACCTGTAATGCCAGCACTTTGGGAGGCCAAGGTAGGCGGATCACGAGGTCAGGAGTTCAAGACCAGCCTGGCCAACATGGTGAAACCCCGTCTCTACTAAAAATACAGAAATTAGTTGGGTGTGGTGGCGCACGCCTGTAATCCTAGCTACTCGGGAGGCTGAGGCAGGAGAATTGCTTGAACTCGGGAGGTGGAGATTGCAGTGAGTTGAAATTGCGCCACTGCACTCCTGCCTGGGTGACAGAGCGAGATTCTGTTTCAGAAAAAAAAAAAAAAACCACGGACCCCATATGATAATCAGGTCATTAAAGCTCACACATGTGGACTGTATATCGTGCATGTACTTAAAATTATGGGATGGAGGCAACACACAAGCTCACAGAGGTTGAGAAATAAATTAAACAACCCCACCCATCAATCAAAAGGCAAAAGTCATCTACTTGCTAAAGATTATGCAACTCAGGAAAGAAAACATATTGAAAGACTCAAAATACACCAAACTGGTGCTGATCTCATTTTGCAGAGGTCAGTCTGCTCTCCCCTCTCTGAGAGTGTGTTACTGTGCTTAGTAAACTTTGGCTTCTTGCTCTGTGTGTCTCCTCTGATTCTTTGTTCATAGCACCAAGAAACTGGGACTTTGGTAACATGATCTATTTTTTTTTTTTTTTTTTTTTTTTAGACAGTGTCTTGCTCTGTGGCCCTGGCTGGAGGGCAGTGGCTCAATGTCAGCTCACTGCAGTCTTGACCTCCTGGGCTCAAGCCATCCTCCCACCTCAGCCTCCCAAGTAGCTGGGACCATAGGCATGTGCCACCACACCTGACTAATTTTTTAATTTTTTGTAGAGACAGGGTCTCTCTATGTTACTCAAGCTGGTCTCAAATTTCTGGGCCCAAGCCATCCTCCCATCTTGGCCTCCCAAATGTTGGGATTACAGGCATGAGCCACTGCGCCCAGTCATTCCACCTCTTAATACCATCACGATGGCAATTAAACATGAGTTTTGGAGGGGACTTTTAATTGTAGCACCGTGCAATGGAATATTATTCAACCTTCAAAAGGAAGGAAATCCTATCGCACGCTATGGCATGGATGAATCTGGAGGACATTATGCTAATGAAATAAGCCAGTCACACACATGCAAAAACAAGAAACAGAAAGTAGACTGGCAGTTGCCAGGAGTTGTTGTTTAATGGGTAGGGAGTTTTAGTTTTGCAAAGATGAAAAACACTTTTGCAAGATGAAAAAGTTCTAGAGATCTGTTGCACAACGATGTGAATATACTTAACACTACTGAACTGTACACTTACAAATGGTTAAGATGGTAAATGTTATCTTATGTGGTGGGGTTTTTTTTAACCATAGCATCTAAAAAAATTAAACACGTTGGTGAGCAATCAGTTTGCAGTCTCTCCTTTAGACAGTGCTTTCTCTAAGGCTGGGAACGTACCACGTGTTAGGGCTGGAAGGAACTTGTTGTTAAGGGCCTCACGTGTTTGTCTTAAGCTCTTTTTTAATTCATTTGCTCAACATGATTGTCGAACAGCTACTCTGTGCCAAGCTCTTTGCTGGACCCTGGAGTGACAGAGATGAACAGGGAGCTCACAGTCCCAAGGAGGATAGACAAAAACACCAAATGTATAAAGAGATCAGCGTTATAGCCGGGTGCGGTGGTTCAAGCCTGTAATCCCAGCACTTTGGGAGGCCAAGGCTGGTGCATCACATGAGGACAGGAGTTCAAGACCAGCCTGGCCAACATGGTGAAACCCCATCTCTACTAAAAATACAAAAATTAGCCAGGCATGGTGGCACATGCCTGTAGTCCCAGCTACTTGGGAGGCTAGGGCAGAAGGATTGATTGCTTGAACCCAGGAGGTGGAGGTTGCAGTGAGCCAATATCATGCCATTGCACTCCAGCCTGGGCAACAGGGCCAGACAGACTCCATCTCAAAAAAAAAAGAGATCAGCATTAGGAAGTCAATTCAATGGGGTAATGAGATGCAGGGGGACTGAGATGGGAACACACACAGTTACATGGGGTGGAGGGTGAAGGCTCCTCCTAGCAGAGGAAACTTCAGCCAGATCCACATGATGGAAGGAGGAGGCCACGTGAGGCCATGGGGGCAGAGTTCCAGGCAGAGGGAACAGCAAGTGCAAAAACCCAGAGGAAGAAAAGAGCCTGGTGGTTTTGGGGTGTCGAGGAAGCAAAAAGGCCCACATGACTGACTCAGGGAGCAAGTGGGGGAGGTGGGTGGTTGAAATACTGCCAGCAGCCCCAATATACATGGAATGGGAAAAAGGCCACCTTTACCAGCGTAGACTTGTTTTGCAAATTCAAATGGATCATTATTTTCTATGGAAAAAATAATAAATTATGGCCAGACGTGGTGGCTCACACCTGTAATCCAGCACTTTGGGATGCCAAGGCAGGAGGATCACTTGAGCCCAAGAGGTTGAGGCTGCAGTGAGCCATCATTCACACCACTGCACTCCAGCCTGGGCAACAGAGCAAGACCCCATCTCTAAAAAAAGTCGATCAATTAATAAATAATAACAACAAACTGATTTGTCCTAGAGAAAGGCTAGGTCAACAGAAACCCCTGAAAGCCTCATATTTGCCTCGATACATTCAATGTCTGCTGAATCCCTGAATCAGCTTCTTGGAGTGGTTTACAAGCCATGGATTTGATCTGACTCCCTTCACCCCGACGCAGCAGGTGGGTGGGAGGAGCTCCACGCAAGGCTGGTGGAACAGGAGTCAGGCCCAGAGGTAGGGCGAGGAGGCCTGGGAGAAGAGTTCCGTCACCATGGTCCTTAATTACATTGGAGAAGCCTCAATTGTGGTTTCTGGAGGGACCTGTGTCCCACTTCATTTATGGGGAGAACTCTCTCCCCAACCTCCAGGCAGCCTGGACCTGGATGTGGAGCCTGGACTAGGCCAATCACAGGTGCTGGTGAACAGAGAGGAAGGGACAGTTAGGGCCAAGCCAGTGGCCCAACACAGAGCTGGGGTGTCTGGGCAGGGCAACAGTAGTCCCTGCTATGCACAACTGTCCCCCACGTCCCATTGGCTTTCCAGGACGGCTTCCCCACTCCAATGATCCCTTGTGCCTGGCTGGCCCTCCCATTAATCTCCAGCATTTAACAGCTCCAGTTGGTTTCCGTTGCTTGCCACCAGGAGCTCTGAAGGATGCAGAGGGTCTCTCAGGCTCTGGGGCCTCTGCAGAGCCTGCCACGGCTGCTGGGATCCCAGCGCTGCCACCCAGAGGCCTTGTGGTCTCGGACAGGTGATCGACGGTGCTGCCAGGCTGTGATTAAGAGATGGTAGAGCCAGAAAAGAGTTAGCTACCAGTGGGCTTTGTGTTTCCTAAAATTTCATTCTTCTGAATCTACATTCACCATTTGTGACTTTTACTATATCCATAACTGTCTGTTCCCACTTTATTAGTTTTCTACTTTTTTTTTTTTTTTTTTTGAAACAGAGTCTTGCTCTATCACCCAGGCTGGAGTGCAGTGGTGAGATCTTGCCTCACTGCAACTTCCGCCTCCCAGGTTCAAGTGATTCTCCCGCCTCAGCCTCCCCAGTACCTGGGACTACCGGTGCATGCCACCACCCCTGGCTAATTTTTGTATTTTTAGTAGAGATGGGGTTTCACCATGTTGACCAGGCTTGTCTCAAACTCCTGATCTCAAGTGATCCGCCCACCTCAGCCTCCCAAAGTGCTGGGATTACAGGTGCGAGCCACCGCGCCTGGCCCCCAGGATTTTTTTATATTTAATTTTTTAGAGTCAGCATCTCTGTCTGTTGCCCAGGCTGGAGTGCAGTGGAGTAAACATAGCTCACTGCAGCCTCGAACTCCTGGTCTCAAGAAACCCTCCTGCCTCAGCTTTCCAAGTAGCTGGGACTACAGGCTGGAGTCACTACACCCAGCTAATTTTTAAAACTTTTATTTTATTAAGATTTTTTTTTTTTTGAGAGGAGTCTTTCTCTGTTGCCCAGGCTGGAGTACAGCGGCGTGACTTCAGCTCACTGAAACTTCCACCTCCCAGGTTCAAGCAATTCTCCTGCCTCAGCCTCCCCAGTAGCTGGGATTACAAGTATGTGCCATCACACATGGCTAATTTTTATATTTTTTAGTAGAGATGAGGTTTCACCATGTTGGCCAGGCTGGTCTCAAACTCCTGGTCTCAAGAGATCCGCCTGCCTCAGCCTCCCAAAGTGCTGGAATTATAGGCATGAGCTACCACATCCGGCCTATTGTTATTTTCATCTTAATTTTTTTTCTTTTTTTTTTTTTTTTGTAGAGACAGAGTCTCACTATATTGCCCAGGATGGTCTAGAACTCCAAGCCTCAAGCAATCTTCCTTCCTCAGCCTCTGAGAGTGCTGGGACTATAGGACTGAGCCACTGCCTGTAATCCCGGCATCTCTCCAGGATTTAAGGTGAATTACCTCTGCTTCTGTTTAAAATGGGCATGCATACAGCCAGCTCAGACTTTGACAATGACCAACCTAATTTGATCAGAGTTCTGTCATTTTGAGGGTTCCTAGCTGTGTGACCTTGGGCAGGTCACTCAACCTTTCTGTGCCTCAGTCTCCCTATCTGTAAAATTGAGTTAGTACGAACTCATAGGGTTGTTGTGAAGATTAAAGACTGTCTCAGAGCAAGTGTCTGTTAAATAAATAAGCCCACCACAGTACAGCTAGAACCACTGAGGTGCTGGGAAGGGAAGGGATGGGCTCAAGAGTCCTTGGAGGACCCCTGATGCCAGGCCAGAGCCTCCCCTCCTCTCAGCCCCTTGCCAGCCCCCACTGGCCTCACCTTCAGACATCTGCTGGAGGGCACTCTCCCTCCGCCCCTTGTTAGCCCAAGCCCCACCTCTGCCCTGGCTGCTGGATTTGCCCCTCACCCCAAGCCCGTGAGGGAGGTGGGTTCACATCTGAGGCCCACAGAGGGTACAGAACCTCCCCCATGCCACTGCCTTTGTATGTCCCAGGGCCAGGAGGAGGGCGCAGTGGATTCTGGGCTCCCACCCCCAGCCCCAGCCCCCGCACACCCGCGTTATCTCTCAGCAGCAGCCACTGAGCCTCCCAATATCTCTCTGATCCCCCAAATTTCCGGTTCCCCAAAGACAACTCAGGATGTGGGGAGGGAGGGGCAGGGAGAGGAGGAGGGAGACAGAGAAGAGAGAGATCGCAGCAAGAGACAGTGAGCCACACAGAGACCAGAAGGAGAATCTCCAAGACAGAGACCAAAACTAGGGCAGAGACGCAGAGACAGATGAGAGAGACAGAGCAGTTCCCAAAGAGCGAGAAAGAGAGAGACAGACAGACAGACAGAGGAAGAGCGCTGGAGAGACATAAACAGACTAGAGACAGAGTCAGAGCCAAAGGGGCGCGGTGACCCCAAGACACACAGTGACAAAGACACAGGGAGACAGGGGCAGAAGTGGAGAGACTGAGGGCCAGGCAGACACAAAAGCGGAGATGGAATAGGGAGAGGGGAGGCTTGGGGTGAGAGATGTTGGGGGTACCCGGAAACAGAAAGTAGGTTGGTGAGCTTGAGAGCCAGACGGGTGATGGGGAAACATGCACAGGGGCCTCCCAGGTACACGAGGGGGCGAGGGGGAGGGAGGCAGGGACAGAGACCCCCAGTGTGTAGGTAGCAGGCCAGAGACCCCATCCCTGTCTTTTTCTTTCTTTCTTTTTTTTTTTTTTTTGAGATGGAGTCTCGCTCTGTCACCCAGGCTGGAGTGCAATGGCGCGATCTGCGCTCACTGCAACCTCCGCCTCCCAGGTTCAAGTGATTCTCCTGCCTCAGCCTCCCGAGTAGCTGGGATTACTGGTGCCGGCCACCACACCCGGCTAATTTTTGTATTCTTAGTAGAGACAGGGTTTCACCATGTTGGCCAGGCTGGTTTCAAACTCTTGACCTCAAGTGTTCTGCCCACCTCAGCCTCTCAAAGTGCTGAGATTACAGGCGTGAGCCACCCACGCCCGGCCTCCCTCCCTGTCTTTCTCAGGGATCCAAGGACCTTCCCAGCCCGCTCAGGGCCACAGATACTCCAAGCGTCCACCCATCAGGCTTATATAACCCTTGGCTTAAGCCCAGCCCTGGAGCACCCCCACAGCCCCAGAGCCAGCAGCCCCAGGGAGAATCCCAGCAGTGAGGTGTGCTCAGAAGGGCTGCCACTGCCCACCACGCTCCTTGTTTATGAAAGGGTGATAAGGAGAAGAACTCCCACAAGGGTCACAGTAAGAACCGAGTGTCTCTACAGCAATGGCACCTTGCCCAGCAGATGGTAGGTGCCTGGAGATGGGGCCTTGTTGATGAAGGCTGGTGCTCCCACAGCATCCTGTCTAGATGAGTCAGGATGCTTTCATCTGCAAATGACAGAAACCCAGATGAAGCTGAGCCAAGCCAAAGAGGCGTGCTTATTAACTCCTGCAGCTGAACAGTTCATGGGTGGATCCAGCTTCAGGAACAAGTGGATCCAGGACCTCTGTATTAGCGTTCACTAGTGAGACAGGACTAATAGGATAGATAAATATTTGAAGGGGAATTTATTAGGAGAATTGACTCACACGATAACAAGTGAAGTCCCACAATAGGCCATCTGCAAGCTGAGGAGCTGGGAAGCCAGTCCAAGCCCCAAAACCTCAAAATTAGGGAAGCTGACAGTGCAGCCTTCAGTCTGTGGCTGAAGGCCCAAGAACCCCTGGCAAACTACTGGTGTAAGTCCAAGAGTCCAAAAGCTGAAGAACTTGGAGTTCAATATTTGGGGGCAGGAAGCACAGGGGAAAGATGAAGGCCAAAAGACTCAGCAAGTCTGCTCTTTCCAACTTCTTCTGCCTGCTTTTATTTATTTATTTATTTTGAGACAGAGTCTCGCTCTGTCACCCAGGCTGGAGTGCAATGATGCCATCTAGGCTCCGCCTCCCAGGTTCAAGCGATTATCCTGCCTCAGCCTCCCGAGTAGCTGGGATTGCAGGCACCCACCACCACACCTGGCTGATTTTTGTATTTTTAGTAGAGACCAGGTTTCACCATGTTGGCCAGACTGGTCTCGAACTCCTGACCTCAGGTGATCCCACCCGCCTCGGCCTCCCAAAGTGCTGGGATTGCAGGCATGCACCCAGCCCTGCCTACTTTATCCTAGCCACACTGGCAGCTAATTAGATGGTGCCTACCCAGATTGAGGGTGGGTCTGTCTCTCTCAGTCCACTGACTCAAATATTAATCTCCTTTGGCAACACCTTCACAGACACACCCAGGATCAATACTTTGCATCCTTCGATCCAATCAAGGTGACACTCAATATTAACTATCACAAGTCCACCCCTTGTCAATTTGAACCCATATACATCTCCTGAAATCATACATAATTTTCAAATAAAGACAATAATAGGCTGGGCGCAGTGGCTCAGGCCTGTAATCCCAGCACTTTGGGAGGTTGAGGCGGGCAGATCACCTGAGGTCAGGAGTTCTAGACCAGCCTGGCCAACATGGCAAAATCCCGTCTCTACTAAAAATACAAAAATTTCCTGGGCATGGTGGTGTGTGCCTGTAATCCCAGCCACTCGGGAGGCTGAGGCAGGAGAATGGCTTGAACCCAGAAGGCAGAGGTTGCAGTGAGCCGAGATCACACCACTGCACTCCAGCCTGGGGGATAGAACGAGGCTCTGTCTCCAAAAAAACAAAGTTTATAATTACACCTAACATAATACAGCTATCCTTCATACAACCGGAAGCACACCAATCCTTAACCTAAATGCTATTACGTAAAGTTAACAGCACATAAATGCTGATATGAGGTCAATAAATCTTATGTCACATGATAAAGGAAATAAAATGAAGATATTTTCTTAGTGTGTACATGCACAAACATATTCTCAACAAAATAACGAGGAAATACTCATGACAGTTACAGTCCTCGTTTCTGCAACTGGTCATGTGGTCATAGCTGGTATTGATGACTACCTTCTTCTACTACCCATTCTGTATTCCCTTTGTCTTTCACAAGTACCTCAGCAGGTTGCGGTTTTTTTTACCTGGTGGAGTGACCCAAACCTTCATTCCTGAAGGGTCTGGACTATTTGTAGTCCTGCCTGAATTGGGCTATTGTAGTTTCCCACTGAATTTAATCACAGATCATGGTACTATTAAGAGACGCCCTACGGGATCTCCTGTATTCCATGCATACTCTTCCTTACCTCTATTGTGGAGTAGTAGACTGATTTCATCTTGATAGTCCAGTCAATCACCCCAGCCAACATTGTAACTCCCTTCTTCTTAGCATGTTAACTCAAAGGTAGGAGAAGCCTGAAGTGTCCGGGTGGCAATC
The DNA here is from genome assembly GCF_000001405.40 of Homo sapiens. Classification (NCBI taxonomy): domain Eukaryota; kingdom Metazoa; phylum Chordata; class Mammalia; order Primates; family Hominidae; genus Homo; species Homo sapiens. The sequence goes on along the minus strand of NC_000016.10, from coordinate 29,006,202 downwards.
TTAACTTTCAGTTTAATGGAATCGTTGTGTCTCCTGGTGGCAGTGTTCCTCCCTCTGGAACTAAGACCTCTAGGCCAGCAGAACATAATGTCGTGGGAACAGGAAGCAAAAATGTTGCTCGTGGATCACTAGGGTTGATGGTGAGTGGTGCCACTTCCACTTCCACCCCTGGATTCCTGGACTGGTGAATCCTGGCGATGGGAGAAAGAGTACCATGTATTGGATGCTGATTCAGAGCATATGTGGCCTTCTGGAGAAATTTGCCCCAGCCCTGCAAAGTATTGTCACTTAGTTGGCATTGTAATTGTGACTTCAAAGGCCATTCCACCGTTCTATCAATCCAGCTACTTCAGGATAATGGGGAACATGGTAAGACCAGTGAATTCCATGAGCAGGAGCTAACCACTGGAATTCTTTAGCCATAAAGTGAGTGCCTTGGTCTGAGGCAATGCTGTGTGGAATACCATGATGGTGGATGAGGCATTCCATGAGTCCACAGATGGTAGTCTTAGCAGAAGCATCACATGCAGGACAGGCAAACCAATATCCAGAGTAAGTGTCTATTCCAGTGAAGACAAACCTCTGCCTTTTCCATGATGGAAGAACCCCAATATAATCAACCTGCCACCAAGTAGCTGACTGGTCACCCCAAGGAATGGTGCCGATCAAGGGCTCAGTGTTGGTCTCTGCTGCTGGCAAATTGGGCACTGGGCAGTGGCCGTAGCCAGGTCAGTCTTGGGGAGTGGAAGTCCATGTTGCTGAGCCCATGCGTAACCTCCATCCCTGCCACCATGGTCATTTTGTTTATGCGCCCGTTGGGAGATGACAGGGGTGGCTTGGGAAAGACGCTGAGTGGTATCCACAGAACAAGTCATCCTATTCACCTGATTATTAAAATCCTCCTCTGCTGAGCAGGAGGGTTACAAATATCTTCACAGTTTTTGACCCCTCAGAGAGGTCTATCCACATACCTCTTCCCCAAATTTCTTTATTACCAACTTTCTAATCATGCTTCTTCCAAGTCCCTGACCATCCAGTCAAACCACTGGCTACAGCCCATGAATCAGTATATAATTACACATCTGGCCATTTCTCCTGCCATGAAAAGTGCACAACCACGTGCACTGCTCAAAGTTCTGCCCACTGGGAAGATTTCCCTTCACCGCTGTCCTCCAAGGATGTCCTCGAAAGGGGCTAGAGTGTTGCAGCTCTCCACTTTCGAGTGGTGCCTGCATATCATGCAGAACCATCTGTGAACCAGGCCCTAGTCTTCTCTTCCTCTGTCAACTGATCATAGGGAACTCATGAGGCCATCAGTGCAGGCTGGGGAAGGGAAGGCAGGGTGGCAAGAGTGGAGACCATGGGCATTTGAGCCACTTCCCCATGTAACTTACTTGTGCCTTCAGGACCTGCTTGAGCCCGATCACGTAAATCCCACTTCCATTTGATGATACAATGCTGCTGTGCACGACCCATTTTATGGCTAGATGAGTCAGAAAACACCCAGTTCATGACAGGCGGTTCAGGCTGCATAGTGAATTGATGACCCATAGTCAAACATTCAGTTTCCACCAGAGCTCTTTAACAGGCCAAGAGCTGTCTCTCAAAAGGAGAGTAGTTATCTGCAGAAGATGGCGGGGCCTTGCTCCAAAATCCTAGAGGCCTCTGCTGTGATTCACCTATGGGGGTCTGCCAAAGGATCCAAACAGCATCCCTATCTGCCACTGACACCTCAAGCACCATTGGATCTGCTGGGTCATATGGCCCAAGTGGCAGAGCAGCTTGCACAGCAACCTGGACCTGTTGCAGAGCCTTCTCCTGTTCTGGACCTCACTCAAAACTGGCAGCCTTTCAAGTCACTTGATAAATGGGCCAGAGTAACGCACCCAGATGAGGAATGTGTTGCCTCCAAAATCCAAATAGGCCAACTAGGCATTGCGCCTCTTTCTTGATTGTAGGAGGGGCCAAATGCAGCAACTTATCCTTCACCTTAGAAGGAATATCTCGACAGGCCCCACACCACTGAACCCCTAGACATTTTACTGAGGTAGAAGGTCCGTGAATTTTAGTCAGATTTATTTTCCATCCCCTGGCACACAAATTCTCACCAATAAATTCAGTGTGTTTGCTACTTCTTGCTCACTAGATCCAATCAATGTAATGTCATCAATATAATGGAGCAGTGTGATATAATGTGGAAGGGAAAAGCGATCAAGGTCTCTCCAAATAAGACTATGACACAAAGCCAGAGAGTTGATAACCCCTGATGTATGACAGTAAAGGTATATTGCTGGCCTTGCCAGCTGAAGGCAAATTGCTTCTGGTGGGCCTTATGGACAGGAATGGGGAAAAAGGCATTTGCCAAATCAATGGCGGCATACCAGGTACCAGGAGATGTGTTAATTTGCTCAAGCAGTGAAACCACATCTGGTACAGCAGCTGCAACTGGAGTGACCACTTGCTTAAGCTTACGATGATCCACTGTCATTCTCCAAGATCCATCTGTCTTCTGCACAGGCCAAATGGAAGAGTTGAACGGGGATGTGGTGGGAATCACCACCCCTGCATCTTTCAAGTCCTTGATGGTGGCACTAATCTCTGCAGTCCCTCCAGGGATGTGATATTGTTTTTGATTTACAGTTTTTCTAGGTAGAGGCAGCTCTAATGGCTTCCCTTTGGCCTTTCTCACCATAATAGTACTTACCTTACCAGTCAGAGAGCCAGTGTGGTGATTCTGCCAGCTGCTAAGTATGGCAAGTATGCTAAGTATAATGTCTGTGCAAATTATGCATTCTGGCACTGGGAAAATGACCACAGGATGAGTCCAGGGATCCCTGGACCCACTGTATTCAGACCTGAGCTAAAACTCCATTAATTACCTGACCTCCATTAGCCCCTACTTTAACTGCAGGTCCACAGTGATGTTCAGGGACCCCTGGAATCAACATCAGCTCAGAGCCAGTGTCCAGTAGTCCCTGAAAGATCAGTTATCCCGGTAAGAGCTCAGAGGTCTCTCTACGGAAGGGTGGGAGAAAGATAAATGGCATAAATTGTCGGTAGTGTAGTGGGGTCCTTCCTCAAGCGGACACGGCCTCCCCTCATTCAAGGGGTTCTGGGTCTGTAAACTGGCTCAAGTCTGGAAATTGACTGAGGGGCCGTGATTCTCTGTTTTTTTTTTTTTTTTTTTTTTTCTGAGACTGAGTCTCGCTCCATAACCCAGGCTGGAGTGCAGTGGTGCAATCTCGGCTCATTGCAACCTCTGCCTCCCGGGGTCAACTGATTCTCATGCCTCAGCCTCCCAAGTAGATGGGATTACAGGCGCCCACCACCATGCCCAGCTAATTTTTGTATTTTTTTGTATAGATGGGGTCTCACTATGTTACCCAGGCTGGTCTCAAACTCCTGGCCTCAGGCGATCCTCCTGTCTCAGCCTCCCAAAGTGCTGTGATTACAGGCGTGAGCCACAGCGCCCAGCCTGATTCTGTTTTTATAATTCAAATTAGTCTTTTGTCGACTCGATCTGGAAGTTTTCTGCTTATACAAATTAAATAAATCTGCATTCTCAGGACCGTGGCTTTCTTCCCGTCTTGATGCTGCCCACTCCACATGGCCTTCTCTCTCAGGCGGGCAGCTCCAGGCGTGTCCTCCCTGCTAAGTGGTCCCCGCAGAAAAAGAGAGACTCATTCCCAAGAGTTCTAGCAAAAGTTCCAGTGCAAAGCAGAAGTTGTTCTGCCTGGAATTTCTCTTTTGGTTTGCCTTCCGTTCTCTCCTTTTCCACCAACTTCTATCTAGTAGACAGCCTCCTTCCGTCTACCAAGGTAGGCTACACTTCCATAAGTAACTTTGGAATTGGCTGTGTGACCTTAAGCAAGTAATTTAACCTCTATAAGCCTGAATCATTTTCCACATGATGGGGCTCCTCATACCTTATAGACAAGGATGTTGGGAGACTCAATGAAATGAGTGTGAGGCTGGGGACAGTAGCTCACACCTGTAATCCCAGCAGTTTGGGAGGCCAAGGCAGGTGGATGACCTGAGGCAGGAATTCGAGACCAGCCTGGCCAACATGGTGAAACCCTGTCTCTACTAAAAATACAAAAAAATTAGCTGGGTGTGGTGGAGCACACTTGTAGTCCCAGCTACTCGCTTGAACCCGGGAGGCGGAGGTTGCAGTGAGCTGAGATCATGCCACTGCACTCCAGCCTGGGCAACAGAGCGAGACTCTGTCTCAAAAAAAAAAAATTAATCTCTCTGAGCCTGTTTCATTTTCCACATAATGGGGCTCCTCACACCTTATAGACAAGGGTGTTGTGAGACTCAATGAAACAATAAGTGTGAGGCTGGGCACGGTAGCTCATGCCTGTAATCCCAGCACTTTGGGAAGCCAAGACAGGAGGCTCGATTGAGGCCAGGAGTTTGAGACCAGCCTGGGCAACATAGTGAGTCCCCATCTCTACAAAAAAAATTAAAAATTAGCTGGGCATTGTGGCACACACCTGTAGTCCAGCTATTTGGGAAGCTGGGGTGGGAGGATTGCTTGAGCCCAGGAGTTCAAGGCTGCAGTGAGCTGCGATCATGCCACTGCACTCCAGCCTGGGTGACAGGGCAAGACGATATCTGTATATTTTTGTTTTATTTTATTTTATTTATTTTATTTTATTTTTGAGACAGAGCCTCAATCTGTCACCCAGGCTGGAATGCAGAGGCGTGATCTCGGCTCACTGCAACCTCCACCTCCCGGGTTCGGGGATTCTCTTGCCTCAGCCTCCTGAGTAGCTGGAATTACAGGCGTCCGCCACCACACCCAGCTAATTTTTGTATTTTTAGTAGAGATGGGGTCTTATCATGTCTGCCAGGCTTGTCTTGAACTCCTGACCTCAGCTGATCTGCCCACCTCGGCCTCCCAAAGTGCTGGGATTACAGGTGTGAGCCACCACGCCCGGACTGAATTTGTTTTTTCTTTTTTCCTTTTCTTTTCTTTCTTTCTTTTTTTTTTTTTTTTGAGACAGTGTATTGCCCTTGTCGCCCAGGCTGGAGTGCAATGGCGCAATCTCGGCTCACTGCAACCTCTGCCTCCCGGGTTCAAGTAATTCTCCTGCCTCAGCCTCCTGAGTAGCTGGGATTACAGGCACCTGCCGCCACATGCAGCTGATTTTTTTTATTTTTAGTAGAGATGGGGTTTCACTATGTTGGCCAGACTGGTCTCAAATTCCTGACCTCAGATGATACACCCGCCTTGGCCTCCCAAAGTGCTGAGATGACAGGCATGAACCACCATGCCCGGCCTGAATATTTTTTTTTAATTAGAATCCCTGGGCTCCCAGGGATTACATCAGCAGCCCAAGATGCCCTGATAGTGGTTGGAATGTGGTGGAAATAAGAGTATCTATGGTTATCATTTAGGAATATTTTTCCACAAGTGACAGAAAATCTGGCTGAAATTGGTCTGGGCACCGAGAGGGACCTTTGATTGCTTCATCAAAGAGAAATGGCTCCTGGTGGGCCAGGCGAGGTGGCTCTCACCTGTAATCCCAGCACTTTGGGAGGCCGAGGCGGGCGGATCACGAGCTCAAGAGTTCGAGACCAGCCTGGCCAATATGGTGAAACCCTGTCTCTACTAAAAAAAAAAAAAAATCACAAAAATTAGCCAGGCGTGGTGGCGCACCCCTGTAGTCCCAGCTACTCGGGAGGCTGAGGCAGGAGAATCGATTGAACCTGGGAGGTGGAGGTTGCCATGAGCCAAGAGCACGCCACTGACTCCAGCCTGGGCAACAAGAGTGAAACTCCAACTCAAAAAAATAAAAAATAAAAAATAACTTTAAAAAAAAAGATTCTGAAGTCAGATAAATTTGGTATCAGAAATACCAGATTAGGCAAAGAGAAATAAAGACATACATCACAGGATTCCTCAACGCTGTTGACTCTGCAAGGGAGTATTATGCCCAGGTGCAGTGGCTCATACCTGTAATCCCAGCACTTTGGGAGGCTGAGGCAGGAAGATTGCTTGAGCCCAGGCATTAAAGACCAGCCTGGGCAACATAGCAAGACCCCATCTGTATAAAAAATTTAAAAATAAATAAATAAATAATGCTGCTTTTCTCAAACTCTTCTGACCCTGAAGCCTTTCTTGAGAAGCTTCTCACGGGACTCCTGGGCCACACAATGCATTTTGGGAAAAACTGCCCTCAACACCACAGTGAGCCAGAGCTATTGAAGTCACTGTGGCCGCCTTGTTGGCAGCTGCCCTCCTCACCATGTCAGAGCCCCAGCTGCCATCCTCTGCCTTCCTTTGCCTGAGAGCTTGCCCTGGCCACTAGAGCCCACTATGCCCATGTGAGTGGCAGGCCAGAAGTTTGAAGAATTAACACCCCCACCCAACCCCAGGAGCAGCCCTCAACTAGTGACTTCTGGGAAAGGAAGTATAAATACCCCAGCTCCCTCCTCCAAGCAGGAGGACTCCACACCAGCCCCCGGTGTTCCCTGCAGCCCTGGGCTCTAGTTGCCCACGGTAATATCTGGCTTCATAATGCACTCTTTGTTGATGCCCTTCTATTTCCTGTTTCAGTTCCCCATCCCCTACCAGTGTTTTCTGGGACCACCTCCCAGATAAACCACTCGCACTAGGACCCTCATCTCAAGGTCTGCTTCTGGGAGCCTGAAAAATCAAGATAGCTGTTACTGCCTAATAGTTTTTACCAGCATGCAGATGTCTCCCCAAAGCAATTCCAGAAAAACGCTTTCTCTCTCATCACTAAAGCTACATTTTCTATATAACACCAGAGTTAAAGAAAAATCTATATCTGGGCTGCGCACAATGGCTCACACCTGTAATCCCAGCACTTTGGGAAACTGAGGCAAGAGGATCACCTAGCCCAAGAATTCGAGACCAGCCTGTGCAACATAGTGAGCACCCATCTCTATTAAAAACATTTAAAATTATCCAAGTGTGGTGGTGCTCGCCTCTAGTCCCAGCTACTCAGGAGGCTGAGGCGGGAAAATCACTTGAGCTCAGGAGTTCAAGGCTGCAGGAAGCTATGATCTTGCCACTGCACTCCAGCCTGGGTGACAGAGGGGGACCCTGTCTCAAAAAAAAAAAAGAAAGAAGGAAGGAAGGGAAGGAGGAAGGGAGGAAGGGAGGGAGAAAGAGAGAAGAAAGGGAGAAAAAAGGCAGAAAGGGAGAAAGGGAAAGGAAAAGGGAAGGGAGATCTCTTTCTGCTCTCCAGCTTCCATCTGTAGGGAGTCTCCCCACTGACCACCCCAATGAGCCAAGAAATCCCAGCCCCAGTCCCGGAGATCTCATTGCAGTGGCTGCTCTGTTTGTCCCGCCTGGTTCATTGGCTGATGAAAGCCACATCCCCTGGCTGGGTCCAAGAAACACAGTTGGGAAGCTGCTTAGCACCTCGAAGAAACCCCCACACCCCTCCACCCAGGCAACAACTAGAGTCGCATGGGCCCTCCCCGTGTGGCACAGGCCACCATGCTCCCATGACTCCGCCTCCCAAACATCTTCTGATTCTACCACTCCTCGCCATGGCGCCTGCCCCTTCATTAGCCAGCCCACCACCTTGTCTCACTCAGATTATTCCAGCATGGATTATTCCAGTCTCCCTGACTGTAGTCTAACTAACCGCCCTTGCGATCCATCCTCCACATGAACCAAGCCAGGGATATTTACTAGACCCAAATCTCATGTTATCCTCGCTCCAAAGCCTCCAGGGCAGCTCATGGGTCTCGAGATAGAGTTTGTTTTTTGTTTTTTTTTTTGGAGACAGAGTCACTCTTTCACCCAGGCTTGGGTACAATGGCACAATCATAGCTCACTGCAGCCTTCAACTCTCAGGCTCAAGAGATCCTCCTGCCTCAGTTTCCCAAAGTGGTGAGATTACAGGCACGAGCCAGTGCCTGGACTAATTTTTTTTTTTTTGAGTCTCACTGTGTCACCCAGGCTGGAGTGCAGTGGTGCAATCTCAGGTTCCTCCGCCTCCTTCAAGCGATCCTCCTACCTCAGCCTCCCAAGTAGCTGGGACTACAGGCCCGTGAAACCATGCCCGGTTACTTTTTGTATTTTTAGTAGAGACGGGGTGTCACAGAAAACTGTTTGTACAGAAAATACAAACAATTAAGTGGGCATGATGTTGCACGCCTGTAGTCCCTGCTACTTGGGCTGAGGTGGAAGGATTTTTTTTTTTTTTTTTTTTTTTTGAGACGGAGTCTCGCTCTGTCGCCCAGGCTGGAGTGCAGTGGCGGGATCTCGGCTCACTGCAAGCTCCGCCTCCCGGGTTCACGCCATTCTCCTGCCTCAGCCTCCCAAGTAGCTGGGACTACAGGCGCCCGCCACTACGCCCGGCTAATTTTTTGTATTTTTAGTAGAGACGGGGTTTCACCGTTTTAGCCGGGATGGTCTCGATCTCCTGACCTCGTGATCCGCCCGCCTCGGCCTCCCAAAGTGCTGGGATTACAGGCGTGAGCCACCGCGCCCGGCCGAGGTGGAAGGATTGCTTGAGCCTGAGAGGTGGAGGTTGCACTGAGCCGAGATTGTGCCACTGCACTCCAGCCTGGGGCACAGAATGAGACCCTGTCCCAAAATAATAACAATAATAATAATAATAATAATAATGTGACTGGGCACGGTGGCTTCAGACGGCCAACAGGCCAGGCTGGTCTTGAACTCCTGACCTCTGGTGATCCCCCTGCCTCAGCCTCCCAAAGTGCTGAGATTACAGGTGTGAGTCACTGTGCCTGGCCTAATTTTTTAATTTATTTTTTAAAGAGACAGGGTCTTGCTATGTTGCCCAGGCTGGTCTGGAACTTGTAGCCTCAAGCCATCCTCCCACCTTGTCCTCCACACCTGGCCACAGGATAAAGTTTTTAGGCCTGCTCAGTCCCGTATTCATCCACACTCACCTCTCCATGCTTTCTCGAACCCCATAACATGGGAACTTCTCTCAATTCCTCAAACATACTACAGGGCCTTTGCGTATGTACTTCCTAAGGCCTGGAATGCCATATGCGACGTATCCACTTGGCACAAACCAGCTAGTGAGGCCTGGCGTACTGTTCACTGTTTCCTAAAGCTGTTTATGCCCCACCCTTCCACCCCAATTCATTCCCTCCTTGGGCCTTGATCTCACTTGGTTATTATGAAATCATTCAGATCTGCAAACCAGTAAAGAAAACTGTGTCTTGGCCAGGCTCGGTGGCTCACGCCTGTAATCCCAGCACTTTGGGAGGCCAAGGTGGGCGAATCACGAGGTCAGGAGTTTGAGACCAGCCTGGCCAACATGGTGAAACCCCGTCTCTACTACAAATACAAAAATGAGCCGGGTGTGGTGGCGGGCACCTGTAATCCCAGCTACTCGGGAGGCTGAGGCAGGAGAATCGCTTGAACTCGGGAAGCAGAGGGTGCAGTGAGCCGAGACCACGCTACTGCACTCCAGCCTGCGCGACAGAGCGAGACTCCATTTCAAAAAAAAAAAAAAAGAGAGAGAGAAGACTGTGTCTGGCCAGGCACAGTGGCTCACGCCTGGAATCCTGGCAATTTTGGAGGCCAAGGCAGGTGGATTGCTTGAGCTCAGGAGTTCAAGACCAGTCTGGGCAATATGGTGAGACCCCGCTTCTACAGAAAATACAAACAATTAAGTGGGCATGGTGGTGCATGCCTGTAGTCCCCGCTACTTGGGCCAAGGTGGAAGGATCGCTTGAGCCTGAGAGGTGGAGGTTGCAGTGAGCCAAGATTGTGCCACTGCACTCCAGCCTGGGCCACAGAATGAGACCCTGTCTCAAAATAATAATAATAATAATGCTACTGGGCACAGTGGTTTATGCCTGTAATCCCAGCATTTTGGAAGGCTGAAGCCGGCGGATCACTGGAGGCCAGGAGTTCGAGACCAGCATGGCCAACATGGCAAAACCTCATCTCTACTAAAAATGCAAAAATTAACCTGGCATGGTGGTGCACACCTGTGATCCCAGCTACTCAGGAGGCTGAGGCATGAGAATCGTTTGAACCCAGGAGGCAGAGGTTGCAGTGAGCCGAGATCGCACCACTGCACTCCAGCCTGGACGACAGAGTGAGACTCTGTCTCAAAAAAAAAAAAAAAAGAATAGGACATTGCACATCTCACTGAAGCCTTCTTCGAACTCCTCCCCAGTCTCCTGCCTCCGCCTCCACCCAGGGTGACCACTGTCCTGAATTTGGAATTCCTCACTCCTACGCCTGTCTTGATACTTTTTTCTTTTTTTGAGACAGAGTTTTGCTCTTGTTGCCCAGGCTGGAGTGCAATGGCGCCATCTCAGCTCACTGCAACCTCCGCCTCCCGGGTTCAAGCAATTCTCCTGCCTCGGCCTCCTGAGTAGCTGGGATTACAGGCATGCACCACCACGCCTGGCTAATTTTGTATTTTTAGTACAGACGGGGTTTCTCCATGTTGGTCAGGCTGGTCTCGAACTCCCGACCCTAAGTGATCCACCTACCTCAGCCTCCCGAAGTGCTAGGATTACAGGCGTGAGCCACGGCGCCTGGCGCTGTCTTGATACTTTTACATCGATGCACATCCCTGAACAATATACAGCATTTGTACATAGGTTTGGTTTTTTTGTTTTGTTTTGTTTTGAGACAGGTCTCTGTTGCCCAGGCTGCACTGCAGTGGCGTAATCATGTACATGGTTGTGTGTGTGTGTGTATACATATATACACACACACACATATATATACAACCCGCCTCGGCCTCCCAAAGTGCTGGGATTACAGGCGTGAGCCACCGTGCCCGGCCACACTGCAACTTCTCTGTCTGCTCTTAAGTGGTGGGTGTCTAAGCTGTCTCCAGCTGCAGTCATTACAATGCTGCCCTGCCGGAGTCTGCTTGTACCTGCCACTTTGGCCCATGTGCTGGAGTTGGTAAAGGTTTATAACCAGGAATTTTTTTTTTTTTTTTTTGAGATGGAGTCTCACCCTGTTGCCCAGGCTGGAGTGCAGTGGTACAATCTTGGCTTACTGCAACCTCCGCCTCCTGGGTTCAACCCTATATATATATATATAGGGCTTCACTATGTTGCCCAGACTGGTCTTGAACTTCTGGACTCAAATGATCCTCTCACCTTGGCCTCTCAAAATGCTGGGATTACAGGCGTGAGCCACCACGCCCTGCCTCATGTACATGTTTTTAACTTTACATGCATGACTTGCTTTGCGTGTTTTGTTTGCTGTGTGTGACATCACCACAATCTGTTGGTGCTATCCATCAGTGGTGATGAGCCCGGCTGCAGTTCCTTCATTTTTTTTTTCTTTTTTTTTTTTTTTTTTGAGACAGAGTCTCTATCACCCAGGCTGGAGTGCAGTGGCACAATCTCAGCTCACTGCAACCTTCGCCTCCCAGGTTTAAGCGATTCTTCTGCCTCAGTCACCCAAGTAGCTAGGATTACAGGCGTGCACCATCACGTCCAGCTAATTTTTGTAATTTTAGTAGAGACGGGGTTTTGCCATGTTAGTCAGGCTGGTCTCGAACTCCTGACCTCAGGTGATCTGCCCTCCTCGGCCTCCCAAAGTGCTGGGATTACAGGCGTGAGCCACTGTGCCTGGCCCGCAGTTCCTTCATTTTATCGGCTGCTGAGCAGCTGTCATCTGACTGCACTGCGATTTCTTTCTTTCTTTTTTTTTTTTTTTTGAGATGGAGTTTCCCTCTTGTCGCCCAGGCTGGAGTGCAAAGGCACAGTCTTGGCTCACTACAACCTCTGCCTCCCAGGTTCAAGCAATTCTCCTGCCTCAGCCTTCTGAGTAGCTGGGACTACAGGCTCTCGCCACCATGCCCAGCTAATTTTTGTATTTTTAGTAGATACTGGGTTTCACTATGTTGGCCAGGCTGGTCTTGAACTCCTGACCTCAGGTGATCCACCCACCTCGGCCTCCCAAAGGGCTGGGATTACAGGCGTGAGCCACCGTGCCTGGCCACACTGGGACTTCTCTGTCTGCTCTTAAGCGGTGGGTGTCTAAGCTGTCTCCAGCTACAGTCATTACAATGCTGCCCTGACGGAAGTCTGCTTGTACCTGCCACTTTGACTCATGTGCTAGAGTTAACAAAGGTTTATAACCAGGAATTTTTTTTGAGACAGAGTCTCACCCTGTCACCCAGGCTGGAGTGCAGTGGTGCAATCTTGGCTCACTGCAACCTCCGCCTCCTGGGTTCAAGCAATTCTCCTGCCTCAGCCTCCCGAGTAGCCAGGATTACAGGCACCCGCCACCAAGCCCAGCTAATTTTTGTATTTTTAGTAGAGTCAGGGTTTCACCATGTTGGCCAAACTCCTGACCTCAGGCGATTTGCCCACCTCGGCCTCCCAAAGTGCTGGGATTACAGGTGTGAACCACTGAGCCTGGCCTGGAGTTGGTGAAGGTTTATACCCAGGAATTTGTTAGGTAAAGGGAGACACATGGCTTCAGCTTCACCAGATGTTGCTAGATTGGTTACACTAATAGCCCTTGTTGGTCAACTGTTCTTCATCTATCAGCCCAGGCACAAAGGTGCCTCTGCTCATGTCTATTTCTTCCAAAGAAAAGGATTTAACTCCACGTGTTGATGGCCCGACTGTCCAATCCCCTTCCCAGACCCTCCCACCATCTTCTCCACCTGGGCCTCTTCTGAGCTTCCCCATTCAGGGCAGTCAGCACTTTATACAATAATCAGAATGAGGACGGGCATGGTGGCTTACGCCTGCAATCCCAACACTTTGAGAGGTCGAGGTGGGTGACCAGCCTGGCCAACATGGTGAAGCCCTGTCTCTACTAAAAATACAAAGATTAGCCGGGCGTGGTGGCGGGCGCCTATAATCCCAGCTACTTGGGAGGCTGAGGCAAGAGAATCACTTGAACCCAGGAGACGGAGGTTGCAGTGAGCCGAGATCGTGCCACTGCACTCCAGCCTGGGCGACAAAGCAAGACTCCATCTCAAAAAAAAAGAAGATTGTTTCTGGCCGGGGACAGCGGCTCACACATGGAATCGAGCACTTTTGGAGGCCAAGACAAGCAGATTGCTTGAGCTCAGGAGTTCGAGACCAGCCTGGGCAACACGGTGAGACTCCGCCTCTACAGAAAATACAATTAGGTGGGCATGGTGGTGCGTGCCTGTAGTCCCCGCTGCTTGGGCTGAGGTAGAAGGATCGCTTGAGCCTGAGAGGCAGAAGTTGCTGTGAGCCGAGATTGTGCCACTGCATTTCAGCCTGGGCCACAGAATGAGACTCTGTCTCAAAATAATAATAATAATAATTTCAGCTACTTGGGAGACTGAGGCAGGAGAATCATCTGAACCCAGGAGACGGAGGTTGCAGTGAGCCGAGATCGCGTCACTGCACTCCAGCCTGGGCGACAAGAGCAAAACTCCGTCTCAAGAAAATCATCATCATCATCATCAGAATGAGGAGGCTGCCAGTCAGAGCAGCAGTGACCCGATGGGACCGACAGCCACAGATCTAATCCCAGGTGTACCTCTTCAGCTGTGTGCCCTTGGGCAAGTCACTTCACCTCTCTGAGCCTGTGTTTCCTCTCCTGCATAATGGGGACACTAAACTGTAACTGACAATAGAGGGGTCATGATGACTGCATGTAATGAGCATGGCAATGCAATGGGCGCTCCCTGAGGAGTCGCTATCACACGCATGCACCACTGCACCTGGCTGACCTTGAACAGAGCCACTGTTATTACTTTTGGAGTCCACAGAGAACCACCACCAACTTTTCATCGCAAAACAACTTTGGCTGTAGTGACAGATACCCCAAGTAAAGCTGGTTGAAGAAAAACTGCCATTTATTGGCCCACGCAACGCTTCAGGTATGTCCAGATCCAGGAGTCTTTTTTTTTGAGACAGAGTCTTGCTCTGTTGCTCAGGCTGGAATGCAGAGGCGTGATCTCGGCTCACTGCAACCTCCATCTCCCAGGTTCAAGCGATTCTCCTTCCTCAGCCTCCTGAGTAGCTGGGATTACAGGCGCGTGCCACCACGCCTGGCTAATTTTTGTATTTTTAGTAAAGACAAGGTTCGCCATGTTGTCCAGGCTGGTCTTGATCTCCTGACCTCAGGTGATCCACCCGCCTCTGCCTCCCAAATGCTGAGATTACAGGCGGAAGCCACCACACCCGGCCCAGTTCCAGGAATTCTAATGACACCGTTAGGAAGCTGGCTCTGTCCCTCTCTGGGCCACTCTCTCCTCCACGTTGGCTTCATTCCTAGGCAGGCTCTCCAAGTGGTGGCTCCAGGCCTGCATCTGTCCAGCTTAATCACTGCCCCGAACAGATGGAGCTTCTCCTGCCCAGCACTTCCCACCTGGATCCCAGGGCTGCTCCTCACTGGCCCAGGCCGGGTGACATGCCCATACCTGAGCCAATCGTGATGGGCAGGGAAAGGATGGTGACCTTGGCCCAGGTCTGGGTCACGTGTTCAACAATCTCCAGGCCAGATGCGATCATTCACCTTAAATCCCAGGGAGACACTGAGCACAGTGGCTCATGCTTGTGATCCCAGCACTTTGGGAGGCCAAGGCAGGAGGATCACTTGAACTCAGGAGTTCAAGACCAGCCTGGGCAACGCAGTGAGACCTCCATCTCTACAAAAAATAAAACATTAGCCGGGCATGGTGGCATGCGTCTGTAGTCTCAGCTACTCAGGAAGCTGAGCTGGGAGGATCACTTGACCCCAGGAGTTCAAGGCTGCACTGAGGCATGATTGCACTACCACATTCCAGCCCGGGCGACAGAGTGAGACCTCATTTCCAAAAAAGAAAAAACAGGCTGGGCGCAGTGGCTCACACCTGTAATCCCAGCGCTTTGGGAGGCCGAGGAGGGTGGGATCACCTGAGGTCAGGAGTGTGAGACCAGCCCGGCCAACATGGTGAAACCCATCTCTACTAAAAATACAAAAATTAGCCAGGTGTGGTAGTGGGGGCCTGTAATCCCAGCTACTCAGGAGGCTGAGGCAGGAGAATTGTTTGAACCCAGGAGGCGGAGGTTGCAGTGAGCCAAGATCACGCCACTGCACTCCAGCCTGGCGACAGAGGGAGACCCCATCTCAAAAAAAGAAAAAAAAAAAAAAGGAAAAAGAAAAAACAAACACACAATCTCTAAAACTACATGGAATGAGATTGGGAAAGGAGTGAATTGCAGAGGAAAGCCAAGGTGAAATTCCCAAAATAAGGGGAAATGGATCCCGGACAAGTAAAGGCAATAGATGCTCACCACGCCCTTGCTCCTCAGGATGAGGTTCACAGAACAGCAGCATCAGAATCACACAGGAGAGGCTCAGAAATGCAAAGTCTCAGGCCACGTCCTAGGCGAACTGAGTCAGAACCCACCCCACAGCAAAGTCTGCCGGTGAGTCACCTACCCATCAAAGTCTCAAAAGTGCTGTGCTGCATATTAACTTTTTCAGTTACTTAGACAATTTTTTAAGTTCTGTTTTATTGAGAACCACAAAAGGTAAGAACTAAGAGAGTCCTCCCAGGTCATCAGGTCCCATCCCTTGGTCTAAGGATGGTGAAACCATTGTCACAGCCAGCAGCTGCCGTGTTCTGGGACTGTCTCATGGGGCAATGTGTCCTCACCCCCAGCAGTGCCAGCCCAGGTCAGAAGGCTTCATTCAGAAGGGGGGTGTCACAGCACCTGGCTGAGCCCCCATGGAGGATGGAGACCCACAGATACACACAAACACACAGAGACATCTCCAAATCTCTGACTCAGACTCGCACACAGGCACACACAGACGCACGCTCAACACAGACACACGCAGGCCTTTATTCTATTACACAGAGTAGGGCTGGGGCCAGGGCAGGTCATTCTCAGGCTGCGTCAGAAGGTGCAGAGCGTTCGGGGGACACAGGCCGAACCCCAAAGTGATAATAAGTTACGGGGGGATTTCTCAGGCTGTTGTCAGGCTGGAGCAAGGGCAGGACGCCATGTGAGGACCCCAGAGCCACTTCCAGCTGCCCAGCTCAGCCGTCCCAGGCAAGCCTGGTTCCAGGACAGACTCGGCCTCCACTGAAACACACCAGGGCAGGGAGGGATACGGATCAGGAGGCTGACGGGGTTCAGCAGGTACCCAGAGACAGAGGGACAAGCCAGAGGTAGGGTTGGGCAAGGGGGTCCTGGAGGGAAGGAGTAGAGCCTGTGGGCCCAGGGCAGGGTGGGGACAGGGCAGGCCTCTCACCAGGCCCTCAGTTCAGCTCCTGCAGATTCTCGTAATCTGGAGCCCCCTCTTCCTCCACTTCCTCTGCCTCCTGGGAACTCAGGGCGGCTGTAAGGGAGGGGAGGTTGGTCTCCAGCTTGCAAGCTATCCCCCCAAGCCCAAAGCAGCTACCCCAGCTCCTGCCCCTCCCGCAGAACACACCAGGCTCAGTCTTAGCCGCTCCAGGATGCAGTTCCTGGGACACATTCACATACTCCCGGCTGCCATCTGTGGGGACAGATCAGAAGGAGGGGCAGCCACGCAAAGGGGTCAGGAGGGCGAGAGAGCAAGGGGACGCCCAGACAGAGGGGGCAGAGGGTGTGGGTAGCCCCAGGGTGGGATCTGGTCACACTGAGAGCATGGTGGGGCAGCGGGGTGCAGGGGCAGGCACCGACAAGCACCGGTCACTCACCCAGAGACGCTTCTGCGCTCTCCCCGCTCTCCGGAACGTTCACGTAATCATCAATGGACTCCACTGTGGAAAAGCCAGGCCCACCTCGGCACTGTGACCAGAGACCCTTGGCCACAGGTTCCCAGAGAACCCCCAACCTCAGCCATGCAGAGCTCCCCAACGGTAGACCCCAGAGGCTTCCCACACAGCCACCCCCATTAGCCCCACAGAATGAAGAGAGGGGACTCCAGGCTGGCAAGGATGGTGTTGGTGATGGTGATGGTGGCCTGGACAAGGGCAAGGGCTGTGGAGAGGGAGGGAGGAGGTCCACTTGACTGGGACTGAGGAGAGCTCACAAAGGGTCAGGCCCCAGCACAGCCCCTAGGCTGGGGAGCAGGGATGTAGTGCGGCTCGGAGCAGTGGGAGTTTGGTGGCGTGTGTGGAGGGGACATGACACACTAGGCCCAGCAGGCACCTCCTCCCCCCGACCCCCATCCCCACCTGCCCCCTGCCAGCCACTGCCTATGTCTCACTCCCATGTCAGCCCTTCATGGCGCCTGTCACCATCCATGTTATTTGGGAGCTTTTTGTTTGTTTTTGTTTTTCTTGAGACAGGGTCTCGCTCTGTTACCCAGGCTGGAGTGCAGTGGTGCAATCTCGGCTCACCGCAACCTTGACCTCCTGGGCTCAGATGATCTTCCCACCTCAGCTCCTACCAGGCCAGGCTAAATTTTGGAATTTTTGTAGAGATAGGGTCTCCCTATGCTGCCCAGGCTGGTCTTGAACTCCTGGGTTCAAGTGACCCACCTGCCTCAGCCTCCCAAAGTGCTGGGATCACAGGCATCAGCTACCACGCCTGGTTATTTGGTTCTTTTATTTTGTTTATTTATTTATTTTTGAGATGGAGTCTCCCTCTGTCACCTAGAGGGCTGGAGGGCAGTGGGGTGATCTTGGCCCACTGCAACCTCTGCCTCCCGGTTCTAGCAATTCTCCTGCCTCAGCCTCCTGAGTAGCTGGGATTACAGGTGCCCGCCACCACGCCCTGCTAATTTTGGTATTTTTAGTAGAGACTGGGTTTCGCCATGTTGGCCAGGTCAGTCTCGAACTCCTGACCTCAGGTGATCCCCCCACCTTGGCCTCCCAAAGTGCTGGGATTACAGGTGTGAGCCACCGTGCCCGGCCTATTTGGTTCTTTTATGTGTTTCTTGTTTGTTTTTGAAGACCGCCCCGGTTCAATCCCAGCTCCAGCACTAACCAACCACATAACCTCAGCCAAGGGACCTTACCTCTCTGTGCCTCAGTTTTCTCCTCTGTAAAATAGGGCCTGTCACACAGCAGTGCTGTTAAACAGATAAACCCTGTATCCCACAAAAGGGACAACTGGAGCACAGGAGGGCGCGGGCAGGCCCGGGAGCCCCAGGGCAGTCAGATTAGTGAGTGAACACATGTCAGACTCTTAGCAAGGCATGCAGGAGGCCCTCGGTGAATCTTAGCTATTTTATCTTTTTTTTTTTTTTTTAACACAAGGTCTCACTCTGTCACCCAGGCTGGAGTGCAGTGGCATGATCTCGTCTCACTGCAACTTCCGCCTGCGGGGTTCAGATGATCCGCCCATTTCAGCCTCCTGAGCAGCTGGGACTACAGGCATGTGCCACCACGCTTGGCTAATTTTTTTTTTTTTTTTAAAGATGAGGTTTCGCCATGTTGCTCAGGCTGGTCTTGAACTCCTGGGCTCAAGCAATCCTCCCGCCTCGGCCTCCCAAAGTGCTAGGATTACAGGAGTGAGCCACCATGCCCAGCCAGCTATTTTATCAGGACAGTCTGCCTCCTTAACTGTTATATCCACAGCATTAGCCCAGCAGAGGCACATAGTAAATGCTGAATGAATGAATGAATGAATGAATGAAAGAAAAGAAGTACTTGGATACAGTCTGGAGCTCAGGAGAGAGCAAACTGGGAATCTGGATGGCAAACAAAGCCAGGGTATAGAAGTGATAGCCCAGGACAAGTATATACAGAGAGAGCAAAGCAACAGAAAACTAAAGAATCCCGGACATTGAGGAAAGCCCAGAGGATGTGACCAGGCAGGATGAGACCATGAGGAAGGGAGAAAACCAGCTCAAAGGAAACAGGGCAGTGCAGGAAGCAGAAGAAAACTGACACACACAGACACACAAGACAGCCTCTAATTAACATCCTTAGAGATGTTTCATCCATGAAACAAGAACAGGAGGCTATAAAAAAAGAACAGCCAGAGAACGAGAAAGAGCTTCTGGATAGGAGAAATAAAATTGCAGTGGAAGGGTTGAAGAATACAGACAAGGAAATCTCCCAGATGATAAAGGAAAGGACACAGAGATAGGAAAGAAGAGAGAGAAAGCTGAGAAAATCAGAAGAACAGGGCCGGGCATGGTGGCTCACGCCTATAATCCCAAGCACTTTGGGAGCCCGAGGTGGGAGGATCACTTGAGCCCAGGAGTTTAAGGCCAGCCTGGGCAACATAGTGAGACCATCTCTACAAAAAAAATTTTTTAAATAAGCTAGGTGTGGTGGCATGCGCCTGTGGTCTCAGCTACTTGGGAGGCTGAGGCCGAGTAGCCTACTTGGGAGGATCACTGGAGCCCAGGAG
Source organism: Homo sapiens (assembly GCF_000001405.40). Taxonomy (NCBI): domain Eukaryota; kingdom Metazoa; phylum Chordata; class Mammalia; order Primates; family Hominidae; genus Homo; species Homo sapiens. Next base: position 28,986,981 of record NC_000016.10, on the reverse strand, counting down.
TTCAAGGCTGCAGCGAGCTACAATGGCACCACTGCACTCCAGCCTATCCCTAAAAAAATTTAAAAATAAAAACAAATGCCTGACTCACTGGAGAAGGCACTGTCTCGGATGCCAGGGGTGCTGAGTGCAGGAGCTGATGGGGCAGCAGTGCTAGTGGCCGGGGTGCTGTCAGGAAGCACCACCCTGAAAGGAAGTGAAAAGGGCCGGTGAGCAAGGGGGGACGCACAGCCTCAGCCCTCACCTCCCACCTCCCACCTGGCCACTCACAGGTAGCCTGGGTTGTGATAGTCGTCCTCATCCTCATCCGCATCCTCACAGGCTGGTTCTGGGGGTAACGACACAGGGGTCAGCCTAGTCCAGGACGGACCCCAGACTCCCCACCCAGCCTGGGCACCTCGGATCCCAGACGCACCCTCGTTCTCGTAGCTCGCCACACTGTTGGCTTCAAAGAGAGGGTGAGAGGGAGACTAAGTCAGCTCAGGCCAGGCCTATCTTCTTCCCAGCCCCCGCCGCCTGAACCCTTCCCCACACTTACCACCATCAGAATCCCGCCGGGAAGATGGCGTCCGGTGGGAGCCCCCAAGGGGCTGCGGGGATCTTCTGGGAGTCAAAGGTCAGGGGTCATGCCTGAGGTGGGGCTCAGGGGGCAACAGCAGTTGCAAAAGGGAAAGGGGCCCCCAATCCAAAAAAGTGAAGGGGTAGAGAGTGGAGTTTGGAGGGGGAGGGGCTGAGCTTTGGAGGGGCAGGGGCTGAGCAGCTACTCACGGGATGGGGAGCAGGTCTGGCTGGCTCAGGGGTGGGTAGGAGGTGACAGGTGGGTAGGCAGGTGGCCAGGGGGCAACCGTGTCTGAGGACACAGAACCAAGTTGAAAGAAGGACTCCGGACATCGTCAAGGCCTCAAAGAACAGACTAAGCCCCTGAAAGCCCCACACCCTGGACAGGCCTGGGGGAGCCATCTCCCCTCTCCCAGCTCAGGTCAAGGCCATGTGGGCAGCCCCAAGGTGGCAGGGGAAGTCTGAAGGTTCACGCTCACTCCCACACCAGGGGACCCTCTCCCTGGCACCCAAGGTAGGGGACCCTCCTTGTACTCACGAGGCCGTTTGAACTGGATGCCCCTTGGATACAAACTGGTAAAGGAGACACAGCTTGGGGATGGGGCTGGAAGATGGAGGATGGAAGCCCCAGCCCTGCCCCGCCATGGGGTGTGGAGGGAGACCCAGGGCGGCTGGGGCGGACTCACCTATCTGAGGATGTGCTGTCGTAGGAGCCTGGGAAAGAGAGGGCTGGTGAGGCAGGAACAGGGGGTGCTTAGGGCAGAAGGTGCTGGGATCCAGGGACTCTCAGAGGCGCTGGGATCAGGACGGAGGCAGGGACAGAGCCAGGACAGACACAGGGGCTGGGAGTGGATGAGGATCCCGTCGGTGTCCCTGGGCCCTGGGTACCCCCACCAGTTTCCCACTCACCTGGCAGTCTGTGGCAGTGCACACACAGTGCCATCAACATGGCCAGGATGGGCAGCAGCAGGAGCCCCAGCACGCAGGGGACCAGGATGGCCTCCTCCATCTGCAGGGGAGCTCGGAGCAGGCTGGCTGCACCCCTAGGCCCCTCAAGGGCAGAGTCAAGGCCAGATGAAGATGGGGTGAGGACCGGACCCGGCAGGGAGCAGGGGGCAGGTAGGCACCAGGTGGCAGGGGAGCCCGGGAGGAGGCAGCTGTGCCCTCCCCGGGGCTCCCGGGATGGGTCCCCTCTTTTACTGGGCTGAGTGTGCGTCCAGCTGACTGTGGAAAGTCCCTGCTCCCAGGGTGGTCAGACCAGGGCCTGGGCTGAAGTCGGGGGATCCAGTTACCCCTGCGTCCCAGCCCTACCTGCCCCTCCTCGGCGCCCGCCTCTCCGTGCCCGCCCTCCCGCCCGCCTGCGGCAGGAAGCTGTGGTGAGCGCCGGGCGAGGGCAGGAAATCATCAAGCTCTCAGCCGGCTGCACCCGCCCCCTTCCCACCCCACCCGCCAGTGGGGAGGGGGCAGGAGGAGGCCCGGGAGCCACCCCAGGCACTCACCAAGGGTCTGCTGGCCCCCCCCAAGACGGGGACAGCCACCTGCCAGCTGGCAGCCGTGGCCTCCATATCCAGGACCCGGGGAGGCAGCGAGCAGGGAGGCCCTGACAGTGGGAATTCTGGGGTACAAAGGGCAGTGCCCACCCCCACCTCAGCCAGGCCTGTGAGGCAAGGGACAGGCTCCAGGGAAGCAGGGGCGTGACTCACGGTCACACTCAGCCAGCTCACTCGGAGAAGAGCAGTCCCCCATCTCAGTCGCCCAGCCCAGAAGGGCAGAGACTCACCCAGAGCCCTGAGGAATGACCCACAGTCTTCAGGAGCCCTGGGGTGAAGACGGGGTGCAAGATCAGAGGCCACCCAGAGAAAGACGAGAGCAGGCACCTGGGGTCTGGCTACAAATTTTATTCCGTTACAAATAGCACCGAGCCCTTGGGGCTGCCCCTGTGGAGAGGGATCCCCCTCCTGGACCCCCACCTCCTCCCCTGAGCTACCCAGGTAGTGTCTGGGAGCTGGCACACGGCCCAGGGTCCCTCTGGAAGCTGGGCCAGGCCAAGGGGTTAGGCCCAGGCCCTTCGTGGGGTGGGCCCAGGGCCAGCTGTGGCAGATGTGCAGGTAGGTGAGCGGCAGCCTCTCAGATGAGCACACTGGCCACGGGCACGCGGGTGGAGCGGCCCCGCTGGGGCACCACAATCCGGTCGTCTGTGGACCCTGCTTCGTGCAGCAGGCCTGAGGGGGGAGGGTCAGAGCCAGGGTGAGCTGGATGGACAGACAGACAAAGCCAGAGAAGGGCAAACAGGCAGCGGGAAATGGATGGGGCAGCCACAGAGCCACCCCAGGGGTGGATGCAGACAGACTGGAGGCCAAACAAGGGGAGGGCTGTGGACTGAGCTGCCAGGTGCACAGGAGTGGGCAGACAGATGGACAGACAGACAGGCAGATCAAGAAGCTGGGCCGGGCACAGCTCCTAACTGACCCTGCACGTGCAGCTGTGCCCGCCGGCGGTCGGCCTCAATGAAGATGGCGGTGCCCAGGAAGGCTGCGCCGCCCAGTGCCCCAACAAACGCGCAGAGCATGAGCGAGAACTGCAGAGCCCGGAACTCGGACAAGAAGGAGGGGGGCCAGTTCCGGCGCAGGCGGTCAGAGATCTGCAGGGAGAGGAGACAGGAAAGCCAGGGGAGTCAGCCTCATGGATGAACCAGGGAGGGCACGCCCCTGAGCTCCAGGGAGAAAGACAAGTGGAGCCCAGGAAAGGGAAGGAGGTTTGAGCTAGATGCAGTGGCTCATGCCTATCATCCCAGCTACTCAGGAGGCTGAGGTGGGAGGATCGCTTGAGCCCAGGAGGTCGAGGCTGCAGTGAGCCATGATCGTGCCACTACACTGCAGCCTGGGCAACAGAGTGAGGTCTTGTCTCAGGAAGAAAAGAAAAGAGAAAAGAAAGGAGGAGTTTGGACCACCAGGGTGAGGTCCCTGGCCTTACTGGTAGAAATATTCAAAGACAAAATCTTTCTCCTCCAGTTGACAATGGAAGGTGAGAAGTGCCCAGCACGCAGGACACAGACACTTCACTAGGGCCAGGCCTTCTGATCCAGCCCAGGCTCAGGACACCAGCCACCCCATGCCAGCCAAGAAATAATGCTCACCAGGCCAATGAGGTAGGGGCTCCCAGCATCACCCAGCAGGTGGGACAGCACGATCTGGAAGGCCTCGGCGGTGGAGCGTCGGGTAGGGATCACCACGTACTGTGGAGGAGTTGGTGGAGCTCAGTGGATGCTCTGGGCTCCAGGGGGCAGGAGGCAGGGGGCCAGGAGACCACCAAGGATCCGCCTAGGCCGGGGTCAGAGGTGTGCCTGGGGTTGAGGTCGCAGGGCAGGCCGGGGGTCTGCTACAGATGTTATTTATTGCAGAAGGTAGGTTGAGGCTGGGCTTTGAGGGGTAGAGGCAACACTCCTGACCCCAACTCTGCTCTCATCAGCCTCTGCGCTGACCCTGGAGCTGCCCAGCAACTCACCAGCAGAATGTCGGCCACGATGGCCCAGTTCATGGACAGGAGGGTCTCTCCAATGAAGATGAAAATCTGGGGGAAGAGAGGGTCGGGGGTTCATGACAGTAAGGGCTAACACATGGAAAGTTGACCATGTTCCCAGCTCATCTATTAACTAATTTAATCCTCATCACACCCCAGTGAGACAGGTGCTACTAATATCCCCATTTTACACATGATGAAACTGAGCACAGAGAGGTTAAGTCACTTGTCCAATGTCACACAGCTGGGAAGAGCCAGAGCTGTGATTCAAAACCAGGCATTCCACCTCGAGTGGCCATTACGCTGACTGCTCCTCCACCCTGGACCCACGCCATCCCCCTTGACACCTGCTGGCTACTCACATAAGTGGCCACGATGCTACCACGGGCGCAGGCAAGGGACAGGAAGAGGAAGGGTGCAGAGCCCAGGAGGCCAGTGGCACAGACCAGGGGATCAGCCCGGGGGTTGGAGTGGCGGAGCCGGCGGCTGATCTCCACACCCAGGCCCACACCCAGGACTCCGGTCAGGCAGGTGATGAGTCCAAAGATGAGACTAGGGGTGAGGGAAGGGAATGGGGGGTTTGTCCCTGTGCCTGCCAAGGCCCCTACGCTGTCCATCCTAGCCACCCTCACAACCAAGGTCCCTACAGACACAGCACCCCATGGTTGGCACAGCCCTGAGTGGCAGACATCATCCCATCACTTATTTCCCAGACCAGGAAACGGAGATTCCAGGAGAGCAGGCAGCTTGTGAAGTCAGGAGTCAAACTCCCTGCCTGGGTCTGAGCCACAGATGCTCTTCACTCCAGCCCTGCCACCCGCAGGCCCCCCAGCATAGCCCCATCTGGGCACCTGTCAGAGGAAGAGCAGGAGTCTCCGGGAAGGCAGGGTGGGGTCTCCCCAAGGACCACGCGGGAACGCAGCAGGAATGCCGGAGCCCACAGAGCCAGGGAGCCCGTGACAAAGGCCACAGCAGTGAAGCCCAGGGAAGACAGGACGAAACTAGGACTGCAGATAGTTGGGAGGGAGAGAGTAAGACCCCACGGAGGTGTCGAGGCAGGAGGGGACCTCTCTTCTCCCTTCCTGGCTTATTTTAGTAAGGTCACAACACCGTGCAGAGGTGGTTCTGGCTCCCAGGATCTGGGCCTGTAATTCAAGCAGCTGCCACAAGGGGACAGTATCGACCGAATTACTGGCCTTGGGGTGTGGCCAGGAACAGGAACATCCCCACTTAAACCTCAAACCAGACGCCAGGGGGCCTCAGATGGTGGTCTAGGGTGGGAATAAACTCACTTTCTTGCCAGAGCCCTCAGATCTGCCCACCACGAGGTGGGGTTCAGGGGTGGCAAATCTGAGTGGCGCTCCACGGCTCCCCTTGGCGGCTCCCGCACTACCAGGAACAGCAGCAGAACGGCCACCACTCCTAGACCCGGTGTCACCTGGGAGACAGAGGGCTTCAGGATAGGCACAGGGAGAGACACACTCAAGCCCTGGGCTGGAGGAGAGTGTGGGGTACAGATAACTCCAGCCTGAGACCTAAAATACCCAGTTAAGTGCCTGCTCCAAGAAGCCGAACCTGCAATCTGGGGGAAGGGGGCTGCCACTAGGGGCCACCCTATTTTTGCAAGCCTAGCTTTGTCTCCTCTTTGGTAATTTTCTTTTGGGAAACCAGTACCCCTACTTCTCTCAATCCACTTGGTTTAAATAGGATCCCAGGCTTGGCCAACAAGAGGACTGTTAACCACCCCAGCCTCGGTGACGGATTCCGCAGAGGGCACGTGATGCATGTTCATCTAGTCAGACGCTATCCTGGAAACACGGCCCCAGGGTCCAAGGTGCCAATGTTGCTAAATGGAAAGGTAATCATCTGGAGTTCTCACGTCCTTAAGAATGATGTTAACACAAAGGAAAGTAAAGCTCAGAAGAGAAGGGCAGTGTGGGAGCCCTGGATCCAGCTTTACCTGACTGAAGCTCACCTGGGACTTTCAGGAAGAAAGCCAAGACAGCCCCTTTAGGGGGCTTACGGTTTGTTTGTTTGTTTGTTTGTTTGTTTTCGAGACAGAGTCTCACTCTGTCACCCAGGCTGGAGTGCAGTGGTGCGATCTCGGCTCACTGCAACCTCCGCCTACTGGGTTCACGCCATTCTCCTGCCTCGGCCTCCTGAGTAGCTGGGACTACAGGCACCTGCCACCACGCCCAGCTAATTTTTTTTTGTATTTTTAGTAGAGACGGGATTTCACTGTGTTAGCCAGGGTGGTCTCAATCTCCTGACCTTGTGATCCACCCACCTTGGCCTCCCAAAGTGCTGGAATTACAGGTGTGAGCCACCGCACCCGGCCTCTAGGGGGCTTACAGTTTTACAATGGGCTTCTGTCACCTGCACGCAAGAATTCTGTCTAGCACATGGCTTCCAGGTGAGGGCAGCCAGTCTCCTGCAGGCTCAGCAGAATGAGAGCTGCCCCAAAAAAGGGGTATTTGGAGCCAGGCGCATGGCTCACACCCGTAAGCCCAGCACTTTAGGAGGCCAAGGCAAGAGGATTGCTTGAGGCCAGGAGTTCAAAACCAACCTGGGCAACATACAAAGACCCCATCTCTACAAAAAAAAAAAATTTTGTGTGTGCAATGGCACGATCTCTGCTCACTGCAACCTCTGCCTCCCGGGTTCAAGCGATTCTCCTGCCTCAGCCTCCCGAGTAGCTGAGATTACAGGCATGCGTCACCATGCCTGGCTAATTATGTATTTTTAGTAGAGACAGGGTTTCACCATGTTGGTCAAGCTGGCCTAGAACTCCTGACCTCAGGTGATCCGCCCACCTCAGCCTCCCAAAGTGCTGGGATTATAGGCGTGAGCCATCATGCCTGGCAAAATTTTTTTTTTTTTTTTTTGAGAAGGAGTCTCGCACTGTCGCCCAGGCTAGAGTGCAGTGGCACAATCTCAGCTTGCTGCAACCTCCGCCTCCTGGGTTCAAGTGATTCTCCTACCTCAGCCCCCCGAGTAGCTGGGATTACAGGCATGCACCACCACGCCCAGCTAATTTTTGTATTTTTAGTAGAGACAGGGTTTCACCATGTTGGCCAGGCTGGTCTTGAATTCCTGACCTCAAGTGATCCACCTGCCTCAGCCTCCCAAAATGCTGGGATACAGGTGTTAGCCACCACACCCAGCCTACAAAAAGAAAAAGTTTTTTTAATTAGCCAGGCATGGTGGCGGGCACCTATAGTCCCAGCTACTTGGGAGGCTGAGGTGGGAGGATCACTTGAGCTCAGGCGTTCCAGGCTACAGTGAGCTATGACTGCACCACTGCACTGCAGCCTGGGTGACACAACAAGACCCTGTCTCTTAAAAGAAAAATGGGCGGTGGGAAGGGGTCCAAAGGTAGGAAACAGGGATCAGTGAGAACGTCGCTGACCTACCCCCAGGCCAAGACCAGACTCACCCTCAGAGCCCAGTGCCAGTCTCCAGCCATATCCTTCACTTTGGAGCCTGCAATGTAGCCCAGACCACTGTGGGAGGGAGAGAGGGGAAAAAGGGGGGACAGCCAGTCAGTCCAGTCCCCCACACCAGGCCCTTCTGCCTTCCCCCAGGCCCCAGGCCCACTCACCTGCCCACCGGAATGGCAAAGTAGAAGATGCTGAGCATCCGGCTCCGCTGGTCGGCCACAAAGAGGTCGGCAATGAGAGTGGGCGCGATGGTGGAATAACTGGCCTCCCCGACCCCCACCAGGCCCCGGGTCAGGAGGAGCAGCCAGAAATGCTGGGGAGAGAGACCGGGGAGAGGTGGCACCCCAGCCTGCAACCAGCCTCCGGGCTACCTCACCAGCCCGCTCCCAAGAGGCAGCAGGGATGGCGGGAGATGCCTGGGTTTTAGAATCACACAGACCTGAGCTTGCATCCTGGCTCCACCACTTACTAGCTGCGATTTGGGGAAAATAACTTAACCTCTCTGAGCCTCAGTTTCCTCATCTGCAAAAGGAGGATAACAACAACTTTTCACAGAGCTATTGCAAGGACTAGACAATAAAAGGTCTAAATAAGACAACCCCTGCTTGCCTGGTAGGGGAAAGTTTTTTAATTTTTTTTTTTTAATGAATAAGTGACCTTAGATGGGAGTTTATGTGTCTACCAAAGGCACCTGAAGCTAAGGACGGGTACAGTCACCCAAGGAAAGTACGTAGGTCCTGGGGCTGAGGACAGAGTTCTGGGGTGGAGTGAGAACAGACAGAGGAGGCTTCAAAGGAACAAAGAAGCAACAGCCAGGGAGGCAGGAGGAAAGCCAGAAGAGTGTGGCATCGCAAAGGTAGGAGAGAGTTTCAGGAAGGAAGAGTGGGTCAACAGTGCCAGAGGCTCCTAGCATGAACAGGACCAGGAAGTTGGAGCTGTGTTTAGCAACTAGGAGGCCACTGTTAACTTTGGCAAGAGCAGGGTCCGTGGAGTGGTGGGAGCAGAAGTCAGTGGCAGCGCTCGAGGGGTGAGCAGGCGTGAGGAAGTGCAGGCAGAGTGATGGCATCTCCCCGGCTGCTCTTTTACCCACACTGGCACCACGCTCTAGGGGCCCTTCAGGAAGTCTGATCAGGAATGAGAGGAGGGAGAGAGGGCAGGCCAGGTAGGGTTTGGAGTGTTTAGGTATGGAGTAGAAGGAGTCAGTGGTCAGGGGAAGAGGGGATAATGGACAGAGAATGCTCTGGAAGAAAAGGGGAGGATGGGGTGGGGCAGGTTAACTCAGGCAAGGAGGGGTATAAAATGGCATGGACCAGGGAAACTGCAGGAGTCCCTGAGGCCCAGTCTGCCATAGCTCCAAGGAGCAGCAGCAGAGACTGACAGGGAGGGGGTGTGGGCAGAAACAGGAGCCAGCTTGGGGCCTCACCTCTCCGGGGATGAAGGATGACCCCAGTGTCACCAGGGACCAGAAGGCAATGCCCCCGCACATGAGATACTTCCGATTGTACCTGTCACCCAGGTAGCCAAACACAGGTGCCAACACCATGTAACTGGAGATGAACACTAGGGGGAAGCAGAGAGTCACAGCTCAGCCCAGGTACCCCTACCTCCCACTCCCACCCCAGCTGGAACCACTAAAGCACAGGAGATGCCTGCCTTCTCCTTACAGAATTCACAACACCCCCACATCCCAGCCTGAAGCCCATCAGAGCTTCCTGTCAGGCGGATGGTCCAGCTCCATCTTGAACACCTTTCCAGATTTCCCATTGTATAATGGATGGTCCCACTACTTGTCAATTCCTTCCACCTAGCCAAAACAAGCTCCAAACTCCATGCATACCATGGCTCACAATGCCCCTGTCCAATCTAGGCCCTGCCTACCTCTCCACACTCATGGCCAGCCTTTTTCCCTTCCTCTGTCTGCATCCCAATGGCCCAATTGTCAAGGCCAATACCACTAGGGGTTTAGGCACCTACTGCCTCCTCTATCAAGGACATTCTCTCCTCTCCCCCTGAAACTTCACAGAGCATAGTTCCTTCAGGTTCCAGCTCAGATACTTGCCCAGGGCCAAGGGTGAAGCATGCTGCCCAGGTGAGCACACATCCAGTACCTGACTCTCACATTTACTTTTTTCTCTTTTTTTTTTTTTTTTTTTTTAAACGAAGTCTCGCTCTGTTGTCAGGTTGGAGTGCTGTGGCGCGATCTCAGCTCACTGCAACCTCCGCCTCCCAGGTTCAAGCAATTCTGCCTCAGCCTCCCAAGCAGCTGGGACTACAGGGGCGTGCCACCACGCCCAGCTAATTTTTGTATTTTTAGTAGAGATGGGGTTTCACCATGTTAGCCAGGATGGTCTCAATCTCCTGATCTCGTGATCCACCCGCCTCGGCCTCCCAAAGTGCTGGGATTACAGGTGTGAGCCACAGCGCCTGGACTGTTTTCTGTTACATAACACTTATCCCTATGGGAAAACTGTCCCACTTTAGTTTAGCGTTTTACTGGCTGTTGCTGCCTCATGCATAGCGTACTATCAGCTCCCAAGGCAAGGTCCTTGCCTGTATTGGCCATGACTGTGTTTCTTTCACTTACTTAACACACAGCCTAGTGCAAAACAGGTGCTCAATAAGCATGTGAAGAGAGTGAATAAATCCGGCTGCCTAGAAAGAGCTGCTGCTCTAACTCAACAACTCTTCAGAGGTTTGAAGACCTTGCCCTATGATCCCATTCTCATTGCTCCAGACTTCACCTCAAATACCTCCAGTTCCTCATTGGCCTGGAGTAGAGAAAAGAACACTGCAAGACCTGGTTTCAAATTCCTGTTCCGCCTCCAACTGGTGGTGTGACCCTGGGCAAGTCTTAACTCTTCTCCAAGCCTCAGTTTCTTTATAAGCTGTAGATATCACTACCTACTTCCTCTATAAAATAGGAACAGTAACACCTATTTTTGACTGATAGAAGGATTAGAAGACAAGGGGCATAAAAGTTCTTCGCAAAGTCCTACAGGTGTAATCATCACTTCCTCCAGGCCTGGCACACAATGAGTACTCAGAAATGGTTGAGAAATGAATGAAGGATGGAAGGAAGAAAAAGGGCTTGGCTCTAGCTTTGCCTCTCCCACAAGTCCCAAAGTTGTGAACAAGTAAAACACACCTCTCCCCATTCCAGACACCCTCTCCTGCCTTTACTTATTTATTTATTTATGAGATGGAGTCTCGCTCTGTCACCCAGGCTGGAGTGCAGTGGTGCGATCTCGGCTCACTGCAACCTCTGCCTCCCGGGTTCAAGTAACTCTCATGCCTCAGCCTCCCAAGTACCTGGGATTACAGGCGCTCGCTACCATGCCTGGCTAATTTTTGTATTTTTAGTACAGATGGGGTTTCGTCATGTTGACCAGGCTGGTCTTGAACTCCTAACTTCAAGTGATCCACTCATCTTGGCCTCCCAAAGTGCTGGGACTACAGGCGTGAGTCACCACACCCAACCCTCCTGCCATTATTTACTGGGTGTCTACCATGTGCCAAACACTGCACTAGGCCCTTCACAGACAATCTTTTAGTTAATCTTCACATCAGTCCTAAGAGATGATTCGTGTTATTACTTGTTCCATCTTATAGACAAGGAAAATGAGGCTTAGAGAGGTTGAGTGCCTTGCCTACCATCACACAATAAGTGGAAGAGCTGAGATTTAAACCCAGGTCTGTCTTCACCTGGGTGAAGTTATACTTAGTTATACTAAACTGACTCCCTCTTTAAATGTGGTGTCCCGCTGACCCCCGAGCAACATCAGGGCCATCACCTCCCCTAACTGGCCACAAAACCTCCATTAATGAGCCCCTAGACAGGCCAGCGCGTGGCCCCACTTGAGACAGAACAGAAGGAGGAGCGGCTGTGTGACCAGGAGTGGTCCCCACTCACCGGTCTGGATGAGCCCAGAGCTACTGTCCCCGATGTTGAAGAACTGCTCGATGTCGGGAAGGACGCCTGAGGAGAAAATTCAGGATGGTCCGGCAAAGCAGCGCCACCCTCGGGACCCTGGCTCCCCTCTCCTAGACTATCTTCCTCCCAGAAGTGAGTCCCTACCAGCCACGGTGAAGCGGTCCATGTAGTTCAGGAGATTGATGTAGCACAGCACCGCCACTATGAGAGCCGAACGGCCGGGAGACAGGCCGGTGATGCGCTGCAGCCCCTCCTGGTCCGGGACCTCGGGCTCCTCGGACTTCGGGTTCCCCGTGGACCCTGGCAACCCCGGGGTGCCAGGCACTGGCCCGTCGTCCGGGTCATCCGCCTGGCTGAGGAAGGGCGCGGTGTCGGACCCGGCCATGGTCCCGGGGGGCCGCGCCCGCCCGCGCTCCGGTCCCACCGACGATCCCACCTGCGAGGGGAGGAGGCTGGAGAAAGGAGGATGGACCGAACACAGGCGAGGGAAGTGCGCCCGGAGACGGGGAGCTTGCCCTGAAGCACAGAGCACCACTGAGAAGGGACCCGGGCCCTGTCACGCCTCCCCGTCTCAGTAGACACACAGCGCGGAGGGGACGTGCGGAATACACGTGATGTCGGGGACAGGAGCGGGCTGAAGAGGGCACGATCCCACGCGGAGGCCACCCCTCACCCGGGGTAGGAGCCCGCTGCACTTGCTGTCGCTCAGCCCGGGCGCTGCACCACGGCAGCCGCCATGTTGCTTAAAGCCGGTCATGTGACGCGGGAGCCAGGGTGGAAGGGGTCCCCGCGGGCAAGCCTTCGACACGTGACCTGCCACCCGACTACGGAAGCCTCTTGGGCGTTCCGCCCGGGCTCACATGTCATGTGACGGCCGGCCGGTCGCCGGAGTAACCAGGAACTTTCCCAGACCCTGCGGTCCCTGGAGCGTCAAAAAGAGCGTCCCCGTGACTAGGTGGAGTCGCCTGCCCTTCCGAATCTCAGCTGTCTTATCTGGAACCCCCACGTGGCAGACTCCATCTTCATCAAACGGGATAATGGGGTCTCAAAAGGTTTTGGAAGTAGTAGATACCTCTAAAAGCCAAGGAGCAGCCCTAGTTCTCGGGAACCATCCTGTCTTCCTCCCAGGGTCTGGTTGGCGGCTTTTTACTCTCAATAAAGGATGGATGGATGGATGGATAAATGGATGGATGGAGCTTGAGCAGCGCGATGGATGGAGGATTGGAGGGACGGAGGGATGGACGGACGGACGGATGGAGCTTGAGCAACGCCCCGCCCTTTGTTGAGATTCCCCAACCCTGCTAGCCTTGTAAACTCCTGAGCCTTCACCGTGGACACTTAAATACCTATTAAAGGAAGCGTCTCCACCCGCCGCTCCTGGAGCATATTTTTCCTCACTCCAATCGGGATTGGAGCCCTTGCGCCCTCCGGTGGGCTTTTGTAGGGCAGGCAGGAGCTCCTAGCCTAAGGAGACTCCCAGCTGCAGGACTAGGGTCAAAGGGATAACTTGGGAGTGGTTCTTTAGTGGCACCCTATAATCTCCAAGCTACATCTAATAAAGCACTCTAAGTAAAATTAGTATAGTTCTGTGCAAATACAGCTTCAAGACCCATCTTTCAACCAGCCCTTAAAGGCCCTCTACTGAAATCCTGGAATCTCGTGGGGAGAGCATCCCCCAACCCCAAAACGCCTTGTTAGAAACTATTTCGAGTCCGAATACCCATAATTGGCTTTAACCCCCCCCCCCCCCCCATATTAGGTGCCTCGTGTTTCAGAACCTTAAGCTTGGTTTCCCCTGGCGGACAGGAACTTCAGGTTGCAGGCATTTAATTCCCTCAACAAGATATTATTGAACATGTATGTGCCTGGCATTTTACCAGGTTTCAGGGAAAGGCAGACTTACTCCCTTCCCTCGTGGAGCTTATCTAGAGAGTGATACGCATTGTAAATTGCACCTCTGAAGTGAAAAGGCAAGCCACAGGTTGAATGAAAATATTTACAAAGCATCTATCTGCCAAAGGACTTGTATCCATGTAAAGAACTCTTTTTTTTTTTCTTTCTTTCTTTTTTTGGAGACAGACGCTTGCTCTGTCACCCAGGCTGGAGCTGGAGTGTAGTGGCGGGATCTCGGCTCACTGCAACCTCCACTTCCGGGGTCCAAGCGATTCTTGTGCCTCAGCCTCCCAAGTAGCTGGGATAACAGGCACGTGCCACCACACCCGGCTAATTTTTTGTATTTTTGGTAGAGATGGGCTTTCAGCAGGTTGGCCAGGCTGGTCTTGAACTCCTGACCTCAAGTGATCTGCCCGCCTCAGCCTCCCACCGTGCTGGGATTACAGGGGTGAGCCACCATGCCCAGTGTCATTTTAATTTTTATATTTGTAGAGATGAGTTATCGCTATGTTGTCCAGGCTAGTCTGGAACTCCTGAACTCAAGCAATCCTCCCACCTCATCCTCCCAAAATGCTAGGACTACAGGTGTGAGCCACTGCACCCAGCTCTTTTGTCCATTTTAAAAATTGTGTTTTTGGCCAGGCACAGTGGCTCATGCCTGTAATCCTAGCCCTTTGGGAAGCTGAGGTGGGAGGATCACTTCAGCCCAGGAGTTCAAGATCAGCCTGGGCAACAAAGCAAGACTCATCTCTACAAAAAAACTAAATAAATAAAAATTAAATATACACTTCCCATATGACCCAGCAATTCCACTCCTAGGTAACCACCAATGAGAAATGAAAACGTGTCCAAACAAAAACCTGTATATGAATGTTCATAAATGCATTATTCATAATAGCCCAAAAATGAAAAGAATCCACATGTCCATCAACAGGGGCATAATCTATTCATACAACGGGAATAGCTTAACAAGAAAAAGGAATGAACTGTCAGAGACGTTCGGACCAGAGTGACTCCATCTTGAGTGACGGTTAGGAAAATAAGGCTGGGACTTGCTGGACTGAATTACAGAAAGTAAGGCATTCCTAGACTCGACATGTTTATGGTTAAGGAAACAATAACGTTTACTAGGCCGGGCGCAGTGGCTCACGCCTGTAATCCCAACACTTTGGGAGGGCGAGGCGGGTGGATCACAAGGTCAGGAGTTCAAGACCAGCCTGGCCAAGATGGTGAAAACCCATCTCTACTAAAAACACACACAAAAAATTAGCCAGACGTGGTGGTGGGCGTCTGCAATCCCAGCTACTCGGGAGGTTGAGGCAGAGAACTGCTTGAACCCAGGGGGCAGAGGCTGCAGTGAGCCGAGATTGTGCCACTGCACTCCAGCCTGGGCAACCGTGTGAGACACCGTCTCAAAAAAAAAAAAAAAAAATTAGCCGGGCATGGTAGCACACACCTGTAATCCCAACTACTCAGGAGGCTGAGGCAGAAGAATCACTTGAACCTGGGAGGCAGAGGCTGCAGTGAGTTGAGAGAGCACCACTGCACTCCCACCCGGGCAACAAGAGCAAAACTCCATCTCAAATAATAATAATATAATGTTTACTAAACAGACCCAGACTTGGGAGTGTCCAGATATCCCAATATATGGAGAACAAAGCATTCCTAATTTTGCTTTAAAGATAACAATATTGATTCTTGCTAAATATAGTAATTAAGAAAATTAGCCGGGCGCAGTGGCTTATGCCTGTAATCCCAGCACTTTGGGAGGTCAAGGCAGGCGGATCACGAGGTCAGGAGTTCAAGGCCAGCCTGGCCAACATGGTGAAACCCCATCTCTACTAAAAATACAAAAATTAGCTGGGCATAGTGGCGTGTTCCTGTAATCCCAGCTACTCAGGAGGCTGAGGCAGGAGAATTGCTTAAATTGGGACCCAGGAGGCGGAGGTTGCAGTGAGCCAAGATCGTGCCACAGCACTCCAGCCTGGGCGACAGAGCGAGACTCCATCTCAAAAAAAAAAAAAAAAAAAATCCTTTATCACAAACCCTTGTAGCAGAGCACATCTCCCCATATATATGAGTCTTGTACATAAGGTGGATGCCTTCCCCTTCTTACTTTCAGGAATGTCCTACTCTGTCTATGGAGTAGCTGTACTTTCACCAGTTTACTTTTTTTTTTTTTTTTTTTTGAGACGGAGTCTCACTCTGTAGCCCAGGCTGGAGTGCAATGGCATGATCTCAGCTCACTGTAACCTCTGCCTCCCAGGTTCAAGTGAGTCTCCTGCCTCAGCCTCCCAAGTAGCTGACATTATAGGCCCCAACCATCTCGCCCAGCTAATTTTTGTATTTTTAGTAAAGATAGGGTTTCGCCATGTTGGCCAGGCTGGTCTTGAACTCCTGACCTCAGGTGATCCGCCCACCTCAGCCTCCCAAAGTGCTAGGATTACAGGTGTGAGCCACTGTGCCCGGCCCAGTTTACTTTCTTAATAAACTTGCTTTTACTTCACACTGTGGACTCACCCTGAATTCTTTCTTGCACGAGATCCAAGAACCTTCACTTGGGGTCTGGATCGGGACCCCTGTCCTGTAACAGAACTACTGATACAAACGCAGAAACATTGTGTTAAGTAAAAGAAGCCAGACACAAAACACTGCATACTGTTATTCCATTTATATGAACATCCAGAGAAGGCAAAAGTAAGGTGACAGAAAGCAGATTAGTGGTTGCCTGGGGTCATGGGCAAGAGAAGGAAACTTTTGCACAACCGTGTACATCTACCAAAACTCACTGAAGGCCAGGCATGGTGGCTCATGCCTGTAATTCCAGCACTTAGGGAGGCTGAAATGGGAAGATGTTTGAGGCCAGGAGTTTGAGGCTGCAGTGAACTATGATTGCGCCACTGCACTCCAGCCTGGGTGACAGAGCAAGACCCTGTCTCTACATAAATAATTTTTTGAAAAAATTCACTGAACTGTATGCTTAAAATGAGTCAATGTTTAGGCATATTAATTAAACTACAATAGGCCGGGAGTGGTGGTTCACGCCTGTAATCCCAGCACTTTGGCAGGAGGATCACTTGAGTTCAGGAGTTTGAGACCAGCCTGGCCAACATGGGGAAACCCTGTCTCTATTAAAAATACAAAGATTAGCCAGGCGTGGTGGTGAACACCTGTAATCCTAACTACTTGGGAGGCTGAGGCAGGAGAATCGCTTGAACCTCACTGCAGAGGTTGCAGTGAGCCAAGATCGCGCCACTGCACTCCAGCCTGGACAACAGACTGAGACTCCGTCTCAAAAAAAAAAAACAAAGAAAAAACCAAAGAAAATATCATTCTGGCTGCAGCATGGAAGATGGATTTGAGAGGCCAGAGGGGAAACAGCCACCCGTGAAGCGGCTGTGGCACTAGCCTAGGCTGCAGGCAGTGGTGGCTTGGCCTAGGACAGCATGGAGACGGGCAGAGGGAGCTGATTTGGGAGGGAGCTGGGGCTATTAAGTTGAACGGGTGATGCAGTGGGTGTGGGGGATGAAAAGGGATCAAGAGTGAAGCTTTTCTGGCTCACGCAGAGATGGATGATGCTGGGATTCTTTGAGACAGGAGTTTAATCATTCAACAAACATTTGTTAGGATACTACTGTGTCAAGGTGTCAGACACCAAGCAAGAGACTTTTTTGAGATGGGGTCTTGCTCTGTTGCCCAGGCTGGTGTGCAGTGGCACAATCACAGCTCACTACAGTCTCGAACTCCTGGGCTCAAGCAATCCTCCCACCTCAGCCTCCTTCCTGAGTAGCTGGGACTACAGGCATGCACCACACACTTGGCTAATTTTTTTTATGTTTGTAGAGATGGGGTCTCACTAGATTGCCCAGGCTGGTCTGGAACTCCTGGCCTCAAGTGATCCTCCCACCTCAGCCCCCTGAAGTGCTGGGATTACAGGCATGAGCCACTGCGGCCCAGCCAAGAGATTTTTAAGAAGAGTTTATTTTCAAGGAACTTACAGTCCCATAGGGAAGCAAAACCTGGATGCGTGGATGGGTGTACCAAGCCAGACTCCAAGCAGAGGTGGGACACACAAAAGACAATGTGACCAGTCCTACGAGGAGCCTTATGGAAGAACTGACCCTGAGTTGGAGGGGGTGACAGGGGTAGGGAGGTGGGAGACAGTAAAGGCATAGAGAAAAAAAGGCAAAATGGTATGTTGCAACTTCAAGTATGATCAGCTACATTGCCATCACTTGGGACCTTGCTGGAAATGCAGCATCTCACGCCCCACCTGAGCTGCTGATCCAGCATCTGCACACTAACAAGGTCCCCAGACAACCTGTGTGCACACTGACGAGAGTCTCTGGTCTCCTTGAGAATTCTGAGCCATACATCAGACCCACCTGCATCTACACCGGGCTGTGCAATGGGAGGCCCTGTGGTCTAGAGCACGTTCATTCATCTTTCTAAGCTTCTGTCTTTTTTTTTTGAGACAGCGTCTCACTCTCTCGCCCAGGCTGGAGTGCAGTGGTGCGATCTCAGCTCACTGCAACCTCTGCCTCCCAGGTCCAAGCAATTATCCTGCCTCAGCCTCCCAAGTAGCTGGGACTACAGGCGTGCATCACCATACCTGGTTTTTTTTTCTTTCTTTTTGTAGAGATAGGGTCTCACCATGTTGGCCAGGGTGGTCTTGAACTTCTGACCTCAAATGATCCATCCGTTTAGGCCTCCCAAAGTGCTGGGATTACAGGCGTGAGCCACTGTGCCCAGCCCTAAGCTTCTGTTTTTCTTCTGTAAAATGGGAATAAGAACACCTACCTCACAGGATTGCTCTGAGGATGAATAAGGTTATGAAAAGAGCCAAGGTTGGTATGTGGCACTGAGTAAAGGAGCATTAAAGTTTCAAGGGTCTCTAATCAGGAGAGTTTGAGGAAGATTATCCAGAGCCAGCTGCAGTGGTTCACACCTGTAATCCCAGCACTTTGGGAGGCCAAGGCAGGAAAATTGCTTGAGGCCAGGAGTTCCAGACCAGCTTGGGAAACCTAGGGAGAGTCCATCTCTACACAAAAGTTTAACAATTAGCAGGTGTGTTGTCATTCACCTGTAGTCCCAGCTACTCAGGAGACTCGGGAGGATTGCTTGAGTCCACAAGATCGAGGCTGCAGTGAGCTATGATAGCACCACTACACTCCAGCCTGGGTGACAGAGAAGACCCTATCTCAAGAAAACAAAACAAGGCTGGGAACGATGGCTCACACCTATAATCCCAGCACTTTGGGAGGCAGAGGCAGGCAGACTGCTTGAGCTCAGCAGTTCAAGATCAGCCTGGGCAACATAGTGAGATCCTACCTCTACAAAAGATACAAAAAAATTAGGTGGGCATGCTGTCATGCACCTGTGATCCCAGCTAATCAGGAGGCTGAGGTGGGAGGATCACTTGAGCCCCGGAGGCAGAGGTTGCAGTGAGCCGAGATCACACCACTGCACTCCAGCCTGGGTGATAGAACAAGACCCTATAAAAAAAAAAAAAGAAGAAAAGAAAAAGAAAAAGAAAAAGAAAGATCACCCTAGATATTCTTTTAGACATGTGAAAGGATGAACAATCTCATCATAAAAGATAAAGAAATGCAGTCTTTCCCATACCCTTCCCAGATTAAGTCAGGGGAAGGTATGAGGAAACTGGAACCTTCCAGCACTTGCTAGGGGACATGTAAAAATGTACAGGCACTTTGGTTAGCAATCTAACAGTATTCAAGAATTAGTGACCAGTGATTCCACTATCAGATGGAAGCCCCCGAGAAAAATCCCACACAGGTACCCCAAAGGGAACACTACATTGCTTGCAATAGCAACATCCTGGAATTTGAACTGGGTTTGGTTATAAGTGGTAGAAACCCTAAAATAAGTGATTTAAAGAGGGGCAGCAGTCCCTCCTTCATGTGAAAGCCGAGGTCAGCACTGCCAGGCCAATGAGGTGCTACATGGATGCTGTGATCCAGGCGCCTTCCCTCACCATCCTGGCCCATGTGGTTTCTGTTCCAGAGGTCACCTTAAGTCAGTAGGGCTGCTCCACTTCCAGTAAGCAGGCAGGAGGCAAGTGAAAGAGAGGGGACAAGCTGCCCGCTATGCACACTTCTGGGAAGTGATACCCCATTCCACTTACACCCCAGGAGCCTGTATTGGCACTTGGCTACATCTAGCTACAGTGGAAGCCAGGAAGTACTGTCTTAATTTTTTTTTTTTTTTGAGACAGGGTCTTGATTGTTGCCCAGGCTGGAGTGGGTTGGCACAACCATAGCTCACTGCAACCTCAACCTCCTGGGTTCAAGCGATCCTCCCACGTCAGCCTCCCAGGGTGCTAGGTAGATTCCAGGTGTGTGCCCCCATGCCTGGCCACTGTTTTTATTCTGAGTGTCTCTGTGCCTCGCTAAAAACCATGGGTTCTAGTACCACAGAAGGAGGAAGAATGGATGTGAAGGAATAAGGATCTTATTCCTGTCTCTGTCACAAGGATCTTAGTGGGGGTCACATGAGGGCCACAAAGACAAAAATCCTCCAGTATACACAAGTTGAACATATTGCCATTTATTTTGTTGAGGTTAAACATATAATTTTAACGTATTCAAACTTATTAATGGACATTTAAAAAGCTGAAAAAGTGAAGAGCTGTACCATGTCGTGGATTATTTTAATGTCATAAAATTCAAAGGAATGCCACATTTCAATAAAACATTTTAAGAAGTTGACATACTTTTATTAGAATCATGCAAATATTAGAGAAAGGTTAATGGCTTTTTTTTTAGTAGACATTACTGAGAAAACTGGCTCATTATATCACAAAAAGTGAAACTTGGATCTCATATATAAAGGTGTATTTCACTGAATTTTTTTTTTTTTTTTTGAGACAGAGTTTCCACTCTTGTCGCCCAGGCTGGAGTGCAATGGCGCGATCTTGGCTCACTGCAACCTCTGCCTCCTGGGTTCAAGCGATTCTCCTGCCTCAGCCTCCCGAAGTAACTGGGATTACAGGCGCCTGCCACCACACCTAGCTCATTTTTTTTTTTTTTTTTTTTTGTATTTTCAGTAGAGACAAGGTTTCAGTCTTGAATTCCTAACCTCCGGTGATCCACCTGCCTCAGCCTCCCAAAGTTCTGGGATTACAGGCATGAGAAACCATGCCCAGCCGATTTCTCTCATTTTTTTTTTTTTTTTTTTTTAAGAGACAAGGTCTCGCTGTGTTGCCCAGGCTGGTCTCAAACTCCTGGGCTCAAGCAATCCTCCTGCCTTGGCCTCCTGAGTACAAAAGTGCATCTCAAATAGTTTTAAAATGATGTGCAATATTTAGCAACCAGTACAGCCCAGCATCAACCAATTAGAAGAAGTGTCTGACTGTTGAGAACAGATGCAGCCAAGGTGTCACCCCGGTGTGTACCAGCTGGACTTCAGCACTGTGTAGTGTTCTCAATATGAAAGGAAAAGCTGAACAGCTAACAGGAGAAGATGTAAAATATCTTAACAACTCTATTAAATAAGCAATCAAAAAGCAACCAACTGCAGAACAAGATAATTCATACTGTCTACATTAAAATTAAAATTTTCTTTTTTTTTTGAGACAAAGTCTCTCTGTCACTCAGGCTGATGTGCAGTGGCACTGTCTCTGTTCACTGCAGCCTCCACCTCCCGGGTTCAAGTGATTCTCCTGCCTCTGCCTCCTGAGTAGCTGGGATTACAAGCATGCGCCACTGCACCCAGCTAATTTTTGTATTTTTAGTAGAGATGGGATTTCACCAAGTTGGTCAGGGTGGTCTTGAACTCCTGGCCTCAAGTGATCCACCCACCCCGGCCACCGAAAGTGCTGGGATTACAGACCTGAGCCATCACGCCTAGCCAAAATTAAGAATTTCTGTTCAGTGACGGATACCCCTAGATACAAAGAAAATTTCAATTTTTTCCCCTTTAAATCTTTTTTTTGAGTGGAGCCTTGCTCTGTCGCCAGGCTGGAGTGCAGTGGTGGAACCTTGGCTCACTGCAATCTCCGCCTCCTGGGTTTAAGCGATTCCCCTGCCTCAGCCTCCAGAGTAGCTGGGACTACAGGTGTGCGCCACCATGCCCAGCTAATTTTTTGTATTTTAGTAGAGACGGGGTTTCACCATGTTGGCCAGGAGGGTCTCAATCTCCTGCCCTCATGATCTGCCCGCCTTGGCCTCCCAAAGCCCCCTTTTTAATTTTTTTTTGTAGAGACGAGGTCTCGCTATGTTGCCCAGGCTAGTCTCGAACTCCTGGGCTGCAGCGATCCTTCTGCCTGGGCCTCCCAAAGTGCTGGGATTACCAGTGAACCTCCATACCCAGCCCAAATATGCATTCTTGGAATTATCTGCAATTGCCCAAGAATGTACAAGCAACTCCTGAGAATAAACCAAAAAAGATAAGAAACTCCATGAGAAAATGGGCAATGCACAGGAAGGGAAACCAGAAAGGCTAAGTGAAAAAATTCCCCAAATTAATGCTGATCAGATGAATGTATGTTAAAGCACTGCACCACTATCTACCCATGAGACTGGCAAAAATTAGGTAGTCTGGCAATACAAGTGCTGGCAAGGATAAGGAGAAAAGGGCGGCCTCAAGTAGGAGGGTCAGTCACCGTTCTAAAGAAAATCTGGAAAACCAAAGAGAAACTGACCTCTGTGACCTATAGGCCCATCCTGGGTACACATGCCACACAAGCACAGAAGGGAACACACGAAAGGATGTTTATCGTGGCCTGTATCCGGTGCCAAGGGGTCAGGGGCACCCAGGTGTCCCCCACTTTAGGCAATGTGTGTAAACTGCAATTGACATTGTGGAGTGCCACATGGCAGGTCAAAGCAATACTGCATTTCTAGAAGAGTCAATGGGGCTAGATCTTAGCACACATTGAGTGAAAACAGCATAAGACCTATTGCACAATAGCACTATGTACAGTAAAAGCACATATTCACACATGAAACGTGGTATTTTACAAATACATTCATATTCAAAGACATGGGTGCTTATGGGAGAGGATGGTGTAAAGAAAGGGAAAAAAGCCATAAAACCAGAGAATCTTTGCATGGGACTGTATTCCTGAGATCCCAAACCAAAGGGATGAATGTGCTGTTATGCCTTAAATGTGTGCACCAGGAAATGCAAACTAGAAAGGGTGGCTCTGAAGGGTCCTCAGGTGAGGAAGACCCCCAGGGCTGAGAATCCACCACCTTCATCCTTCAAAAGAGTACCTCAGTTGTCTGCTTACGCTTCAGCCAGCATGTGTGAGCTTGGTCATTTCCTGCAAGCCAGGCAACCACACCAGTGTATAAGCCTCAAGCAAATGTCACTCCCAAGCCCCAAATGGGACTAAGGCCTCTGCTGGGCTAGGCGTGGTGTAAATCCCAGGCCTGGAAGCTCCTACCCAACCCTCATTTGTTTCAACTCACTTTCAATATGTGCATAGTTTCATAAAGCAGACATTTCCATGAGGAAAAGAGGATGGTGGTGAAAGGGGAGGGGTGAAGGGACATCTCCAAGTCACAGAGGCTGCAAAACTCAGCATGACTTGTGGACGGAGCCACAGGCCACCCAGGGCAACAACACCCACATAACTCACCAAGTGGTTAACGGCTCTAAACCAGGGTCAACAGGAGAGGGGACAAAAGTCACTCCTTGATTTTGCTGCAGCTTAAAGATAAGTTCTACCTCAGCTTATGCTAGCCCTTATGGGGCAAAAAAGGGAAAGTCATTCTCCCCAAGTCCAGGCTGGGCCGTCAAACAGGGAGTGGGGTGTCAGCCCCAGACCTCAATGAGGTCCCCAGATTCCATGCCCAGGTCAGCTGGCAGCTCCCTGCCTGAAAGCTTTGTCCCATCAAAGAAGAAGGAGAGCTTCCGTCCCGACAGTCCCATGGCCTCCTCATAGTGGGACATGAGGGTCTTTAGAGGGGAATCCTGGATGGAGACAAAAGAAAATGGACGTCAGAACATGAAAGGGGGCGGGGATCCCGTAGGGATAGACGAGGAACTTGGGACAGGGAGGATGGCGGCAGGGGCGGAAACAATAAAGTCAGGGCCCCATGCGGGGAAAGGAGAGAGGACAAAGAAGCCAGCCCAGCCAGGCTCCTCTCTGGGAGCTGGGACGAATCCTGTCATCCCTCTGGGCTCCAAGTTGCTCAGGTAGAGGACGGGGGCCACGAGCCCAAGGCTTAGGGGTATAGGCTCTAAGTCAGGCAAGTCCTCCTAGCCTCAGCCTCCTTCCCTATGAAACAGAAGTGTGTACCAATGACTAAGAGAGCCCAGATTCTAGAGTGAGGATGAGTCGAGCTGGAGGCCAGGCTCTCCCACCTATTAGATATGTGACCTTAGAAAAATGTTACAGGTTATGTTCCCCAGAGAAGACACCTTGTGGTCTTAACCCCTGTTAAGTGTGAATGTGATGTGATTTGGAGACGGGGCCTTTGCAGATGCAATCAAGTTGAGGTTGTACTGGATTGGGACGAGTGCTAATGCCGTGGGACTGGTAGACAACTCACTGCAACCTCTGCCTCCTGGGTTCAAGCAATTCTCCTGCCTCAGCCTCCTGAGTAGCTGCAACTACAGGCACAGGCCACCACACCCAGCTAAGTTTTTGTATTTTTGGTAGAGACAGTTTCTCTGTTGCCCAAGCTGGTCTCAAACTTCCTGAGTTCAGATAAGCCACCCACTTTGGCCTCCCAAAGTGCTGGGATGACAGGCGTGAGCCCCCGCACCCAGCCTGGGACTGGTATGCTTATGGAACAGACACAGAAACAGACATGAGGGGAGAACACACGTGATGACAGAGGCAGAATGGAGTGCACCTGCAAGCCAAGAATGCCAAGGACTGTGGGCCGCCAGCAGGAGCCAGGAGGAGACAGGGCAGATTCCATGAAGAGACCCTGAGGGACTGCGTGATGTTGTCAAATATATATTTGGTCTTTGTATGTTTCCTGGTATAAAATTCCTAAAATCCCTGGGAAAGAGTTAAGTATCTTTTTGCATGCTAATGAGTTGACTGGTGGCTGGCAGCCCCTAGAGAGCTTCAGGAATGGTGCTGGTCACTAGAAAGACCAAGGTAGGATAAGACAGTTGGGACTTTTTCCCCACCCCTCAACCTCCAAGAAGGAGGGAGAGAGTGAAGGTTGAGTCACCACCAATAGCCCATGGTTTAATCAGTCATGCCTATATAACAAAGCTTCCATAAAAATCCAGAGGACAGGGTTTGGAGAACTTCCCAATAGTTGAACATGTGGTGATTCCTGGAGAATGGTGCCCAGGGAAGCTATGGAAGCTCTGCGCCCTTTTCCCATGCTGTGCCCTACACATCTCTTCATCTGTATCCTTTGTAACATCCTTTATAATAAACCAGTAAATGAAAGTAAGTGTCTCCCTGAGTTCTGTAAGCTGCTCTAGCAAATTAAACCCAAGGAGGGGGCGAGGTGCAGTGGCTCATGCCTGTAATCCCAACACTCTGGGAGGCAGAGGTGGGAGGATCAGTTGAGCCCAGGAGTTTGAGTCCAGCCTGGGCAACATAGTGAGACCCCGTCTACACAAAAAAAATTAAAAAATTAGCCAAGGGTAGTGGCACACACCTGTAGTCCCAACTACTCAGGAGGCTGAGGTAGAAGGATCGCTTGAGCCCAGGAGTTTGAGGCTGTGGTAAGCCAAGATCGCACCACTGCACTCCAGCCTGGGCAACAGAGCAAGACCCTGTCTTTTTTTTTTTTTTTTTTTTTTTTGAGACGAAGTCTAGCTCTGTCGCCCAGGCTGGAGTGCAGTGGCTTGATCTTGGCTCACTGCAACCTCCGCCTCCCAGGTTCAAGCGATTCTTCTGCCTCAGCCTCCTGAGTAGCTGGGACTATAGGCGCATGCCACCATGCCCGGCTAATTTTTTGTATTTTTAGTAGAGACAGGGTTTCACCATGTTGATCAGACTGGTCTTGAACTCCTGACCTCGTGATCCGCCCACCTCAGCCTCCCAAAGTGCTGGGATTACAGGCGTGAGCCACCACGTCTGGCCCTGTCTCTTTTTTGTTTTTTTCAAAAGAAAAGAAAAAAATCCTGAGTTTGTTTTCTTCCCCCATATCTTCAGAGACACTTGCTCTGCTAACACCTTGATTTCAGACTTCTACCCTCCAGAACAATGAGAGAATAAATTTATGTTGTTTTAAGCCACCCAACTTGTGGTACTTTGTTACAACAGCCAAAATACAAAAGTGGGGTGCTGCTGGAATAAATGGTTAAATGTAACAGTGGCTTTGAAATTGGATCAGGGCTGGAATAATTTTTTTTTTTTTTTTTTTTTTTTTTTTTCAGATAGGGTCTTGCTGTCTCCCAGGCTGGAGTGCAGTGGCCCAATCTCAGCTCACTGCAGCCTCAATCTCCTAGGCACAAGCGATCCTCACACCTCAGCCTCCTGGGTAGCTGGAACTATAGGCCTGCGCCAGCATGCTGGGCTAATTTTTGTATTTTTTGTAGAGGCAGGGTTTCACTATGTTGCCCGGGCTGGTCTTGAACTCCTGAGCTCAAGCAATCTGTCCATGTTGGCCTCTCAAAGTGTTAGGATTACAGATGTGAGGCACTGTGCCTGGCCAAAGCTGCAAGAATTTTGAGGTGTATGTTAGGAAAAACCTAGACTGCCTTGAAGAGACTGCTGGTAGAAATATGGACATTAAAGGGAATGTCCCTGCAGGCTCACAAAGAGGAGAGGTGCAGAGAAATCTCCTATCATCTTAACAGGATGCATATATTGTTATGAACAGAAGGCTGCTAGAAATATGAATATTAAAGGTGTTTCTGGTGAGGTCTCTGGAGGAAATGAGGAATGTGTTATTGGTAACTGGAATAAAAGTTTCCAATAAAGGTGGCGCAATCATGGCTCACTACAACCTTGATCTCCCAGGCTCAAGCAATCCTCCTGCCTCAGCCGCCTGGGGAGCTAGGATTACAGGTGCTGGGGTTACAGGTGTGAGCCACTGCACCTGGCCCAATTTCTCACTTTTGAAATGGGAATGTCTATCCTATGTCTGTCCCATCACTGTATTTTAGAAGCAAATAACTTATTTTCTAGATTTCACGGGTCCGCAGAGAGAGAGAGAGAGGAATTTTGTCCCAGAATGGACCATACCAAGTCTCATCCAAAACTGATTTAATGATTTAGAAAATAAGATTGGGACTTCTTGAGTTGATTATATTTAAATGAGATTTTGGGCTTAAGAGTTGATGCTGGGATGGGTTAAGACTTGTAGGGATATTGGAATGGGATGTATATATTTTGCAGATGGGAAGGCCATGAATTTGGTGGGGGCTAGAGAACAGTGTGTTAAGGGTTGAACTGTATTCCCCTGAAAAGGCACTTTGTGGTCCTAACCCCTAGTAAATGTGAATGTAACCTTATTTAAAGTAGGGACTTTGCAGATATAATCAAGTTGAGATGAGGTTGTGCTTGGTTAGAGTGGGGCTAGCCCAACATGACCTATGTCTTTCCAAGAAGAGAGACGAACACAGACAGAGACACATGGAGAACACCGTGTGATCACAGAGGGAGAGACTGGAGTGACACAGCTGCAAGCCAAGGAACTCTGGCCACCAGCAGAAGCTAGAAAGAGGTAAGGAAGGTTTCCACTCAGATTCTCAGACGGAACCAGGCCCTGCCAACACCTTCAATTCAGACTTCTAGGCTCCAGAAGTGTACAGGAATAGGTTTCTATTGTTTTAAGCCACCCAATTTGTGTATTTCGTTAACAGTAGACTTAAGAAATGAATGCAGCAGGCCAGGCGCGGTGGCTCACACCTGTAATCCCAACACTTTGGGAGGCCAAGGTGGGTGGCTCACTTGAGGTCAGGAGTTTGAGACCAGCCTGGCCAACATGGTGAAACCCTGTCTCTACTAAAAATGCAAAAATTAGCCCAGCACGTGCACCTGTAATCCCAGCTACACGGGAGGCTGAGGAAAGAGAATCACTTGAAACTCGGAAGGCAGAGGCTGCAGTGAGCCAAGATCATGCCAGACTTCAGCCTGGGCGACAGGGCGAGACTCTATCTCAAAAAAAAAAAAAAAAAAAAAATGACTGCACCAAGTTGCTTATTCCACCTCTCTAGAACTCAATCTTCTTATTGCCAAATGAGGATAACAACAGTGCTTTGTGGCCCACATCAGATTGTTGTGAAATTAAATAAGATCCTGAATGTGAGGAAATTATCCTCAGCACGGGGACTAGCACTTAGCCGTGTGGCCTTCATTGTTATTTTGATGGGTTTTATTGATTACCGTCTAAGGGTCCTTTCTGTTTTAATCAGAAGGAGTCAGGAGACCGAGGGAGCACCCAGACTAGGGCAGAGGGTACCAGTAGAAGCGGGGAGGGAAGTTGAACGATGGGTTTTCCCACTACCTAGGATGGCTGGGAACCCAAGAACATGGAGGGCAGTGTCTCCTGCAAGTCAAGATTAGGGGAATCCATCCTCCATTAACTGACAAGAGAGACAAGAGGCAGCAGAGGACAGGGTGAGGGGCGTGGAGAGCCATCTCTCCCACTCACTCGAGACAGTGAGACTTCCAGTGTCTGGTGTTTCTCCTTTCCCTGCACCCGGAGCTGGAGCTGTTGGGACGTCTCTGTGGCCTCTGGAGAACTTGTTAGTACCACACAGTCTGTGGGAGGCAGAATCAGGAAGCCAGGGCTAAGTGGGGGCTTGGAAGCAGGGCCCGTGCTGAACCTCTCCCCATATCCCCTTCCCCTGGCAAATGCCTCAAGGCCCCACCTCCCTGCCTTCCTCTCACCAATGATGTCAGCCACTCCGAGCTTTAGGGTCCTGGGAGTGGCAGTAGGTGATAGCTCTGTCTCTCCAAAAAGCAAAAGGATCCTGCTTGGGGACACCCCAAGGTGGGTGGCCATGTGGTCCACCACACTCTGCAGGGGCTCCGACTAGGGATGGGGACAACAAGCAAAAGAGGTCTTCCTGCCTTGAAATCCATGCCCCCAGCCACACCACCCAAACACAAGCTCTGGCCTTAGCTACTTGCTAAGCTCCTCAGCTGTGAGTTTCATCATATTTACCTGGCAAGGTATAGAATAAAATCGTGTCAGCAAGGGGTACAGGCGAGTAACACAAAGAAATATAGCAGCCATGGGTTAGAACAAAGAAAGGGGTGGTGGGGATTGCAGCAAACTGGAATTCACATGCCACCTAGACAGGCTGGCTGTTACGCAGCTCCAGCTGATTGGCACTGTGTGGGAACGTGGGCCAGTATGACATCTTCCTATATTTTTCTTTTTTTTTTTTTTGAGACGGAGTTTCGCTCTTGTTAACCAGGATGGAGTGTAGTGGCGCAATCTCAGCTCACTGCAACCTCCGCCTCCCAGGTTCAAGTGATTCTCCTACCAGGCTGGTCTTGAACTCTTGAATTCGGGTGATCCACCTGCCTCGGCCTCCCAAACTACAGGGATAACAGGTGTGAGCCACCGCACCTGGCCACATCTTCTTATTTTTTAAGAGAAGCCAGAAATCTGGACCTTTTTTTTTTCTTTCTATTTTTAGTAGAGGCGGGCTTCACCATATTGGCCAGGCTGGTCTTGAACTCCTGATCTCAGGTGAGATCTGAGGCAGAGTCTCGCTCTTTCATCCAGGCTGGAAGGCAGTGGCACCATGCCCAGCTAATTTTTGTATTTTTAGTAGAGATGGGGTTTCACCATGTTGGCTAGGCTGGTCTCGAACTCCTGACCTCAGGTGATCTGCCTGCCTTCACCTCCCAAAAGTGCTGGGATTACAGGCGTGAGGCACTGCACCCGGCCAGAAATCTGGACCTTTGTATGAAATCACCCATCACAAAGGTGACAACAAACTCGTATATTTTTAAAGCACTTGGTCAGGCATGATGGCTCACACCTATAATCCCAGCATTTTGAGAGGCCGAGGCGGGAGGTTTGCTTGAGGTCAGGAGTTCAAGATCAGCCTGAGCAACAAAGCAAGATCCCATCTCCATTTTTTTTTTTTTTTAAGAGACAAGGTCTTGCTCTCTCACCCAGGCTGCAGTGCAGTGGCATGATCACAGCTGACTGCAGCCCCCAACTCCTGGACTCAGAAGATCCTCTTGCATCAGCCTCCCAAGTCGCTGGGACTACAGGTATGTGCCACCATGCCTGGTTAATTTTTTTATTTTTAGTAGAGACAAGGTCTCACTATTTTGCCCAGGCTGGTCTCGAACTCCTGGCCTCAAGTGATCCTCTCACCTTGGCCTCCCAAAGTGCTGGGATTACAGGAATGAGCCACCATGCCTGGCCCCCATCTCTATGTTTAAAAAATAAAATAGGCCAGGCACGGTGGCTCATGCCTGTAATCCCAACACTTTGGGAAGCTGAGACAGGGGAACACTTGAGATCAGGAGTTCAAGACCAGCCTGGCCAATATGGTGAAGCCCTGCCTCCACTAAAAATACATAAATTAGTCGGGCATGGTGGCGGGCACCTGTAGTCCAAGCTACTCGGGAGGCTGAGGTGGGAGAATCGCCTGAACCTGGGAGGCGGAGGTTTCAGTGAGCAGAGATCGTGCCACTGCACTCCAGCCTAGGCGACAGAGTGAGACCCCGTCTCAAAAAATAAAAATAATAAAAAATAATAAAATAAAATAAAATAAGTCTACAAAGAAAGCAGACACACTGTTGGAAAAGCCATGGGCTGCCAGTTTGCAGCCTCTGCCTTAGTTGCTTGACTGATGCACTGTGCATCAGTAATGGTAATGTCTGTTATCATTCCTGGTGTTGAAACAGGGTCATCCCTACAAAAATATCAGGCTTCGCCAGGAAGCTGGTGGAGTTCAGGGTGACTGAGTGACATCTGCTGTGTCCAGGGCAGTGAGAGCAAGCCCAGGAGGGAAGCCCAGGTTCCTAGGGAGGAAGGCAAGAGAGACTACCAAAAAAAGCTTCTTAGAAGACAGGATGCTTCACACCTGGAATCCCAGCACTTTGGGAGGTCAATGAGGGACGATCACTTGAGCCCAGGAGTTCGGAACCAGCCTGGACACAGTAAGACCACTTTTTGAAGGAAAAAAAAAGACACAGGATGCTTATGAGGAGCCTTGAAGAATGGGTAGAAAGTTTGCCAGAAAGAGAGGGGAGCGTTGGGAAAATGCAGACAGAGGAAACAAAAAGTGTGAAGGCAGGACAGACTGAAAAGAATGATGGGCAGCTCTAGAGAGCAGGATGGGAAAAGGATGACAGTCCCTTCTGCCAGGACACCCCTGCTGGACACCACCATCTCTCCAGAAGCAGCTCCTGGGTCCTTCTCCCATGGGCCTCAGGCACTCACCATCCTGAGGGGCAATCTGACCAGGTCAGCCCGGCAACGGATTTTGAGTGGGAAGAGTCGGGGGGTCTCTGGGAGGGTGGGCCCTTCCACCAAGACCACTTCATCCTCTTGGCCCTGTTGCTCTTGACCCTGAGGTGGCTTGGGGCTCAGACAGGAACGGAGATCCTGGAGGCGCTTGTTCACCTCACTGCAGTGCAGACAGGACTCTGGGTCAACTGGAGTCAGCCACCCTCCCGGATTGCCCTCTTCCATCCCAGCCAGAGCCCCTGCACTTGGCACCTTAACTTCTTGAGTGCCCGAGTATGCGTTCTGCTTTTGGTCCTTGGTGAAGGTGGGGACAGAGGAGAGTTGTCCAGATCCCTGTAGAAGCAAGAGACAGCAGGACGGAGGCAATGGAGAGAGACTGGCCCCACAAATCCTAGAAATCAGATCCTTGGACAATCAAGCATAGTCGGACGCAATGGCTCACACCTGTAATCCCAGCACTTTTGGAGGCTGAGCCAGGAGGATCGCTCGAGCCCAGGAGTCCAAGACCAGGCTGGGCAAGATGGGGAGACCCTATTTCTACATAATTAGCCAGGCATAGTAGAACACAGCTGTAGTCCCAGCTACTCAGGAGGCTGAGGTGGGAGGGTCGCTTGAACCCAGGAATTTGAGGCTGCAGTAAGCTATGATCACGCCACTGCACTCCAGCCTGGGCAATGGAGTGAGGCCCTATCTCTAAAAATGTAAAAATACATTTAAAAAATAAAGAGGAAGCAGCTTCCAATAACCCCCATTTCACTGGAAGGCAGGGGTAGGGGAGAGGGAAAGCCTGAGGCATCATTTTTATATTTACATGACCTGAATATTAGGGAAGAAAATGCCTCATTTTTGAGACTGTCACTTCCCAGGAAAATGTCCAATAATATCCGACAGACGGCAAGCACTTACCATATGTCCAGTGTTGCCCAGGCTGGTCTTGAACTCCTGGGCTCAAGTGATTCACTCCCCTTGGCGTCCCAAAGTGCTGGGATTACAGGCAAGAGCCATTGTGCCTAGCCAAGTGTTAACTCTTGATTGACTCAGCAATTCATTGACACAAATGCCACTATTATCCCCAGGTTTGGGGGTATTTTTTGTCTGTCTGTTTGTTTGCTTTTTAGAGACAGGGTCTCACTCTGTCACCCAGGCTGGAGTATAGTGGCACGATCATGGCTCACTGCAGCCTCTAACTCCTGGGATCAAGCGATTTTCCCATCTCAGCCTCCCGAGCAGCTGGGATCACAGGCATGCGCCACCATGCCAGGCTAATTTTTTTTTATTTTTTGTAGAGACAGGGTCTCTCTATGTTTCCCAGGCTATAAAACGGGGTTTTATAGATGAAGAAAGAGAAGCACAGAGAGGACAGGGAAGCTGGATTGGAACCATACCTTAAGCTCACATTACTAGGGTCTCAGAATCCACTCCCAAGGGTGATCCTGAAGGGTTCACTGTCACCCTCCGGGGTAAGCCACCTCTTTTCCCCAAGCGATTCATTCCCCACATGAAACTCAACAGTCCTTCTATCCCTTCTTCTTAACCTTTCAGGAGTCACCCAAGAGTCCTGCCTGCCTCCGCTTACCCCTCCAACTCACTTCCTGCTCCCAGGGCCCAAGGGCCCTGGCCTCACTCACAGAAACTCTGTCTTTTTCTTCTCTTCTTTATCCTTAGTCCTCAGCTTTGTCTTCCAGGGAGAGCCTGGTGATGGGGAGCCCTCATGGTAGAGACCACTCGAATCTGCCAGCTCTGCCTCTGGGGGCAGAGGAAGAGAAGGTAGAAGGGGGTTATCCAAGGGAGGCCAGCGAAGGCCAAGAAGAAACAAGTCAGAGGCTTCAAGAAGGTCCTAGGAAAGGAGGAGACCACGGAGCCCCTGGCACACACAGGGCCACATGATAATATTGGGAAAGGGGGCAGGGGATGAGACTGCTATTTAGTATAAAGATAGCTCATATTAACTTAAAATTAACTTAAATTTCTCATGAAAGGAAACCAGGTATTATTTTCTATAATATAGAAATTTCTATTTGCCCGCTGTCAATAAAAGATCATCACAAACCACAAAAATAAATACTGTGAAAATTAAAAAATGATAAGAAACCCTAGATCAGTGGCTCTGAACCAGGGACAATTTTGCCTCTGCGGGGACATATAGCAATGTTTAGAGACAATATTGGTTATCAAAATGTGGAGGGCGAGGGGGCTGAGGTATAATACTTCCCAGGGATGGAAGTCAGGATGCCGCTAAACTTTCTACAATGCACAGGACAGTTTCCAACACCAAAGAATTTTCCAGTCCAAAAAATGCCAGTAATGCTGAAGTCATGAAATCCTGTCCTAACTAACTATGGCAGCTGCAAGAGGCCTATGATTCTGCATTTCGTTTTTCTTTTTTTTTTTTTGAGACCAGGTCCTACTGTGTCACCCAGGTTGGAGTGCAGTGGCATGATCATGGCTCACTGCAGCCTCGACTTCCTGGGCTCAGGTGTTTCTCCCACCTCAGCCTCCTGAGTAGCTAGGACTACAAGTACACATCACCATGCCTGGTTAATTTTTTATTTTTCTGTAGAAACAGGGTCTCATCATGTTGCGCAGGCTGGTCTCGAACTCCTGGGCTCAAGCAATCCTCCCATCTCAGCCTCCCAAAGTGCTGGGATTACAGCACTTTGAGCCATTGTGCCCAGCCGATCCTGCATTTCTAGCAAGCTTCCAACGGATGCCATATATGGCTGGGCCCACGTTTTGAGTATCAGGGATAGAGGTACCTTTTACGTAGCACTTCTGTGTCCTAGGTACTGTCCTAAAGCATATATCTAGCCAAGAGGCAGCTCTCTCTATATTCCCTTTCGTTAATTCTCACCAAAATCAGCACCAAAATGGGGTCTACTATTATCCCCACTTTGATAATGAGGAAATTGAAGCACTGAGAAATTAAGAAACTTGCCCAGGCTGGGCGTGGTGGCTCACGCCTGTAATCCCAGCACTTTGGGTGACCAAGGCAGACAGATCACCTAAGGTCAGGAGTTCGAGATCAGCCTGGCCAACATGATGAAACCCCATCTCTACTAAAAATACAAAAAAGCCAGACATGGTGGCGGGCGCCTGTAATCCCTGCTACTCGGGAGGCTGAGGCAGGAGAATGGCTTCAACCTGGGAGATGGAGGTTGCAGTGAGCTAAGATTGCGCCACTACACTCCACCCTGGGTGACAGAGTGAGACTCTGTCTCAAAACAAGAAAAAAGAAACTCGCCTAAGATCACACAGCTATTAAGAGATAGAGCTGAGGCCGGGCACAGTGGCTCACGCCTGTAATCCCAGCAATTTGGGAAGCTAAGATGGGCGGATCACCTGAGGTCAGGAGTTCAAGACCAGCCAGGCCAACATGGTGAAACCCCATCTCTATTAAAAATACAAAAAATTAGCCAGGCGTGGTGGGAATTAGTCAGCTACTGGGAAGGCTGAGGCAGGAGAATCGCTTGAACCCAGGAGGTGGAGGTTGCAGCGAGCCGAGATCGTGCCATTGCACTCCAGCTTGGGCAACAAAAGCGAAACTCTGTCTAAAAAAAAAAAAAAAAAAGAGAGAACTGAGATTCAAACCCAGGCCAGATGGCTCCTGTTTGCTTTTAATCACCCCACTGTACTCCCTCATGGTACAAGAGTCTTGGTCCAAGGTCTCCATTTGCCCACTGGATTATTTCCTTATTAGACTAGATTCCTATTCCCCGCCCTTGAGTTGTTTGCAAAAAATGCATCAGTGGGGGAGGACAAAGACAGGGCATCCCTGATAAGATTCAGAGAACACCCTGCTGGCTCCAGTGTTCCCAAAGAACTTGCTGCAGATGTAACAAGATGTCACAGATTCTCAACACCTTACCGCCTCCTGCCCCGCCCAGGACTACAGAATCAGCATCTCTTCAGGTGGCACCAGAAATGTATACATTAATACATTCTATGCTTGTTAACAATCCAGCTCCTGTGGCTGGGATGCAGGAGTCCCCTCTCCCACGCTCTTCCCTTGAGCCTCAGGAGACAACTGACTGCAGGAATATAAACCCCAGGAATTCTCTTAAGAGAAGCCAGCGGCTGCGTGCCTCTCCCTGGAGGCCCTCCCTTACCTTCCTCATCCCCTGGAGGGTAGAGTTTCAGGAGGGATAGATCATCTGGGATAAGGCGAAGGCTGCTTTTAACCTGCAAAGACAAAGAAGGGAGAGGGGTCAGGCCCAAGTCCTTCCCCTACCGAAAGAAAAAATTGGGGGTAATTCTTCCCTGACACCCAGCTCCCAAATCCTCCCTAAGATCGTGGACACCTTGGCCCTCTCCTGGCAACCTAGAAGTCCAGCTTCCCCAGGATTCAGAATGGAAGTACCCTTCACCCTTTCCTCCATCTGCCTAAGACACTCTGAAATGTATGCTTCCTTGCCCTTTTTAACTAGGTTACTAGCCGCCCCTCTACCCCTGACTCTTAGGGACTCTCAGCCCATTGCTCACACGACCATCGGGGGACCCCAGCCTCTGGAGCCGCCCAGTCCTCTCTGAACCCGCATGGACCCCAACCCCCAATACTGCAGCTCCCTGGCTTCATTTGCCATGGACCCCAACCTCAAAATCCAACGGCCCCAGGTCCTCCCAGTCCCTCTCCAAAATCTCAGGAATCCCAGCTCTTCAGCCTCCCTGTGCCCCCAAGACTCTAGCTCCTAGGAATCCTAAACTTCCAACGCATCCCACCCTCCTTCACCACCCCAGTCTGCAGAAAGTCCCGGAGCCCTGCCTCTCCCTGCCTCCAACACCCTAACGCCCGAGGACCAGCCCCAGAACGCCAGCCTCAACACCCCTATAGCCCTACCCTCCCCGAACGCCGGCCCCTCCCTGGAGGCCAAGCCCTTGGCCCTTCCGCCGGTCCCCTCCCCGGGACCGGGCGCACCTTCCCCGAGTACACCGGAACCAGCGGCGCCTCCCCCGGATCCAGCACCAGCCGCCGCCGCCGCCTGACCGGCTCCCGCGGGGGTCCTGCGGGCCGCCTGTCCTCCCCTTCGCTGTCACTGTTGCTGTTATCCCGGGACGCGACCGGCCCCGGGGGCTCCGGGGGCTCCACCTCAACCTCGTCCGCGGCACCGCGAGCGGTGGCGACCTCCAGAATTTCCTCATCGCTGTCGGTGACCAAGTCCACAGACACTACGTCCAGCGTGCCCCGGGATGGAGACCGCTGGGCCCGAGGACGCCGGCCCCGACCGCCCCAGCCGCCCCGACCCCCTCGGCCGGCACCGCTACCTCCGGACCAGCGGCCCCGCTTCCCCACAGGCTCCGCCATGGCACACTTTCCTCCACAACACACGCCCGCCTCCTCTCGCCTCGCCCCGCCCCCTTCAGCGACTTTCGCCTTGCATTGGACAAACAGCCTGCTCGTCAGCAACTCTTCGCGCCCCACGCGCGGGATCCGCCTTCCCGCCTTTTCATTGGTCTCTGTACCCGCTCATCATGCGCCCACCTCTGAAACCAAGGCGCCAAAGATTCCAATCACCTCGGCACAATCACCGTAGCTTTCGATTCAGTCGGCCTCACCCATTGGCTGGGCCACCTCTCCACAGACGAGCCTCTCCCGGACCCGCCCAACCAAGACAACCGTCTTCCGGCTTGGTTAGTCGCAGGGCATC
The DNA here is from genome assembly GCF_000001405.40 of Homo sapiens. Classification (NCBI taxonomy): domain Eukaryota; kingdom Metazoa; phylum Chordata; class Mammalia; order Primates; family Hominidae; genus Homo; species Homo sapiens. Next base: position 28,950,668 of record NC_000016.10, on the reverse strand, counting down.
CTGGGAAATGTAGTCCTCGAGCGGTAAGGTTTCCGGGAGAAGGAAGGCGGGCCTGGAATTCCCTGTGGAAACCGCGGATTTAACCAGGCGCGGTGCCTCACGCCCGTAATCCTGGCACTTTGAAAGGCTGAGGCGGGCAGATTGGTTGAGCTCAGGAGTTTGAGACCAGCCTGGCCAATGTGGCGAAACCGCGTCTCTACTAAGAATGCAAAAATTACCCGGGCGTGGTGGCACCCCTCTGTGGTCCCAACTACTCAGGAGGCTGAGGTGGGAGTTTCGCTGGAGCCCGGGAGGCGGAGATCGCACCACTGCACCCCAGCCTGGGTGACAGGGCGAGACCCTGTCTCAAAAATGCTTTAAAGAAATAATAAGGCTGGCCGCGCGCGGTGGCTCACGCCTGTAATCCCAGCACTTTGGGAGGCCGAGGCAGGCGAATCACGAGGTCAGAAGTTCAAGACCAGCCTGGCCAACACGGTGAAACCCCGTCTCTACTAAAAATACAAAAATTAGGCGGGCGTGGTGGCGTGCGCCTGTAATCCCAGCTACTCAGGAGGCTGAGGCAGGAGAATTGCTTGAGCCCGGGAGGCAGAGGTTACAGTGAGCCAGATCCTGCCGCTGCACTCCAGCCTGGCCGACAGAGCGAGACTCTCTCTCAAAAAAAGAAAGAAAGATAGAAATAATAAGGCTGGGCGTGGTGGCTCACGCCTATAATCCAGCACTTTGGGAGGCCGAGGTGGGCAGATCACCTGAGGTCAGGAGTTCGAGACCAGCCTGACCAACATGGTAAAACCCTGTCTCTACTAAAATACAAAAATTAGACAGGCGTAGTGGCAGGCGCCTATAATCTCAGCTACTCGGGAGGCTGAGGCAGGAGAATCGCTGGAACCCAGGAGGCAGAGGTTGCACTGAGCCAAGATTGTACCACTGCACTCCAGCCTGGGCAACAGAGTGAGACTCCATCTCAAAAAAAAATCTTATGTATTTATTTATTTTTAAATTTTATTTTATTCATTTATTTAATTTTATTTATTTATTTATTTTGAGATGGAGTTTCGCTCTTATTGCCCAGGCTGGAGTGCAATGGCTCGATCTCGGTTCACTGCAACCTCTGCCTCCCAGATTCAAGCAATTCTCGTGCCTCAGTCTCCAAGTAGCTGGGATTGATTACAGGCGTGCACTACCATGCCCAGCTAATTTTGTATTTTTAGTGGAGATGGGGTCTCACCATGTTGGTCAGGCTGGTCTTGAACTCCTGACCTCAGGTGATCCACCCCCCTCCGCCCCCGCCTTGGCCTCCCAAAGTGCTGGGATTACAGGCGTGAGCCACTGCGCCCGACTATTTATTTTATTTTTTTCTTTTTCTTGATTCGGAGTTTTGCTCTGTTGCCCAGGCTGGAGTGCAATGGTGCGATCTCAGCTCATTGCAACCTCCACCTTCAGGGTTCAAAGGATTCTCTTGCCTCAGCTTCCCGAGTAGCTGGGATTACTGTTGCCTGCCACCTTGCCCAGCTAATTTTTGTATTTTTAGTAGAGACGGGGTTTCACCATGTTGCCCAGGCCGGTCTTGAACTCCTGACCTCAAGTGATCCACCTGGCTCGGCCTCCCAAAGTGCGGGGATTACAGGTGTGAGCCACAGCACCCAGCCTGGCATATGTAAATCTTCATGATGGCTACATAAGCCACTTGCCAGTCTCCAAATTCAGGAATTCAAGGACCTGGGAGCCCTGACGAAATGCCGTCGTCAAGGCAGTTAGCTCTCTTGTCTCCCATTTCCCCTAGGAGGGAAAAGCTTGGCTTCAGTCTTGCTCCAAGATGCAGGCTACCTCCTGTCCTAAAGATATGAAAAGTTTGTGTCTACTCACCCCTACCATACAAGCCAATTCAATAACACAGGTGGTCACCCCACTTACCATCATAAAGTTAGACTGGGGCCAGGCGTGGTGGCTCACGCCTGTAATCCCAGCACTTTGGGAGGCCGAGGCGGGTGGATCACTTGAGGTCAGGAGTTCGAGACCAGCCTGGCCAACATGGTGAAACCCCATCTCTACTAAAATACAAAACAAAATTAGCTGGGCATGGTGGTGTGCGCCTGTATTCCTAGCTACTTGGGAGGCTGAGGCAGGAGGATCAGTTGAACCCAGGAGGTGGAGGTTGCAGTGACCCGAGATCGAGCCATTGCCCTCCAGCCTGGGAGACAGAGCCAGACTCTGTTGCAAAAGAAAAAAAAAAAAGCCAGGCGCGATGGCCCATACCTGTAATCCCAGCACTTTGGGAGGCCAAGGCGGGCGGATGACAAGGTCCAGAGATTGAGACCATCCTGGCTAACACAGTGAAACCCTGTCTCTACTAAAAAATACAAAAAATTAGCTGGGCGTGGTGGCGGGCGCCTGTAGTCCCAGCTACTCGGGAGGCTGAGGCAGGAGCATGGCATGAACCCAGGAGGCGCAGGTTGCAGTGAGCCGAGATTGCACCACTGCACTCCAGCCTGGGCGACAGAGCGAGACTCCGTCTCAAAAAAAAAAAAAAAAAAAAAAGGCTGAACTATGTTTGACTAAAGGTGTTGTCACGTCCTCTTACGTGAGGACTAGTCATTGTTTATCTTGAAAACATGGTATTGCAACCACCCCTATAAACTTGAGAAGAAGGGAGAGGGAGAAATGAAAAGAAACCAAACTTGCGGTGCACTCAGCATTGATCTCAGGGCAGCTGCTCCCTGACCTGCTTCCCCAAAGCCATCTGGTGCCTGTTGCCCCACAGTCACACAGCCCCTGTCAGAAGATTATAGTTCCCCTTAACTGCTCTTGAATCACGGCTTGGACATTACATTAGGTGTTCCCTTTGAGATATTCCTTCAGGTCTTGATGGAACTACTGATTCAGCTGACCTGAAGGACCCCACAAGGAGCTGACTCCCCGCAAAATGCAGCTTCTACACCCTGACAATTTCATCCCCCTTCCCAACCAATCAATGACCCCAATATTCCAGCCCATCACTCCCCACAAACCCCTTAAAAGCCCAGCCCAGAACTCCCTGGAGAGAGATTTGAGGGTCTCCTCCCATCACCTCGCTCGGCACCCTGCAATCATTAAACTCTCTCTGCTGCATCCCCACCGTCTCAGAGTCACAGAGCTGTGACTGCACAGTGGGCATATGAACCTGCAGCTCCTGTAACAATATGGAATTTGAAATTTTATCTTGAAAACAGGATAATGGTTTACACCTGCTTGGCTGTAATGAAGGATATTTCTTTTTGCCTTTGCAATCTTTTACCAGATTGCCAGTGATGTGCATCACATTCTAACTTAATGCTTATTCAAGCCGGGTGCAGTGGCTCACGCCTCTAATCCCAGTACTTTGGGAGGCTGAGGTGGTTGGATCACCTGAGGTCAGGAGTTCGAGACCAGCCTGGCCAATATGGTGGTGTATTTTTCTACTAAAAATACAAAAAATTAGCCAGGCATTGTGGTGGGCACCTGTAATCCCAACTACTCCGGAGCCTGAGGCAGGAGGATCACTTGAACCCGGGAGGCAGAGGTTCCAGTGAGCTGAGATTGTGCCATTGCACTCCAGCATGGGCAACAAGAGTGAAACTCCATGTCAAAAAAGAAAGAAAAATTATGCTTATTCAATAATAAAACCAGCCCGGGCATGTTGGCTTATGCCTGTAATCCCAGCACTGGGAGCCTGAGGTGGGAGGATCACTTGAGGTCTAGGGTTCAAGGCCAGCCTGGGCAATATAGCAAGACCCTGTCTCTACAAAAAGTAATAATAATTAGTGGGTGTCGTGATGCACACCTGTAGTCCTAGCTACTTGGGAGGCTGATTGAGCCCAGGAGTTCAAGGCTGCAGTGAGCTATGATCTCACCACTTCACTCGAGCCTGGGCAACAGAGCAAGACCCTCTCTCTAAAAATAAATAAATACATACAATTTAAGGCCAGGCACAGTGGTTCACGTCTGTAATCCCAGCACTTTGGGAGGCCAAGGTGGGAGGATCACTTCAGGCTGAGCGTTAAGACCCGCCTAGGCAATATAGTAAAACCCCCAACTCTACGAAAAATAATAATACATTTTAAAACTTTTTTTTTTTTGAGATGGAGTTCCACTCTTGTTGCCCAGGCTGGAGTGCAGTGGCACAATCTTGGATCACTGCAACCTCCACCTCCCGGGTTCAAGCGATTCTCCTGCCTCAGCCTCCTGAGTAGCTGGGATTACAGACATGCGCCACCACGCCTGGCTAATTTTTTGTACTTTTAGTAGAGATGGAGTTTCACCATGTTGGTCAGGCTGGTCTCGAACTCCCAACCTCAGGTGAGCCGCCCGCCTCAGCCACCCAAAGTGCTGGGATTACAGGCGTGAGCCATCACGCCAGGCCCATTTTACAACTTTTTAACCAAAAATAATAATAAAACTGTTTTCTGTCTCTACTACCTTTGTGGAGAAGTTTGTTGGGTTTAGATATTTTGTTTCTTAATTATATTTCCCAAACACACTCGCCAACACCTCCTACCAACAATATTGTGCACCTCAGAGACTACACGCCCTCCACACATCCACAGCGTTGGCAACTCCTGCACAACATATATCCCAACACAACACAAACACGCCCCTTCAACACTTCACTCTTCCCACTTTGCCTCCAACCGTATAACCACCTGCCGCCTCACACTTACGTCCCACGCCACACGTCGCTCAGGATACCCACACCGCACACACCCAATACCACATGCTGCTCACACCCACGGTGCTCACAAAACTCGCGCCTCATACATCCACGCAGAACGGCATGTCCACCTCTGCCCTAGTCTCATCCCATACGCCTCCATCCCAACCGCGGCACCGATGTCCCCTGCAGGCGCCCCCCGCTGGACCAGCATGCATTTCCCTTCCCCGTGCAGACTCCGCCAAGGTCAGGACTGCAGGCGCACAACAGCCAGCAGGTGGAGCTGTTTTCCAGGAAACGGAGGCTCCTGGACTCCACCGACTTCCCAGCCCCAGGAGGCCTTCAGCCTCTCTCTGTAGCCAGGCGGCAGGCCAGTCTTGGGCGCTCCCGGGAAACCACTGCAAACCGCAAGCAGGAGGTGGCCCTGAGAGTCTAAAATTTTCAAGTCTCCTTTCCCCAAACCTTGCTCAAGAGCTGAAAGTGCACCTGTAAGTCCCAGCTACTAGGAATGCTTGAGATGGGAAGATTGCTTGAGTCCAGGAGCTCAAGGCTAGCCTGGGCACACATAGCGAGACCTCATCTCTGTTTTTTGTTTTTGTTTTTGTTTGAGACGGAGTCTCGCTCTGTTGCCAGGCTGGAGTGCAGTGGCGTGATCTCGGCTCACTGCAACATCCGCCTCCTGGGTTCAAGCGATTCTCCTGCTCAGCCTCTCAAGTAGCTGGGACTACAGGCGTGTGCCACCAGGCCCGGCTAATTTTTGTATTTCTAGTAGAGGCGGGGTTTCACCATGTTGGCCAGGATGGTCTCAATCTCTTGACCTAGTGATCCACCCGCCTCAGCCTCCAAAAGTGCTGAGATTACAAGTGTGAGCCACCGTGCCCAGCCAAGACCTCATCTCTTAAAAAAAAAAAAAATTATTTTTTGGCCAGGCGCAGTGGCTCACGACTGTAATCCTAGCCCTTTGGGAGGCCGAGGTGGGAGGATCACTTGAGGCCAGGAGCTCAAGTCTAGCCTGGGCAACATGGCAAAACCCCTTCTCTACCAAAAAATACAGAAGTTAGCCAGCCGGGTGTGGTGGTGCACGCCTATAGTCCCAGCTACTAGGGAGGCTGAGGTGAGAGAACTACTCAAATCCAGGAGTTCAAAGTTACGGTGGGCTATGATTGTGCCATTACCCTCTAACCTGGCCTAGCCTAGCCTAGTGAGACCCTGTCTCAAAATAAATAAATAAATAAATAAATAAATAAATAAGATGTCAAATAATAAGAGCTCATGCTTGAGTCCTTGCTAAGCCACTGTTGTATGCTTTACGTGTCATTTAAGACTCATTGATAATGTCCTCATTTTCTGAATTACTATTTCATGGTCTATTTTACAGACCAGGAAATTGCAGTTCAGAGAGCTTAAGCCATGTAGCTGGAAAGGGGTGGAGCCAGGATTCACATAAACCCAGCTAGTCTGGGCCAGGCACAGTGGCTTATGCCTGTAAACCCACCACTTTAGGAGGCTGAGGCAGGCGGATCATCTGAGGTCAGGTGTTCAAGACCAGCCTGGCCAACATGATGAAACCCTGTCTCTACTAAAAATACAAACAAACAAAAAAAATCTAGCTGGGCAGCTGGGCTTGGTGGTGTGTGCCTGTAGTCCCAGCTACTCAAGAGGCTGAGGCAGGAGAATTGCTTGAACCTGGGAAGTGGAGGTTGCAGTGAGCCAAGATTGCACCACTGCACTCCAACCTGGGTGACAGAACCAGACTCCATCAAAACAAACAAACAAACAAACAAAAAACAGCTAGTCTGATTCCAGGGCACTTGGTGGGAGGCAGCACACCTCTGTCCCAACCTCAACTTCCTGGGAGACTCCCCAAAGTGGCAGAGCCCACAAGGGTGTCTCCTTCCTCTGCACCCCAAATGCGTAAAGTACCCATCACAGCACTTCCCACAGCCCTTCATTCACTCTTCCTCCTCCTTCCCCACTCATTCCTTGACCCTTCTCATCCCCCAGCTGGGGAGCAGGGGCACAGAGATGACTTGGACATGGATCCGATCCCAGCAAGACAGGATGTGTTCTTTTTGTTTTCTATTTTTTGAGACAGAATCTTGCTCTGTCACCGAAGCTAGAGTGCAATGGCGCGATCTCGGCTCACTGCAACCTCCGCCTCCTGGGTTTGAGCAATTGTCATGCCTCAGCCTCCCCAGTAGCTGAGACTACAGGCACAAGCCACCATGCCTGGCTAATTTTTGTATTTTTAGTAGAGACAGGGTTTCACCATGTTGGCCAGGCTGATCTCGAACTCCTGACCTCATGATCCACCCGCTTCGGCCTCCCAAAGTGCTGGGATCACAGGTGTGAGCCACCAAGCCTGGCCAGCAGGATATTTTCACCAGGAGTCACAGGCTCAGGTGCTTCAGACAGGCAGGAAACCAAGATGAATGAGGCAGGCTGGGAAAAAAGGTAATAGGGAACAGCAAGGATTACAGCCATGTGAGAGCTTATTTTAGCTGAAGCTTAAGGTAGGGGATTATGGCAATGTGAACAGCTGGTGGGGAGCAGACAAATGCTGCACCAGATGATCTGGATTTTTTTTGGAGTCTCAGAGACTTGTGTTCAAGATGCAAGCATAAAGAAGTACTAGAGGTTTGTATTCCAAATGCATGCATACACTAAGCAAAATATAATGAGGAGTGCTGCTTTTTTTTTTTTTAATAGGTAGCTAAGCTCAAAGGGAAGACAGAATCTTCTTGGTTCCAGAATAAGGAGGAAAATCAAAGCCACAGTGGTGGGGGCAGTGGGGACAGTGAAGTCAAGCAGCCTGTGGGAATGCAGGAATCCCCTACGATTGGCATTTTAACACCCACATGGGGGCCGGGCAAGGTGGCTCACGCCTGTAATCCCAGCACTTTGGGAGGCCGAGGCGGGTGGATCAGGAGGTCAGGAGTTCAAGACCAGCCTGGCCAACATAGAGAAACTCCCCCCGACCCGCCACCGTCTCTACTAAAAATATAAAAAATTAGCCGGGCATGGTGGCAGGCACCTGTAATCCAAGCTACTCAGGAGGCTGAGGCAGGAGAATCGCTTAAAGCCAAGAGGCAGAAGTTGCAGTGAGCCAAGATCACACCATTACACTCCAGCCTGGGCTTTAATCCCAGCACTTTGGGCTTTGGGAGGCTGAGGTGGGTGGATCACTTAAGGCCAAGAGTTCGAGACCAGCCTGACCAACATGGAGAAACCCCGTCTCTACTAAAAATACAAAAATTAGCCGGTATAGTGGCACGTGCCTACAGTCCAAGCTACTCAGGAGGCTGAGGCAGGAGAATCGCTTGAACCCAGGAGGCGGAGATTGCAGTGAGCTGAGATCGCACCTCTGCACTCCAGCCTGGGCAACAGAGCAAGACGTCATCTCAAAAAAAAAAAAAAAAATCCATCCCCAGGCCCTGGCTCACAATGTAGAAGCGAGCCGCCTGAGAATGAATGGAAAAAGCCATCCAGGCACTCAGAACCCCAAAGCTAACCAAAGTATAGGCTTGGAGTTAGCCCAAACCTCTGGTGCAGAAACCTGTTCTGAGGAACTCATAAATAAAATGGTCAGAATCTTGTGCAGCCTGTAAGACTGTGGCAGGAGCCAAAGCAAGCCGGCCCCAGAGGTTGTCAGTGGGGCCCCAGGAACCCATGAGGCTGTCACAGGCAGGAGAAACATAAAGAAGTCAAAGACACCTTCCGTGAAATCAAAGAAATCTTCCATGGGGACTTCCATTCTCATGGCTCATGGGGTCACCATGGAAGGTTTTTGTTGTTGTTTTGAGACAGAGTCTCGCTCTGCTGCCCAGGCTGGAGTGCAGTGGTGCCATCTCGGCTCACTGCAACCTCCGCCTCCCGGATTTAAGCAATTCTCCTGCCTCAGCCTCCCGAGTAGCTGTAATTACAGGCGCCTGCCACCATGCCCGGCTAATTTTTGTATTTTTAGTAGAAACGGGTTTCGCCATGTTGGCCAGGCTGGTCTCGAACTCCTGACCTCAGTTGATCCCACCTGCCTTGGCCTCCAAAAGGGCTGGGATTACAGACATAAGCCACTGTGCCCTGCCTCCATGGAAGGTTTCTTTGACTTCTTTTACATGCCATGTAAAAGTAATAGTAACTACAGCATGCCTCCGCCTTAATGGGATTTTATAGCTGAGGCAGTGGAGGGTCAGGTTAAGTTGCCTAAAGTCAGTTAGCAATTGAAGTATTTAATTTATCTGTGCCCCAATCTCCTTAGCTGTAAAATAATAATAATTTTTAGTGTACTTTCCTCATAGGACAGTGGTAAAGATAAAATGAGTCGCCACCTGGAGAACGGTACGATGCCTGGCACATCGTAGTAATGTTAATACAGATGAAAGAAGTTTTAGGGGCTGGGTGCCTGTAATCCCAGCACCCTTGGGAGGGCAAGGCAGGCAGATTGCTTGAGGCCAGGAGTTGCAGTGAGCTATGATCAAGCCACTGCACTCCAGCCTGGGTGACAGAACAAGACTCTGTCAAAAAAAAAAAAAAAAAAAAAAAGGCCAGGCGCAGTGGCTCACGCCTGCAATCCCAGCACTTTGGGAGGCTGAAGTGGGTGGATCACCTGAGGTCAGGAGTTCGACATCGGCCTGGCCAACATAGTGAAACCCCGTCTCTACTAAATATACAGAAATTAGTCGAGTGTGGTGACACATGCCTATAATCCCAGCTACTCAGGAGGCAGAGGCAGGAGAATCGCTTGAACAGGGAAGAGAGAGGTTGCAGTGAGCCGAGACAGTGCCACTGCACTCCATCCTGGGTGACAGAGCGAGACTCCGTCTCAAAAAAAAAAAAAAAAAAAAAAAAAAAAAGATGAAGTAAGTTTTACATGCTCAGAGATAAAGAAGAAATTTCTACAACAAAAACAGGGTGGGAGGTCGAGGCAGGGAGCTGTTAACTGGGGGCCAGGAGATAGAGACCAGCCTGGCCAACATGGAGAAACTCCATCTCTACTAAAAATACAAAAATTAGCCAGGTGTGGTGGCACAGGCCTGTAATCCCAGCTACTTGGGAGGCTGAGGCAGGAGAATAGCTTGAACCCAGGAGGCAGAGGTTGCAGTGAGCCAAGATGGCACCACCCACTCCAGCTTGGGTGACAGAGTGAGACCCTGTCTCAAAAAAAAAAAAAAAAAAAAAAAAAAGAAAGAAAGAAAAGAAATGGTGAAAATAATATTAATAGTATACCTACCTCATAGGGTCGTAAAGATAAAATGAATGAATATACACAAACATACATAACATGTCCATAAAATATACATAAAATATTTGAATACAATCCTGCCACATAATAAGTGCTTACTATCTTTGTGAAGTTATTGTAACGATAAAATTTGCTCATTGATATTAGTGCTTAGAACATAGTAAGGTCGGGCACTGTGGCTCACGCCTGTAATCCCAGAACTTTGGGAGGCTGAGGCAGGTGGATCACCTGAGGTCAGGAGTTTGAGACCAGCCTGGCCAGCATGGGGAAACCCTGTCTCTACTAAAAATACAAAATTATCCGGGTGTGATAGTGGGCGCCTGTAATCTCAGCACTTTGGGAGGCCAAGGTTGGTAGGATCACTGGAGCCCAGGCATTCAAGACCAGCCTGGGCAGCATGAGGCATTCAAGACCTCATCTCTACAAAAAATAAAAAATGAGCTGTGGCCGGGTGCGGTGGCTCACACCTGTAATCCCAGCACTTTGGGAGGCCGAGGCGGGTGGATCATGAGGTCAGGCGTTCGAGACCAGCCTGGCCAACATAGTGAAACCCCGTCTCTACTAAAAATGCAAAAAATTAGCTGGGCATGGTGGCGGGCACCTGTAATCCCAGCTACTTGGGAGGTTGAGGTGGGAGAAATTCTTGAGCCTGGGAGGTCGAGGCTGCAGTGAGCCATGATTGCACCACTGCACTCCAGCCTGGGCAACAAAGCGAGAGCCTGTCTCAAAAACAAAAAAAAAAAGAAGAGTATAGTAGATGCTCAATAAATAAGTACTCAGTGACAATGAATAGCATCTTCTAACTAGACTGCTAATTCCTGGGCTGTTTCTCCACTGGGCACCCAGCATGTAACTGCTGAATTAATGATAATTGGGTAGCTGGATGGTGGGAGGGGGCTGATCGTGACGGATCTGTGGGCAGCGGGCAAAAGAGGGCAGTAGGTGAAGGCTAGGCCATGGAAGGGGAAAGGCCCTTTGTTTTATTTTTATTTTTATTTTTTGTTGAGACGAAGTCTCGCTCTGTCGCCCAGGCTGAAGTGTAATGGCACCATCTCCACTCACTGCAACCTCTGCCTCCCAGGTTCAAGTGATTCTCCAACCTCAGCCTCCCAAGTAGCTGGGACTACAGGCTCGCCACCACACCCAGCTAATTTTTGTATTTTTAGTAGAGACGGGGTTTCACCAGGTTGACCAGGCTGGTCTCGAACTCCTGACCTCAAATGATCCACCTGCTTGGCCTCCTAAAGTGCTGAGATTACAAGTGTGGGCCACCGCACCGGGAAAAGGCCCTTTGTATGCAGAAGGCAGCCCTCCCTCTTCCATGGGATTCAAGACGCCTTTCCTTCCCTTCCTTTCCTTCCCTTCCCTTTCCTTCCTTTCCTTTCCTTCCCTTCCTTCCCACACAATGGCACTACTTCATAGGATTGGAAGAGCTCATTGAGTTTATTTAAGGAATACAAAGGGGACTGGAAGTGTCACTGGCATGTATACACACACACACACACACACACACTTACACACATGCACACATCCTAAGCAACATTGCTCCAGAGGTTGGCATCATCTGCTCGAGGTCTTCAGATTTCAGAGTCAGGTGTGAATCTTGGGGACTTGAGGAGATCCAGGCTATGCAGAAGAAACGGTGATGGGGAGGGGTCCAGCAGTCCTCCCCCTGCCCACCAGGCCCTAGGAACCCTGTTCCCTCTCCCTCCCTGAAAGCCAGCAGCCACTGCCATCCGTGCCTATCTCCCTCCCTCCCCGCTTTCCCTAGGGGCAGTCCCAGCTCACCTGGCCACCTGAGGATCACCTGGTGCTCCAGGTGCCCATGCGGCCCCCTCCTCCCCAGGCTGGGTCTGGCCCATCGGGATTATCCATGTTCTCATAAGAGTCTGCATCTGGATAGGACCAGGGAGGAGGAGAACATGGGTGGCACTGGAAGTAGGCTGGAAGGCAAAGTCAGCCCAGGGGACAGCAGGGGACAGCGGCAGAAGCACCCACCTTCCTCATGATTGGGTCCAGGCTGGCCCCGAATGGAGCGGAGCTGGGGGGCTGCATACAGGATTCCTCTCATATCCTCATAGGACTGGGACCCTGCTTGGGCGGGGGATGGAGAATTGGAGGCTAGGGCATGGGAAGTACAGCCTACGGTAAGGAGGAAGACTGAGGGGCAGAGGAAGGTGAGGAGCATTACCCATGCTGTGCTGGGAAGGGGTGATTTGGTTAGCATTGAGTTTGGGGCCCCAGTTAGCTGTAGGGTCAGGGTTAGATATGGGTTAGATTATGGCTAAGGAAGGGGTCAAGAACAGAACTGGGCTGGGCGTGGTGGCTCATGCCTGTAATCCCAGCACTTTGGGAAGCCAAGGCGGGCAGATCACTAGAGGCCAGGAGTTGGAGACCAGTCTGGCCAACATGGCGAAACCCTGTCTCTACTGAAAATACAAAAATTAGCCAGGTGTGGTGGCAAACGTCTATAATCCCAGCTACTCAGGAGGCTGAGGCATGAGAATCGCTTGAACCTAGGAGGCAGAGGTGGCAACTGCACTCCAGCCTGGGCAACAGAGGGAGACTCCGTCTCAAAAAAAAGAAAAAGAAAAAGAAGAAACTGGAGGGAGTCGGAGTCAGAGTCATGAAGAAGCTGCAGAGTAAGCTGGGGTCCAAGTTGAGGTCTGCACTGGGGCTGAGGTGAGGTGGAGATCAAGTCCAGGCTGATACTGCATTGGGATCGGTGTTGATATTCACAGTTAGGGAGGGGGTAAATATTGGGGGTCAGGATGGGGGATGGGGCTCAGGATGGGGGATGGGGCTCAGTGTTGAGGTGAGAGGAGTCACAGGATTGGGTTCGGGTTTGGGGTCAGGGTCAGGTCAAAGTTGGATCTGGTGTCAGAGCTGAGGCCAGGTCACCCAAGCTGGGCAAGGCAGTCTGATTGAAAGCATCTCTCACCCAGGGAGGTTGCTTCCCGGCTGGGGTCCCAGGCTGACCCATGAGGGCTCAGGAAGTCTGGAAAGGGAAGAGGGAGGTTACTATTCCTCCTGGCCTCCAGGTGTCCTCCGCCTCCCCCCTGGACTGTTGCCATCCTCACACACACCCATTGTCCTGGCGACCGGCTGGGTCAGCTCTTCATCCTCGTTCTCATAAGACTCAGCTGTGGCAGAAGAGAGAGAACTCCAGGGACCCCTTCTAGGAGTGTCACAGCGCTGCAATTACACCTAAGTCTCTGAGGTCCCACAAAGGCCCCAAGTTACCGTTGGAGAAGGAGTCTTCATCCTCAGGACCCAGGGGCTCATCCTCAGGGTTCTCGTAGCCGCTGCCATCTGGTGGAGAAGGAGGGGTGTCCATGGGAGTCCACAGGCCACCGCAGAGGTGGGGGGCCACGGGGGAGGGCAGCCTTACCCTGGGAGAGCTGGTCCTGCCCAAGGTTGGAGTCGTTCTCATAGAACTCGGAGTCCTCCTCACTGTCAGGTTCCTCATAGCCCTCCCCTTCCTCTTCTTCTGGGCCTGGGGGTTTGGGGATGGGGATGGGGAACCGAGTCATGCCCCCTCTCCTCCAGGGCCCAGTCCACTATTCGGGCCACAGACCGCTCCAACCCCCTCCATGTGGGGAACGACCCTTCCCTCTCCCAGTCATTCACCCACTCCCGGCGGGCTCCGGGACCCCAAGGCTCCATCCGCCTGGACGTCGCTGCTCGGGTTTCCATAAGACGGGGCAGTGCCCCCCAGGCCTGCGGCCCAACGCTGGGCGCGTCCTGGTGAGAGGGGCATTGTAAGACGGGGTCAGAAGAGATGGGGGCGGTCAAGGCTAAGGGTCCGCGCGGCGGGGCACGGGAAGAGGATGTTTTGGGCTCTGCGAATGGACTCTGGGTCTAGGAACCCGGCCTTGAACCCTGGGGCGGAATCTAAATCTAGGGCCGAGGCCTTCAGTTCTGGGGCGAAGTTCTGCTCTTGATTACGACTTCAGGCTCTGGGTCCTGGGGGCGTGGCTCTGAGCCCTGGAGGCGGGGTCTGGTTCTAGAGGCGGGGCTCATAGCTGGGCGGGACTCCCCGCCCCGGGGGCGGAGTTCCGAGCTCCAGAAGGCTTGGCGCACAGCGGATTGGAGGGATGAGGAGAGTGGGGGTGGAGCCCCGGATCTGGGGCGGAGCTATAGGCTGGAGGGGCGGTGCCTCTTACCGAGGCCTGAGGTGGGTGTGGGGAGAGACAGCACGTTCCCGTACTGGTTCTGGGGCCCGCTTCCTGGGGGAGGCGTCACTTTGAAGAATCTGGCGGGAGAAGAGGAAGTGCACGGTGAGGGCCGACTTGGAATGGAATGGCGGACCCACTCAAGATTCTGTCCAGGCCTTCAGAAGTTAAACGTGATCACTTGTGCTGGGACAGCCAATAGAGGAGTCTGAGATGATCATTTCCAAGGAGTTCTTCACAGAGGAGGTAGCTTTGGAGCTGGGCTTTGAGGTTGGGCAGTATTTGAAACAGTAGAGACGGAGCAAAGAACCCCTGGGCAGAGGAAACAGTAAGTGCAAGGCATAAAGTGAAGGTGGAGGGTGTTACCGCGGGGTGCACTGGTTGCATTACCTCCTGGTGGGGTCAGTCATTCGCTTTCTTTTCCTCCTCAGGACCAGGGCTGGTGGGAGTTAAAGGGCGTGATCAGAGGAGGGGCTGCTTGGCAGGGTGAGGATTTGTGGGGCCAGGTGCTGGGGAGGTCACTTGGTTCAACAAAGGAGACAGGAGTTCAAATTGCGAGGCGGACGGGCGCGGTGGCTCGTGCCTGTAATCCCAGCACTTTGGGAGGCCGAGGTGGGCGGATCATTTGAGGTCAAGAGTTCGAGACCAGTCTGGCCAACATGGTGAAACCTCGTCTCTACTAAAAATATAAAAAATTGGCCGGGTGTGGTGGCATACACTTGTAGTCCCAGGTACTCGGGAGGCTGAAGCACAAGAATCACTTAAGCCTGGGAGGCAGAGGTTACAGTGAGCTCAGATTGTGCCACTGCACTCCAGCTGGGGTGACAGAATGAGACCCTGTCTCAAAAAAAAAAAAAAAATTGCAAGAGGCTTGGGAAGTTTGAGGGAGGCTAGAGGAAGACTGGGGAGAACAGGATTCTGGGGTCTTGAAGGGAGGGATGGGAGGAAAGAAAGATGGTTGTCAGACTGGCCAGAGCCGGCTTATCCTGGGGAAGATGGAGTAGGGTTTGGACAGACCCACTGGGGACATGACTCACCTCTTTGAAGATGAAGAATGCCCACAAGGGAACACAGGCAGAAGATCAGATAAGCCAAAGTCACAGCTGAGACCTTCCAGCCACCAGTCCTCAGCAGCCAGTGCCATAGTACTAGGGGGAAGGGGCTATGAGACGAGGACCCCAGGCTGGCATCTTACGTCCCAATCCTGAGATCTCAAGGAACCGCAAGTCTGAGGCACAGAGGCAAGACACAGACTCGGCCGGGCGCGGTGGTTGACGCCTGTAATCCCAGCACTTTGGGAGGCAAAGGCGGGTGGATCACCTGAGGTCAGGAGTTCGAGACCAGCCTGGCCAACATGGTGAAACCCCATCTCTACTAAAAATACAAAAAAATTAGCTGGGCATGGTGGTGGGTGCCTGTAATCCCAGCTACTTGGGAGGCTGAGGCAGGAGAATCGTTTGAACCCGGGAGGCGGAGGTTTCAGTGAGCCGAGATCACTGCACTCCAGCCTGGGCAACCACAGCAAAACTCCGTCTCAAGAAAAAAAAAAAGACACAGACTCAAAGTCCCAAGCTGTGAGAAAGGCTCTCCTCTCTCTAAGGAGCCATGTCCCAGGAGGTCAGGGATTGTCACAGACCCTGGCACAGGACATGGGGCAGTGTCTTTGAGCAAATCGTGGACAAACCATGGCTGTACTCAGAGGCAATGTGTGGATTGAGGGGAGCATAATGATCAGTTTCCTGCTGCAATTAAGGATAGTCACGGTCAAAGTGAAGGGCAGAGTTGAGTTTGCAAGGTTACAGTTGGGATCCAGCACATTGCTTGGATCAAGTTTGGAGTGAAAGTTGGGGTTGGGTTTGTGAATTGCAGTTAGGATAGCATGATAGGATTGCATGGAGAGAGAATTGGCAGAACACTGTGACCAGTTTGTTGGACGGGGTGAGGAAAAAGAAGGATGCCCAGGTTCTTAGCCTGGGCGAGGGAGCAGGTGGTGGTGCCCTCTGCTTACACTGGGCCACCAAGAAGACTATACTTGGGGAAGACATTGAGTTTGATTTTGTATCTGTTGAGCCTGAGGTGTCCATGGGATATCAAATGGCACAGGAGATGGCTGAGTATGGAGCCTGGAATAGAGTCACCAAGGCATGGTGACCCAAGAAGCCATTGAGAGTCAAGTTCAAATAGGAAAGTGTGCAGACAGGGATAAGAAGAGGGCCCAGGGCTCCAAGAGTGAGGAGTTGGGGAGGAAGGAAGACTCCACCCAAGCTGGTGGGCAGGCGCAAGCAATGGTAGGTGAAGACCCAGAAAAGTAGTGTCTTGGAAGCGAGGGAAGAAAGACTTGAAGTCTAGGCCAGGTGCGGTGGCTTATGCCTGTAATCCCAGTACTTTGGGAGGCCAAGGCAGGCAGATCACCTGAAGTCAGGAGTTCAAGACCAGCCTGGTCCAACAGGGAGAAACCCCATCTCTACTAAAAATACAAAATTAGGCTTGGCCCGGCCCTGTGGCTCATGTCTGTAATCCCAGCACTTTGGGAGGCCGAGGCGGGTGGATCACGAGGTCAGGAGTTTGAGACCAGCCTGGCCAACATAATGAAACCCCATCTCTACTAAAAATACAAAAAAAATTAGCCAGGCTTTAATCCCAGCTACTCGGGAGGCTGAGGCAGGAGAATCACTTGAACCTGGAAGGTGGAGGTTGCAGTGAGCTGAGATCGTGCCACTGCACTCCAGCCTGGGTGACAGTGCAAGACTCCGTCTCAAAAAAAAAAAAAAAATTAGCCAGGCGTGGTGGTGGGCACCTGTAATCCCAGCTACTCAGGAGGCTGAGGCAGGGGAATCACTTGAACCTGGGAGGCGGAGGTTGCAGTGAGCCAAGACAAGATGGCACCACTGCACTCCAGCCTAGGCAACAGAGCGAGACTCTGTCAAAAAAAAGAAAGACTTGGAGTCAGTGTTCTGTGTGGAAGTTGGGGTTTGGGGTGAGGCTGGGAGTAGCCCTCGGGTTGGGGGAATCTAAGATTGACTGGCTTCCACTTCTTCCCAGTACCCCCACACAGATGCCTCCCAGTTGAGAGAAACTCTACCTGGCCGAGCAGTGATCTCCAGGTGGAATGACATGGTCAGGTTGCCACGGTGACAATAATACTTTCCAGCGTCTTGAGCTGTGGCCCGGGGCAACAACAGACCCGTCTCCATTACCCACATATCTCTGGCCGGGCGATCGTCCTTCAGCTCTAGGCTCAGCAATGACTTAGGCCCCTTGGGGTGCACATGGGTCCAGGAGAGGGGGCCCCTGGACACAGAGTCAGGGGGTACCCCACAGGACAGCCAGAGTGTGGAGCCAGGGGCCATGGTGAGGTCTGGGACAGGGAGAGATAAGACAAGGAAAGCCTGATCCTCAGGGTTTCACCTCTTCAGTTTCCCCTCCCCTCTGTCTCTGGACCCCCGCTTCCCGGCATCTCCCCAGTCATCACCATACCCTGGCTGAGGCTCTGGTTCAGGCTGTCCCTCGGTGGGAGACACGGAGGCTCTCCCTCCCAGATCTCAGGGCGGTCTTTGGCCCACACATACAGCTTGGGGCTCATGAGCTTCCCGGAAGGGGAGCTGGGGCCCTCTGAGGACCTGTTCTTCAGGCCACAGCCCAGGCCACCTAGGTCCGAAACATTCCACCGGAACAGCTCCCCTGGGAAGAGACCCAGAACCAAATGCAGAGACACCCAGGAGAGGGAGAGAGATAGAGACTCAAAGACAGAGATAAATAGAGACAAAGACCCGCAGAGAGAGAGAAGACAGTGAGAGGTAGAGGGACAGGAAGCAGCTCATACTGAAGCCACGAAGCCCCAGGAGTCTGCCCACCTAGCTCCGAGTTTCGCCCTCAATCCCTCCAGCCCCTCTCTCCAGCTCCATTGTGGCCGCGGACCTCTTCTGTCCATGGTGGCCTCCCTTCTCTCCTCCTGCCCCTGCCCCAGCCCGGCCCTCACCGCTGCCCTCCACATTGACTGTCCAGCCAGGCTGCCAGGCCTTCTCAGAGGGGGGCCCCGGCTGGCACAGGTAGAAGCCCCCCATCTGTTGAGAGACGTTGAAGATGAAAAGCCAGATGGCCAGGGGCCTCATGTGGATTCCCAGGCCTGGCAGCCCCAGGCTGAGTTTTAAGAAGGGTTTAAGCGGGGACTCCCGAGACCAGGTCAGCTGCTGAGTGGGGCCATCTGAGGTCCCCTT
This sequence comes from Homo sapiens, assembly GCF_000001405.40. Classification (NCBI taxonomy): domain Eukaryota; kingdom Metazoa; phylum Chordata; class Mammalia; order Primates; family Hominidae; genus Homo; species Homo sapiens. Next base: position 28,932,374 of record NC_000016.10, on the reverse strand, counting down.
GAGGCACTGCAGCACAGCGTTATCTCCCTCTGTGGAGAGAGAGGGAGAGAGGTGTGGGCATGGGTGGGGGGGACCTCCAAGCCCCCCGACTCCTCACACCAGGTTATAGAGCAGAGGACTCCAAAAGCTGGGAGTGGAGGAGCCGGCAGAGTCCTTCCAACCCTTTCCTGAATTTTACAAATAAGAAAATGGAGGCTCAGAGAGGGTAAGTTACTCAGCCAAGGACACCCAGCCACAACTCAAGTTTCCAGCCTCAATCCCTTCCCTTTCTGCCCTTTGGACATACCTTCCACCTTCACCACTAGAGGTTCCTCGGGCCTGACTTCCATGGGGGTGAGGAAGAGGAGGAAGAAGAGGAGGCGAGGAGGTGGCATGGTGGTCAGACTCTCCGGGGCACCCAGCTTCGCGCAGGGGATGCTGGGGCAGGCAGGGGCCTGGAGGGCACTCAACCATGGGTGTCTGCGGGGGCGGCAGGCAGTCCCCCCAGAGAGGAAGGCGGTGGTCACGCCTCAGGCCCCATTCTCCAGGAACCCTCCAGACTCACAACACTTGCCTCCTCCCTGCCACGCTGTTTTATTTTCATCCCAGCTCTCACTACCACGGGAAATGATCTTGTGTGTTTATTTGTTCATTTCTGTTTTCTGCACAAGAATGTGAGCCCCTTGGAGTAGAGACCGTGTTGTTCACCACTAATTGCAAGTGCTCTAGAACAATGCTGGGCACATAGACTCCTTCTCAAAAAAAAAAAAAAAAATTAGCCGGGCATGGTGGCGCACACCTGTAATCCCAGCTACTTAGGAGGCTGAGGCAGGAGAATCACTGGAAACCAGGAGGCGGAGGTTGCAGTGAGCCGAGATCACACCACTGCACTCCAGCCTGGGCACCAGAGTGAGACTCTGTTTCAAAAAAAAAAAAGAAAAGAAAACAGTCCTATACAAATATTGTTTGTGAAGATTAAAAATGACAATATGTTCAGCACTATTAGCCCAGTGTCCAGCACATCATAAGCCCTCAGTTAATGAGATACAGCTTCAATTAATGCCTAAGAGCTCAAGTCATACTGCCTCAGTTTAAAACCAGGCAAAAGCCAGGCACAGTGGTACACGCCTATGGTCCCAGGTCCTTGGGAGGCTGAGGTAGAAGGATCGCTTGAGCCCAGGAGTTCAAGGCTGCAGTGCACCATGATTATGCCTGGGAATAGCCACTGTGCTCCAGTCCGGGCAACACAACAAGACCCTGTCTCTAAAAGAAAAATTGTTTTAAAAGAACCCAGGAGTTCTAACTCCTAAATCTGTTCTTATTCTGCCCCATGCCTCTCCTCTCTGTCTCTCTCTTTCTCTGTCACTCTCTATGTGCCTCTGTGTCTTTTTCACTGCTGCAGGGACTCAGAAAAAGAATTCAGGGACCCAAGAGACCCACTTTCTCAGTGGCTGATTCCCAGGCCCATCTCACCAGGCTGTGACTTCCTGTTTGCTGTGGGCAAGCCCCAGGGGACCCTCCCTACAGGTGGCAGGGCCTCCACTTCCCTTTGGCCAGTTGAGGCGGCTGGGAGGCGGAAGAATGAGGCATGAATGAAGGGGAATGAAGGGGGCGAGTAGCAGGACTCAATCTGCCTTTCATTCAACAAAATCTCTCTAATCCCCTCATTAGCTACCCAGCTGCCCAGACTGGCTTTCACTAGAGCATGTCATTCCCCTGCTTAAAACATGTCAGTTACAGCCAGGCACAGAGGCTCATGCCTGTAATCCCAATACTTTAGGAGGCCGAGGCGAGAGGATCCTTTGAGGACAGGAATTTGAGACCAGCCTGTGCAACACAGCGAGAACCCATCTCTATAGAAATTTTTTAAAAAACAAAAAATGTCAGTTGCTTTTCATCTAGCTAAAATAAAAACTCCAACCCAAGGCCTAGTAGGCCGAGTGTTGCTGACCTACCTACATTTTCCACCTCGTGCCTCCACCACTCTCCTTGCCAAGTGCTTCCCTGCCTCAGGGCCCTTGCACTTGCAGCCCTTTTTCCTGGATCTCTGCTGGGGGCTCTGGTTCTTTGCTGGACTGGTTCTTTTCATCACTTAGGTCTCAGTTCAAATGGTACTTCTTCAAAGAGGCCTTCCCTGTGCCCCCCAGTGCTTCAAAAATCTATATATTATTATTTAAAAAAATATATCTCAGGCCAGGCGAGGTGACTCACACCTCCCAGCACTTTGTGGGGCCAAGGCAGGCAGATTGCTTGTGCTCAGGAGTTGGAGACCAGCCTGGGCAATATGGCAAAACCCATCTCTACCAAAAATACAAAAAATTAGCTGGGTGTGGTGGCACATGCCTGTGGTCCCAGCTACTTGGGAGGCTGAGGCGGGAGGATCAGGGGGATGGAGGTTGCAGTGAGCCAAGATGGCACCACTGCACTCCAGCCTGGGCAACAAGAGCCTGCTCTCTTTCTTTCTCTCTCTCTCTCTCTCTCTCTCTCTCTCTCTCTCTCTCTATATATATATATATATATATATATATATATATATATATATATATATATCTCGGCTGGGCGCGGTGGCTCACGCCTGTAATCCCAGCACTTTGGGAAGCCCAGGTGGGCAGATCATTTGAGCCCAGGAGTTCGAAACCAGCCTGGGCAAAATGGAGAAATCCGTCTTTACTAAAAATACCAAAAAAAATGTATCTGGGCATGATGGTGCATACCTGTAGTCTCAGCTACTCAGGAGGCTGAGGTGGGAGGATCACTTGAGCCCAGGAGTTCAAGTCTAGCCTGGGCAACATGGTGAAACACCATCTCTACAAAAAATATGAAAAAAAGACTGGGCACAGTGGTTCATGCCTGTAATCTCAGCACTTTGGGAGGCTGAGGCGGGTGGATTACTTGAGGTCAGGAGAATGAGACCAGCCTGGCCAACATGGTGAAACCCAGTATCTACTAAAAATACAAAAAAATTAACTCATGCCTATAATCCCAGCTACTCGGGAGGCTGAGGCAGGAGAATTGCTTGAACCTGGGAGGCAGAGGTTGCAGTGAGCCGAGATTGCACCTTTGCACTCCAGCCTGGATGACAGAGTCTCTGTCTCAAAAAAAAAAAAAAAAAAAAAAGAAAGAAAAGAAAAGAAAAAAGAAAAAGAAAACCTTCTCAAATTCCCTTTACTCACATGCTTTTTTGATCGCATGCCCCTATTTCATTCCCAGCACTTGCCCCAATCTCAAATTATGCATGTGTATTTGCTAGTCTTCTCATCTGCCTCCTGCACCAGAATGTTCTTTGAGAACAGAAATCTTTACCATCCCTAGATGTGCACAGGCATCTAGTAGACACTCAATAGGTATTTGCTGGATAAAGGAAAGAAAAGAAGTTAGGGGCCAGGCAAGGTAGCTCATGTAATCCCAGCACTTTGAGAGACTGAGCGGGGCGGATCATTTGAGGTCAGGAGTTCAAGGCCAGCCTGGCCAACATGGTGAAACCCCATCTCTACTAAAAATACAAAAATTAGCTTGGTGCGGTGGTGCGCGCTTGTAATCCCAGCTACTTGGGAGGCTGAAGCAGGAGAATCGCTTGAACTTGAAAGGCGGAGGTTGCAGTGAGTGAAGATCGCGCCATTGCACTCCAGCCTGGGAGACAAGAGCATTTCAAAAAAAAAAAAAAAGGAAAAGAAGTTAGGAAGAAAACTCTCTCCCTTTTTTTGTAGAGGCGAGGAAAGCTCCTTTTATTCTCCTTTCTCACTATATTGCCCAGGCTGGTCTTGAACTCCTGGGCCCAGGCAATCTTCCTGCCTCAGCCTCCCAAAGTGCTGGGATTACAGGCATGAGCCACCGTACCTAGCTGAAAGAAAATTTTCTTTTCTTTTTTTTTTTTTGAGACAGAGTTTCACTCTTGTTGCCCAGGCTGGAGTACAGTAATGCGATCTCGGCTCACTGCAACATCTGCCTTCCAGGTTCAAGTGATTCTCCTGCCTCAGCCACCTGAGTAGCTGGGATTACAGGTGCGCACCACCACGCCCAGCTAATTTTTCTATTTTTAGTAGAGACAAGGTTTCACCATGTTGGCCAGGCTGGTCTTGAACTCCTGACCTCAGGTGATCCACCCAACTCAGCCTCCCAAAGTGCTGGGATTACAGGCATGAGCCACCGCATCTGGTCGAAATTTTCTTTTCTCTTCCCCCACATGCACTCTATCATCAAGGCCAGTCCATTTTATATCCTAAATATTGATGGAATCAATTTTCCCCTCTGAATCCTTCCTTCACAATCAGAAGCAATTCAACAGCCTCTCTCCTGGGCTCCCTGTCCCCTATATCTTTTGGTTCCCATCTACACTCCGCATGTCAAGAGAACTTCTTTGATGTTAGTCATGTGCTTCCCCTGTTCAATGGCCTTCAGTGGCTCCCAGGGCCTGCAGGATAAACTCAAACCTGAGAGCTGTCAGGAAGGCCCTCCCCAAACTGACTGGAGGCTGATTTCTAGTCATTATTTCAGCCCCTTCCCCAGAAACCCTGCTGCATGCACAGGGAGTCTGGATTTAATTTTTTTTTTTTTTTTTTAGACAGGGTCTTTCTCTCCCTCAGGCTGGAGTGCAGTGGCACAATCATGCTCACTGCAGCCTCAGCCTCCAGGGCTCAAGTAGATCTTCCCGCCTCAGCCTCTTGAGTAGCTTGGACTACAGATGCACATCACCATGCCCAGCTAATTTTTTTTTTTTTTTGAGACAGAGTCTTGCTCTGCTGCCCAGGCTGGAGTGTAATGGCATGATCTCAGCTCACTGCAACCTCTGCCTCCCGGGTTCAAGCAATTCTCCTGCCTCAGCCTCCCAAGTAGCTGGGACTATAGGCGCATGCCACCATGCCCGGCTAATTTTTTGTATTTTTAGTAGAGACAGGGTTTCACCATGTTAGCCAGGATGGTCTTGATCTCCTAACCTCGTGATCCGCCCTCCTCAGCCTCCCAAAGTGCTGGGATTACAGGCGTGAGCCACCGTGTCCGGCCATGCCCAGCTAATTTTTTAATTTTTTGTAGAGATGAGGTCTCACTATGTTGTTCAGGCTGGTCTCGAACCCCTGGGCTCAAGTGATCCTCCTGCCATTGGCCTCCTAAAGTGCTAGCATTATAGGCATAAGCCACCACACTCAGCCAGAGGTGGTTATTTTAGTTAGGGTGATCAGGGAAGGCCTCACTGAGGAGGTAACATTTGAGCCGAGACCTCAGCTCCAAGCTTGGTGGAAAACACTTGGTTTTATACTTGATGAAAAAGTAAGTGCGTGTTTAGTTTTGTTCAAAACTGCCATACTCTTTTTGCAGAGTGGCTATACCATTTCACATTCCCATCAACAAAATATGAGAAACCTAGTTTCTCCACATACTCACCAGCATTTGGTGTTAGCATTCTTATTTTAGCCATTCCAAGAAGTGCGTAGTGATGAAAGCAATTGTGGTTTTAATTTGTATTTCCCGAATAAATAGCTAATGATGTTTAACATCTTTTCATGCACATATTGCCACCTGTGACAGCAGTGAAATATCCGTTCATATCCTTTGTCCATTTTCTTTATTTCAAGTTCTGGGGTACATGTGCACGATGTGCAGGTTTGTTACACAGGGAAACATCTGCCATGGTAGTTTACCGCACCCATTAACCCATCACCTAGGTATCAAGCCCAGGATGCATTAGCTACTCTTGCTGATGCTCTCCCTCCCCCCTCCCAACACCCACCCCACAGGCCCCCATGTGTGTTGGTCCCCTCCCTGTGTCCATGTGTTCTCATTGTTCAGCTCCCACTTATAAGTGAGAACATGCATGTTTAGCTTTCTGTTGCTGCATTAATTTGCTGAGGATAATAGCTTCTAGCTTCATCCATGTCCCTGCAAAGGACATGATCTCGTTCCTTTTTATGGCTGTATAGTATTCCATGGTGTATATGTACCACATTTTCTTTATCCAGTCTATCATTGATGGGCATTTGGGTTGAGTCCATGTCTTTGCTATTTTGAATAGTGCTTCAATGAACATACTCGTGCATGTATCTTTGTAATAGAATGATTTATATTCCTTTAGGTATATACCCAGTAATGGGATTTCTGGGTCAAATGGTATTTCTGGTTCTAGGTCTTTGAGGAATCACCACACTGTCTTCCACAATGGTTGAACTAATTTACATTCCCACCAACAGTGTAAAAGCGTTCTACCTTTGGCCATTTTCAAACTGCATTATCTGTTTTACAAAAATCGCTCCAGCTGCTTTACGGAGAATTAATTAATTAAAGGGTGGAGTCGACACTGCGGAAGTTCAGGAGAAGTGATGGGAGCTGGGACGGAGTGTTAGCGCTGGAGATGGAGAAAAAGGGGCACATTCTGGAATAGTCAGCACATTGGAAGTAGAGTTTACGGGACTTGCAGGAGGACACGTAGAATCAAGGACTTCCAGGTTCCTGGCGTGTCCTTTACAGAGGGAAAAAAGGTTTGAGGGAAGGGGAACCAAGGCTCTGGACATAAATCTGAATTGCCTGTCACCGTCCGGGTGGAGGTCACAGATAAAGAGCCTGATCTAGACACAGGCGGAGAGGAGAGGAGGGATTTGAGGGCGTTGGGAGGAGGAAAGGGGGGCCAGCAGGAAGCGGTGACTGGCTGAGTAACAAAATGGGGGTGGGGACGTGCAAGTTTCAGACTCCGACTAACTACGCGGGGACTCCGAGGCGCTCAGAAAAATGAAGCCGACCCGGCCCTGCCCCGAGGGACGCTCCAAGAGGGCGGAGGTGCAGGGAGGGCCCCGCCACAATTCGCGGTAACGCAAGCCAGGCTCGGGCGGAAGGGCGGCCGGAGCCGATCAAAGGCTGGCTCCGGGCAGGGGCAGCGAGGGAGCGAGGGGGAGCTCTCCGCAGGCCGGTGTCCCGGAGGAGGCATAATTGGAGCAGGGCTTCCAAGGTCACGGAGAGACGCCGGGCAAGACCTCTTAAGGATCCTCTTCCGGGCTTGAAAGGCAGGCGTCCTCCCGAACCGCGCGACCCAGCCAAGAAGAGCCGGGGCGGGGCCGGGGCCGGGGCCGGGGGCCGACTCGGGAATCTTCGGCCGAGGCTCGGCAATCCCCCCATCCTCCGTCCGGGGCCTCCAGCCCGGGGCCGATCCGGAAACAGCCGAGCGGATCCGGAAACAGCCGAGAGGACCCGGAAGCGGTGCGCTCCGTCACCAGGGAGTGCGGGAATCCGCCGTTTGCGCTGAGGCAATGGCGGCAGCTGCGCCGGTGGCCGCGGACGACGATGAGCGGCGGCGGCGGCCGGGGGCTGGTACGTGAGGGGGCGTCCGTGCAAGCGGGGAACGGTGATGCTGGGGGCGGGGCCGAGCCAGCCACCTGCGGATGGGGGGTGGAGAGGGATGATGGAGGAAGGGGCGGGGCCACGCCGTCGGGAAAGGGGGCGGGGCCTACAGCCACAGGCAAAAGGGGGCGTGGCCCGGCCATTGAAGGGGTAGGGCCAGTGACAGGTGCGAAGTGGGGCCCGGTGAGGAAGGGGCGCGGCCACTAGGAGGGCGGGGCCAGGTGGGACCGAAGAGAGGACTGAGTGAAACTGGCCACCGCGAAGAGATGGAGTGTAGGCAGCACCCGGCAGAGCGAGTGGGAAGGGGGCGGGGCAGGGGCGGGGCCAGGTGAGCCGGGCGGGCCCAGGTGAAGGAGGCCCCAGATGAAGGCAACAGTACTAGGTTGCAGGACTTGCTAAGCCGGTAGGTGGCCTGGGGTAAGAGATGGGAAGAGAGGCTGATCCCTGTCCCCCACAGCACTGGAGGACTCCCGGTCCCAGGAAGGGGCAAATGGTGAGGCCGAGTCAGGTGAGCTCAGCCGGCTTCGGGCTGAGCTGGCAGGCGCCCTGGCAGAAATGGAAACCATGAAGGCTGTGGCAGAGGTGAGCGAGAGCACGAAGGCCGAGGCTGTGGCTGCGGTGCAGCGGCAGTGCCAAGAGGAGGTGGCCTCGCTGCAGGCCATCCTGAAAGGTGAGACGCGGGACTCACCTAGACTCCCCATCAACCCCATACTGGGGAGTGCATGACGAGAAAGGGATTGGGGGCACAGATAAGCTATGGGATAGGTTAGCAGGGCTGCCTGGCACAGGGCATGCCTATGGCCCAGAGGAAGGGCCGCCCTTTTAAAATTTGCATAGAGGCCCTCCATGTGATAGCAGCAGCTCTGTCAGTTATAGCTAAGTTTAGCTCCCAGCTTCTATCTGTTGCCTTGTCCCATGTCATTTCTTGTCCCTCACTGATGATTGATCAACCCTGAAGATGGGCGAGAAACTTCTCAGTTCCCCAAACCAACCTCATTTTAGTCTGGACTTCTGGGAAATAGAATCAGCCCTGGCCCAGTCTCTGTGAGTCTAATGCTCTGCTCTCTAGCCTTCCCCAGACACTCCCCCCTCCACCCCACGCCATGCACCAGCTTCCCCACCTCCGCCCCACGTTCTTTGTACTTGGTCCTCTGGCCCCAGACGCCCCAGCTGCTGATCCTGTTTTCTACTCTCCTTCCTCTAGCAGAAGCCAGAGACTCTGAAACAGATGTCAGAGCTGCCCCCGCTGCTATGCCCCTGCTGCGGTGGGGCTCTCGTCAACTCTCTCCTGGACTTTTGTCCCAACCTTCTCACAGATCTTCCTCTATAGTGTGGCCTTGACATTGGCTTCCAGAGTAAACTTCCTAAAATTCCCTTCCCAACATGCGATTTCCCTTTCTAACAGCTGCTGGTGGCTGGAGACTTCTCTGGGGCTGTATTTCCCACATTTCAGGATCCACCTGCCTGTGCAATGTAGACACATCCTTGTACAACTTACTGTGCTGTTTACTTAATATTTGTTCTTTAAATAGATCCACATTTTAAAAGTTTACATACATTTATTAAGGGAAACTTGTTATATCTACTATATAAGAAAAGCCAGGTGTGTCCTAAATAATAACAATAGCTAGCTTTTTTTTTTTTTCTTGAGTCAATAAGAGTTTCACTCTGTCGCCCAAGCTGGAGTGCGTCACAGCACGCTGGTGTGATCTCAGCTCACTGCAACCTCCACCTCCTGGGCTCAAGCAGATCCTCCTACCTCAGCCTCCCAAGTAGCCAAGACTACAGGTGCATGCCACCATGCCTGGCTAATTTTTAGTATTTTTTTGTAGAAACAGGGTCTCTCTATGTTACCCAGACAGGTCTTGAACTCCTGAGCTCAAACGATCTGCCTGCCTTGGCCTCCCAAAGTGCTGGGATTACAGGTGTGAGCCACCGCGCCTGGCCAGGTAGCATGTTTTGAGCACTCACTATGTGCCAGGCACTGAGCTAAATGCTTTATGAGTAACTAATCTTCATAACAAACTCTGTGAGGCAGGAACTATTACCCATCTCCATTTTACAGAGGAAGCTCTGAGGCCCGGAGAGGTTAAATAACTTGCCCAAGGTCATATAGCTGGAAAACAGCCAAAGGTTGGAAACCAAGCAGCCTAACAGCTGAACCTATTTTTTTTTTTTTCTGAGACAGTGTCTCACTGTTACCCAGACTGGAGTTCAGTGGTGCAGTCTCAGCTCACTGCAACCTCCACCTCCCGGGTTCAAGCGATTCTCCTTCCTCAGCCTCCCAAGTAGCTGGGACTACAGGCGTGTGCCACCACACGTGGCTAATTTTTTTTTTCTTTTCTTTTGAGATGGAGTCTTACTCTGTCGCCCAGGCTGGAGTACAGTGGTGTGATCTTGGCTTACTGCAAGCTCCACCTCCCGGGTTCATGCTATTCTCCTGCCTCAGCCTCCCAACCAGCTGGGACTACAGGTGCTCGCCACCACGCCTGACTAATTTTTTTTTTTAATTTTTAGTAGAGACGGGGTTTCACTGTGTTAGCCAGGATGGTCTCGATCTCCTGACCTCGTGATCTGCCTGCCTCGACCTCCCAGAGTGCTGGGATTAGAGGGGTGACCCACCACGCCCGGCCCCATTTTTTGTATTTTTAGTAGAGATGGGGTTTCACCGTGTTAGCCAGGATAGTCTCGATCTCCTGACCTTGTGATCCGCCCACCTCGGCCTCCCAAAGTGCTGGAATTAGAGGCGTGAGCCAGCACGCCCGGCCCAGCTGAACCTTTACTTCTACTGTTAGTGCACAATAATAGGTCAATATCTATACAAACAAAAAATGACCACGTTCTACCAAAAATCAAACAAGTCCATGTTACTCAGGTGGGAGGATCAGTTGAGGTCAGGAGTTTGAGACCAGCCTGGGCACCAAAGTGAGACCCTTAGCTGGGTATGGTGGCAAGTGCCTGTGGTCCCTGCTACTTGGGAGGGTGAGGTGGGAGGTTCACTTGAGCCCAAGAGTTTAAGGCTGCAGTGAACTATGATTGCACCACTGCACTCCAGCCTGGGTGACAGAGGGAGACCCTGACTCTCTTTTTTTTGTTTTTTTGTTTTTTGAGACGGAGTCCCGCTCAGTCACCCAGGCTGAAGTGCGGTGGCACAATCTCGGTTCACTGCAACCTCCGCCTCCTGGGTTCAAACAATTCTCCTGCCTCAGCCTCCCAAGTAGCTGGGATTACAGGCGCCCACCACCATGCCTGGTTAAATTTTGTGTTTTCAGTAGAGACAAGGTTTCACTATGTTGGCCAGGCTGGTCTCGAACTCCTGACCTAGATGATCTGCCCACCTCGGCCTCCCAAAGTGCTGGGATTACAGGTATGAGCCACAGCGCCCGAACCTGACTCCCTTAAAAAAAAAAAAAAAAAAAAAAAAATCTATGTTCTATCCAACATCACCTCCATCTCCTGCTGACCTGTAGAATAAGTTCCAAACCTCTTGGCGTCACATTCAAGGCCCTGGGAGCCACCCACTGCCTCCTTTCCAGTGTCTCTCCTTGGGCGCCTTCACTGTTCCAGTCCCTCCAACATATTCCACCATGCCACAGCCACGCCAGCTGCTCTTCCGCTGCTCACACTGGTCCTGTTAACTCATGCATCTTTCCCTCCTTCACTGTCTACCACTGTCCTCTCCTGCCTGGCCAGGCAGGCAGAGTGAGGGCTCCTTCCTCTGGGATATCCAAGCCCAGGAAGGGTCCTCTCCTGTACCTCTTCCCATACTGCATCCTAACTATTGCCACAGCCGCCCTCTTCATTGGACTGTGAGCTCCCGGTGGCAGGCTTTGTGTTTGATTAATTTCTGTATTTCCAGAGCCCAGCTCAGAGTCTGATCCAGCGTAAATATTTATTACTACGATTAAGGGCCGGGTGTGGTGGCTCATGCCTGTAATCCCAGCACTTTGGGAGGCTGAGACGGGAGGATTGCTTGAGCTCAGGAGTTCAAGACCAGCCTGGGCAACATGGTGAGACCCCGTCTCTACAAAAAATACAAAAATTAGCCAGGCATGCTAGTTTGTGCCTGTAGTCCCAGCTACTCGGGGCACTGAGGTGGGAGGATTGCTTGAGCCCAGGAGGCTGAGGTTGCAGTGAGTCATGATTGCGACACTGCACTTCAGCCTGGGCAACAGAGTGAGACCCTTTCTCAAAAATTAAAAAAACAGAGGCCTGTGGTGGGGTGGGGGGAGAGGGGAGGGATAGCATTAGGAGATATACCTAATGTAAATGACGAGTTAATGGGTGTAGCTCACCAACATGGCACATGTATACATATGTAACAAACCTGCATGTTGTGCACATGTACCCTAGAACTTAAAGTAAAATTAAACAAACAAAAAAAAAGGGCTGGGAGCAGTGGCTCACGCCTATAATCCCAGCACTTTGGGAGGCCAAGGCGGGCGGATCGCTTGAGGTCAGGAGTTCAAGACCAGCCTGGCCAGCATGGCAAAACCCCGTCTCTACTAAAAATAGAAAAATTAGCCAGGGGTGGTGGTGGGCGCCTGTAATCCCAGCTACACAGGACGCTGAGGCACGAGAATCACTTGAACCCAGCAGGCAGAGGTTGCAGTGAGCCAAGATTGCACCACTGCACCCCAGCCTGGGTGACAGAGTGAGACTCTGTCTCAAAATAATAATAATAATAATAATAATAATAATAATAATAACCAAAAAAAATTCTTACCGTTCTTAAATATTGACTGTTCCTGGTATATATTAATAGGAACAGTGTCACATCTTCTGTGTGCCTGAGAAAGGGCTGGACACCTTGCCTGTGTCATCTCATCTATTTTTATTTTTTATTTTATTTTATTTTTTTGTACACTATTTATCTTAGATATGTCATCTCATTTAGTCTGTAGCCACCAGAAGGATGATCAGTAGTGTCCCCATTTTGCACCTAAGGACACTGATGCACAGAGAGGCTGAGTGATTGCCCAGGTCAATTTCTGCAAAGCCTGCCATGGCAACTGCTATGGTAGATTGTCTCACAGAAAGAGTCAGTGCATCAAGAGTCCCCTGCTCGCCCACAGGCAGGGCTGGCTCATTGACCCTCCCTCTCTCCCACCCTCCCTCTCCCCCACCAGACTCCATCAGCAGCTATGAAGCCCAGATCACCGCCCTGAAGCAGGAGCGACAGCAGCAGCAGCAGGACTGTGAGGAGAAGGAGCGGGAGCTGGGCCGCCTGAAGCAGCTGCTGTCCCGGGCCTACCCCCTGGACTCCCTGGAGAAGCAGATGGAAAAGGTTGGGATTGGGATGGCTTCCCTGCTGCCCTGGGATTTGGAAGAATGTTGAGGACTGTGGATGTCCCATTCCCTGGTCATGGGGTGCGGGGCACCCAGCAGTGATTCTAGGAATAGCACAGAGTTACCAGGTGTTGTTGAGAGCTTGGCTCTGTGCTCCGTAGGGTCCTGGCTTGCCCCTTATTAGTGGGTGACCAAGTTCGCTTAGCTCCAAAATTAACTTAAGTTATGTAGAGGGAAGGGAACTTACACTTAAGGGTAACAAAAAAAATTCTTACTGTTATTAAATATTGACTTCTGGTGTACATTACCTCTTGGTAATATATTGTTAGCTCTTGGCTTGGTGCAGTGGCTCACGCCTATAATCCCAACACTTTGGGAGGCCAAGGCAGGTGGGGCACTTGAGGTCAGGAGTTCAAGACCAGCCTGGCCAACATGGCGAAACCCTGTCTCTACTCAAAATATAAAAATTAGCCTGCGGCGCACACCTGTAATCCCAGCTACTCAGGAGGTTGAGGCAGGAGGATCACTTGAACCCAGGAGGCAGAGGCTGCTGTGAGCTAAGATCGTGCCACTGCACTCCAACCTGGGCAATAGAGTGAGACTTCGTCTTAAAAAAAGGATGCCTCTGATGCTTTAGGCACTGTGCTTAGTGCTTGACAGAGTCAGCCTCCCCAGTCCATTCCCTGTAAGGGAGGTCTGTTAGATCCATTTATCAGATGAGTACGATAAGGCTCAGGGAAATTCAGTACTTCCCCTGTTTACGCACATAGAAGGGAGTGGAGTTGAGATTTTAAAATCTAAGCAGAGGACTAACTCATGCTTATAATCCCAGCACTTTGGGAAGCCAAGGCAGGAGGATCGCTTGAGGCCAGGAGCTTGAAGCTGCAGTGAGCTATGATCTCACTACTGCACTCCAGCCTGGGCACCATAGCAAGATCCCATCTCTAAAAACTTTTTTTGTTAAATTAACTGGGCATGGTGGTGCACACCTGTAGTCCCAGCTACTCAAGAGGCTGACATGGGAGGATCACTTGAGCCAGAAATCAAGCTTGCAGCAAGCTATGATCACATCACTGCACTCCAGCTTGGATGACAGAGTAAGACCCTGTCTCTTTAAAAAAAAAAAAAGTCTAGGCAGACTGGTTTTATTTATTTATTCATTTATTATTGAGACAGGGTCTTGCTCTGTCACCCAGGCTGGAGTACAGTGGCGCAATCTCGACTCACTGCCACCTCTGCCTCCTGGGTTCAAGTGATTCTCCTGCCTCAGCCTCCCGAATAGCTGGAATTACAGGCACCTGCCACCATGCCCAGCTAATTTTTTTGTAGTTTTAGTAGCGACGGGGTTTCACCGTGTTGGCCAGGCTGGTCTTGAACTCCTGACCTCTAGTGATCGGCCCGCCTCCGCCTCCCAAAATGCTGGGATTGCAGGTGTGAACCACCGCGCCCGGCCCAGGCTGGTTCGAAAGTGTTCTTAATCTCTATGATATGTCACCTCCTTTATTATTGCTGTTATTAACAATTATAGGAAAAAAAATTAGCCAGGCGCGGTGGCGGGCGCCTGTAGTCCCAGCTACTCGGGAGGCTGAGGCAGGAGAATGGCGTGAACCCGGGAAGCGGAGCTTGCAGTGAGCCGAGATTGCGCCACTGCAGTCCGCAGTCCCACCTGGGCGACAGAGCGAGACTCCGTCTCAAAAAAAAAAAAAAAAAAAAAAAAAAAAACAATTATAGGAAGCACATATTTATTATCAAACGCTTCATCTTTCAAAGCAAATTTTTATTGTTACTTCATTTGATCCTATAGCAGACCTGTGAGATAGATACTTCAATTAATATTCTTATTTCATGCATAAGGAAACAGGCTCAGGGATGGTGTCAGTTACCTAGTTAGAAAGAAAGATGAAGACAGGAGCCCATGAAACAAAGACCTTCAAGCCACATCTTCCCAGCATCCGGGCTGTCCCGTGCATCCGGAGTGTTCCCCAGGGAGCACCTCCGCAGGTTGGTAAAGGAGAGGGCCCCGCTCAATGAAAGCTGCCCAACACAGTGAAGGGAGCATCAGGGCTGGGCGTGGTGGCCCACGCCTGTAATCCTAGCCCTTTGGGAGGTTGAGGTGGGCAGATCACTTGAGGTCAGGAGTTTGAGACCAGCCTGGCTAACTTGGGGAAACCCCGTCTCTACTAAAAAAGTACAGAAATTAGCCAGGCATGGTGGTGGGCACCTGTAATCCCAGCTACTCGGAAGACTGAGGCAGGAAAGTCTCTTGAACCCAGGAGACGGAGGTTGCAGTGAGCCGAGATCATACCACTGCACTCCATCCTGGGCAACAGAGCAAGATTCCGTCTCAAAAAAGAAAAAGAGATTTGGAGGATTAAACAGCTTGCTTGAGAAGATTTCAAGTGATTCAAGAAGTGGAAAGGGCATGAACTAGAAGTAGGGAGTGATGTGGACAGGGATGACTGGCAGATTTCTGCCTTGAACAACTTGTGGCCAGCAGGGCCGTTTTCACTGACTGAGTGTTTGTGGCAGGAAGAACAGCGTCCCTGAGTGGTTTGTTTTGGGTATCTACGGTTAGAGGAGCCTGTGGGACATATAAGCGGAGATAGGTAGAGGCTGTTGGTTGCTCAACATCAGCAGGATCCGAAGCTTGAAAAGAGGTGGGAAAATATGGTCAGCTCTATGGTGGTGATAGGAGTGTGGGAGAACAAATCGATTAGGATGAGATTTGGCTGCATGTGATTGAAAACCCAAATTAACAGTGGCTTAAATGTGACATAATTTTTTTTTTTTTTTTTTGAGATGGAGTCTTGCTCCGTCCCCAGGCTGGAGTGCAGTGGTGCCATCTCAGCTCATTGCAACCTCTGCACCCAGGTCCTGGTTCAAGCAATTCTCCTTCCTCAACCTCCCAAGTAGCTGGGATTACAGGCGCGCACCACCACATCCAGCTAATTTTTGTATTTTTAGTAGAGATGGGGTTTCACCACGTTGGCCAGTCTGGTCTTGAACTCCTGACCTTGTGATCGGCCCACCTTGGCCTCCCAAAGTGCTGAGATTACAGGCGTGAGCCACTGCACTTGGCCAGAAATTTTTTTTTTTTTTTTTTTTTTTTTGGAGACAAGAGTCTCAGTCTGTCGCCCAGGCTGGAGTGCAGTGACGTGATCTTGGCTCACTGCAACCTCCACCTCCCGGGTTCAAGTGATTCTCGTGACTCAGCCTCCCTGAGTAGCTGGGATTACAGGTGCCCACTGCCACGCCCGGCTAATTTTGTATTTTTAGTACACACAGGGTTTTGCCGTGTTGGCCAGGCTGGTTTCAAACTCCTGCCCTCAGGTGATCTGCCCGCCTTGGCCTCCCAAAGTGCTGGGATTACAGGCATGAACCACTGCACCCAGCCCAGAAATTTGTTTTTTTCAAGTTCAGAGGTAGACATTTCAGGACTGGTATAGCAGCTCAACAAGTTGTCAAGCAGGCTTCTCCTATATTGCTGTTTTGCCATAGGTAGCACATTGCCTCATGGTCCAAGATGACTGCTTGAGTGCCAGCCATCATGTCCACATTCCAGCCAGCAAAAAGGAGGAGAAGGAGGAATAAAGAAAGGCACACCCTCTTCCTTTGAAGAGTTGTCCTAGGCCAGGCACGGTGGCTCATGCCTGTAATCCTAGCACTTTGGGAGGCCGAGGCGAGCAGATCATTTGAGGCCTAGATGGGTGGTCTCAGGAGTTCGAGACCAGCCTGGCCAACATGGTTAAACCCCCTTCTACTAAAAATACAAAAAAATTAGCTGGGCGTGGTGGCACGCATCTGTAATTCTAGCTACTTGGGAGGCTGAGGCAGGAGAATCGCTTGAACCTAGGAGGCAGAGGTAGCAGTGAGCAGAGATAGTGCCATTGCACTCCAGCTTGGGCAACAAGAATGAAACTTCTTATTAAAAGAAAAAAAGTTGTCCTGGGCCAGGCACGGTGGCTCACACCTGTAATCCCAGCACTTTGGGAGGCTGAGGTGGGTGGTTTCAGGAGTTCGAGACAAGCCTGGCCAAAATAGTGAAACCCTGTCTCTACTAAAAATACAAAAATTAGCCGGGCGTGGTGGCGAGCGCCTGTAATCCCAGCTACTCATGAGGCTGAGGCAGGAGAATCGCTTGAACCCAGGAGGCGGAGGTTGCAGTGAGCCGAGATTATGCCACTCCACTCTAGTCGGGGCAACAGAGTGAGACTCCATCTCAAAAAAATGTAATAATAATACAAATAAAATAAAGAGTTGTCCTGGAAGGTCCCCTTGGCTTATCTGTTTCCATCTCAGTAGCTGGAACTTAGCCAGATGATCTGTTTAGTTGCAAGGAAGCTGAGAAATGTGGATGGTATTTTAGGATTTAGGCCACATGCCCAACTAACAATGTGAAGTGTGCTGGCCATTGGTGTAATCCCAACCCAGATGCTGGGAATCACACTTGTAATGCCAGCACCTTGGGAGGCTGAGGTGGGAGGATCACTTGAGGCCTGGAGTTCAAAACCAGTCTGGGCAACATAGCAAGATCCTGTCTCCACAAAAAAATACAAAAATTAGCTCATTGGTGCACATGCCTGTAGTCCCAGCTAATCAGGAGGCTGAGGCAGGAGAATGGCTTGAACCCAGGAGGCGGAGGTAGCAGCGAGCCGAGATTGTGCCACTGCACTCCAGCCTGGGTGATAGAGCAAGACTCCATCTCAAAAAAAAAAAGGTAAAGTTCTATGACGAAAGAAAAAAATGGATGTTGGAGAAGGAAGACATGGTGAGTGACGGGACCACAGGAAGAAGTCGTGACCTTCATCCTTGCCCTTATGTCCTGGGGCAAGTCGTGGAAGCTTCTAGAGCCTCTGTGTTCTTATCTCTGGAATGAGGGTGGACAGCACCTTCTAGGGAGGATTAGGAGAGCTGATGTGCTTGGAGAGGAAGCTCTGAACAGACCCGGGGCTTCAGCACTTTGGAGGGGGAACTATTGCTGCCACACCCCGCTCCCTCCAGGCCCACGAGGACTCGGAGAAGCTGCGGGAGATCGTACTGCCCATGGAAAAGGAGATCGAGGAGCTGAAGGCGAAGCTGCTGAGGGCCGAGGAGCTGATTCAGGAGATCCAGGTGAGGGCACGGCCAGGGGGCGCTGGGGAAGGAGGGGTGCCAGAGGACCCTGGCCCCCCAGCCTCTTCCCTGCCCCCTTCCCTAGAGACGTCCCCGGCATGCCCCTTCCCTGCACGGCTCCACGGAGTTGCTGCCCCTGTCCCGGGATCCATCGCCCCCGCTGGAGCCTCTGGAGGAGCTGAGCGGAGATGGGGGTCCAGCCGCTGAGGCCTTCGCTCACAACTGCGATGACAGCGCCTCCATCTCCTCCTTCTCCCTTGGCGGTGGGGTCGGCAGCAGCTCCTCCCTGCCCCAAAGCCGCCAGGGCCTGAGCCCTGAACAGGAAGAGACGGCCTCGCTGGTGTCTACGGGCACCCTGGTTCCCGAGGGCATCTACCTGCCCCCTCCTGGCTACCAGCTCGTCCCAGACACTCAGTGGGAGCAGCTGCAGACAGAGGTGAGTGTTGTGGGCAGGGTGGCGGGGTGTACCATCCCCCTCTCTGCTGGATGCTTCCCCCGCACCACCTGTGTTCAGACCCAGAACTAGAGCCGGAGCTTCCACAGGGAGAAGAGAGGCCCCCCTCCTGGTGAAGGCAGGCAGATGTAAACATGCATAGGGGCCAGGTGCGGTGGCTCACACCTGCCATCCCAGCCACTCGGAAGCTGGGTGGGAAGATTGTGGCTAGGAGTTCAAGGCCAGTCTGGGCAACATAGTAAGACCCTGTCTCTTTACAAAAGTTAAAAAAAAAAAAAAAAGCCAAGTATACACTTGTAGTCCCAGCTACTTGGGAGGCTGAGGCAGGAGGATCTCTTGAGCCCAGGAGATTGAGGTTGCAGTGAACCGAGATCGTGCCACCCACTCCAGCCTGGGTCACAGAGTGAGAACCTGTCTCAAAAAAAAAAAAAAAAAAAAAGAGGCCGGGTGCGGTGGTTCATGCCTGTAATCCCAGCACTTTGGGAGGCCGAGGTGGGTGGATCACCTGAGGTCAGGAGTTTGAGACCAGCCTGGACAACATGGTGAAACCCCATCTAAAAACACAAAAATTAGCTGGGCGTGGTGGCGCATGCCCGTAATCCCAGCTACTCAGGAGGCTGAGGGAGGAGAATCGCTTGAACTGGGGAGGCGGAGGTTGCAGTGAGCCAAGATCAAACCACTGCACTCCATCCTGGGCAACAAGAGTGAAACTCTGTCTCAAAATAATAATAACAATAATGTGATACAAAAAATGAATTGTATATTTAACATGGGTAAATTATGTGGTAAAGAAATTATAACTCAATAAAGATGCTTTAAAAAAAAATGCACATGGATGCATGGGGAAGACATTGTCACCAGGGAGATGCCCAGAGAAAAACAAAACTGGGCTTATAGGATAGAGACTGGCAGTGAGGGAGACTGACCCGGGTTCAGGCTGGAACTGAGACCCAGATGGCGTGAGGAAGTACTCTTAAAGACCGGGGCAGGCCGGGCGCGGTGGCTCATGCCTGTAATCCCAGCACTTTGGGAGGCCGAGATGGGCAGATCACCTGAGGTTGAGAGTTCAAGACCAGCCTGACCAACATGGAGACAAGCATGGTGGCGCATGCCTGTAATCCCAGCTACTTGGGAGGCTGAGGCAGGAGAATCGCTTGAACCCAGGAGGCAGAAGTTGTGGTAAGCCGAGATCGCGCCATTGCACTCCAGCCCGGGCAAGAAGAGAAGCAGAGAGAAACTGTGTCTCAAAAAAAAAGAGAAAAAAAAACCGGGGCACAAGGAACTGTGAGTTCGAAGGCCCTGAGGATGGAGAGACCACAGTGTGTCTGAGGAACAGGAAGGCCACCGGGGAGGAGAGAAGAGGAGACCAGAAAGAAAGGCAGGGCCACATGAGTCCGACCTCGGGGGCCTGTTGTGCATTGTGCGTCTTAGGAGACGTGGGAAGCACCTGCAGGGTTAAGCAACGGAGAAGCCTCCCGGCTCCAGGCTTTCAAAAGCTCACTTGGGGCCAGGTGCAGTGGCTCACGCGTGTAATCTCAGCACTTTGGGACACTGAAGCGGGCAGAATGCTGGAGCCCAGGAGTTTGAGACCAGCCTGGGCAACATGATGAAACCCTGTCCTACAAAAAAACACAAAAAAGTAGCTGGGCACAGTGGCACATGCCTATGATCCAGGCTACTTCGAGAGGTTGAGATGAGAGGATTGCTTGAGCCCAGGAGGTCGATGCTGCAGTGAGCTGAGATCGTGCGCCACTGCACTCCAGCCTGGGTCACAGAGTGAGACCCCATCTCAAAAAAAAAAAAAAAAAAAAGAAAGAAAGAAAGCTTACTTGGGGCTGTGTTGGGGTAGGGGACACAGGAGAAGCTGAGAGGCTGGGACTGTGGTGTACAGGAAGGTGGTACCTTGGACCAGGGGATGGCCGCAGAGACAGGAAGAAATGGGTGGATGTGGAATCCACTTTTTTTTTTTTTGAGATGGAGTCTCGCTGTGTCACCCAGGCTGGAGTGCAGTGGTGTGGTTCTCGGCTCACTGCTAGCTCCACCTACCGGGTTCATGCCATACTCCTGCCTCAGCCTTCCGAGTAGCTGGGACTACAGGCGCCTGCCACCACACCTGGCTAATTTTTTGTGTTTATAGTAGAGACGGGGTTTCACCATGTTAGCCAGGATGGTCTCGATCTCCTGACCTCGTGATCCGCCCACCTCGGCCTCCCAAAGTGCTGGGATTACAGGTGCGAGCCACCATGCCCGGCTGGAATCCACTTTTTTTAAGATGGAGTCCTGTCCTGTCACCCAGGCTGGAGTGCAGTGGCCTGATCTTGGCTCACTGCAACCTCTGTCTTTCAGGTTCAAGCGATTCTCCTGCCTCAGCCTCCCCAGTAGCTGGGATTACAGGGGCCCGCCACCACGTCCAACTACTTTTTTTGTATTTTTAGTAGAGACAAGGTTTCACCATATTGGTCAGGCTGGTCTTGAACTCCTGACCACCCACCTCAGCCTCCCAAAGTGGTGGGATTATAGGCATGAGCCACCATGCCTGGCCCTGTTTTTTTTTTTTTTTTCTCTTTTTTGAGACGGAATCTCACTCACGGCAACCTCTGCTCACTGCTCACTGCAACCTCTGCTTCCTGGGTTTAAGTGAATCTCCTGCCTCAGTTTCCCGAGTAGCTGAGATTACAGGTGTCCCGCCACCACGCCCGGCTAATTTTTTGTATTTTTAGTAGAGACAGGGTTTTACCATGTTGGCCAGGCTGGTTTTGAACTCCTGACCTCAAATGATCCACCCGCCTCGGCCTTCCAAAGTGCTGGGATTACAGGCGTGACCCCACTCCACCCAGTCCTGTGGAATCCACTTTGGAGGTGGACCTGGCAGGGCCTGCTGATGGGTGGGGAGTGAAGGGAAGAGAATGGATGGCTGGGCCTGTAATTTGACGGACTGTGTGGATGAGGGCACCTCCCTGCAGAGGTGGGCCACGAGAAGTGTGGTGAGGGGGGCCAAGTTCCTGGGAGATGCAGGCTGAAGGCAGGGTCTGTGGCAGGGCCGACAGCTGCAGAAGGACCTGGAGAGCGTCAGTCGCGAGCGGGACGAGCTCCAAGAGGGCCTGAGACGGAGCAATGAGGACTGTGCCAAGCAGGTGGGTCCCTGCCGCTGCTGCAGCCCCAGCCGGCCTCTGGCTACCTGCCGCCCCCTGACATGCCCTTGCCCTCACTTTCGCCCTCCCTCCAACCCAGATGCAGGTGCTCCTGGCCCAGGTCCAGAACTCAGAGCAGCTGCTGCGGACCCTGCAAGGGACCGTGAGCCAGGCCCAGGAGCGGGTGCAGCTGCAGATGGTGAGTACCTGGGGGCCCTAGGGCAGGAGGGCGAGGAGTCCAGCAGGAATCAGTTGCACGTGGTGGAAGGGGGCACGTGGGAAGTCAAGGAACCTGTCCTGTCCCCAGCTGCTCAGGCCACACCCTGGAACCGGTGCCAGGTAGGTAAGAGGGTTTTGGGGCAGCTGGTGCCGTGGCCAGAACAGGGCCCCTGCAGCCACACAGAGCTGTTTGATCTTGAGCTAATCCCAGACTCCCAGCCTCTGCCTCACCATCTATAAAACTGACATAATGGGCCCTAGTTTGCAGAGTCATGAGGATTAAAATCAAATCTGACTGGGCGAGGTGACTCATACCTGTAATCCTAGCACTTTGGGAGGCCTAGGCGGTTGGATCACCTGAGGTCAGGAGTTCGAGCCTAGCCAACACAGGGAAACCCCATCTCTACTAAGAATACAAAAATTAGCCGGGCATGGTGGTGGGCGCCTATAATCCCAGCTACTTGGCTGGGCAGGATAATCGCTTGAACCCAGGGGACAGAGGTTGTAGTGAGCCGAGATCACGCCATTGCACTTCAGCCTGGGTGAAAGCAAAACTGTCTCAAAGAAAAAAAAAAAAAAAAAGCAAATCAGATACTGACAAAGACTGGGGAGGAGACATACGTGATTGAACAGGGCCAGGTGTAGGGCAGGAGGGTAGGAGGGCAGTAGGCGGCCTGGAACCAGAGGCCCCTGCAAGGGGCTCCTGCCTCTGGGCTTTGCTGACTGTGGCCACCTAGGAACACAGGTTCCCTGCTGCCAGATTTTCTGATTTTTCAAGAGAAACCAAAAATATGAATATTTGTGTATTGTCTCCTATTTTTTTTTTTTTTTTTTTTTTTGAGACGGAGTCTCGCTCTTTCACCCAGGCTGGAGTGCAGTGGCACGATCTCGGCTCACTGCAAGCTCTGCCTCCCAGATTCACGCCATTCTCCTGCCTCAGCCTCCCGAGTAGCTGAGACTACAGGTGCCTGCCACCACGCCCGGTTAATATTTTTTTTTGTATTTTTAGTAGAGACGGGGTTTCACCGTGTTAGCCAGGATGGTCTCGATCTCCTGACCTCGTGATCCACCCGTCTCGGCCTCCCAAAGTGCTGGGATTACAGGCGTAAGCCACTGAGCCCGGCCTCCTGTTTTTTTTTTTTTAAGAAATGGTGTGTTGCTCTGTCGCTCAGGCTGGCCAGGCTGGAGTGCAGTGGTGCAATCAGAGCTCACTGAAGCCTCAACTTTCTGGGCTCAAGCAATCCTGCAGCCTCACCCTCCTGAGTAGCTGGGACTACAGGCTCACACCACCATGCCCAGCTAATTTGTAAATTTTTTTGTAGAGTCGGGGTCTCACTATGTTGCCCAGGCTGGTCTCAAACTCCTGGCCTCAAGTGACCCTCCCACCTTGGCCTCCCCCATAGCCAGGGTTATAGGTGTGTGGCACCACGCCTGGCTTGTCTCTTAATTTTTAGAATTGGCAACTACTTTAAGGTTTTAAAAATATATATGGGCCGGGCACGGTGGCTCACACCTGTAATCCCAGCACTTTGGGAGGCCAAGACAGGTGGATCATCTGAGGTCAAGAGTTTGAGACCAACCTGACCAACATGGTGAAACCCCGTCTCTACTAAAAGTACAAATATTAGCCAGGCGTGATGGTGGGCGCCTGTAATTCCAGCTACTTGGGAGGCTGAGGCAGGAGAATCGCTTGAACCCGGGAGGCGGAGGTTGCAGTGAGCCGAGATCACTCTATTGCACTCCAGCCTGAGTGACAGAGGGAGACTCTGTCTCAAAAAAATATATATTTTTTAAAATTTAAATTTATATATATTTAAATATTTGTGTGTGTGTGTGTGTATGTGTATATATATATATATATATATATAGACCAAGTAAAATATCTGGCTTGGGCCCTGGCAGCAGCCTGTAATCTGCGTGTTAGCAGGGACAGAGGTGTCTGAAGAGCTTGGTAGCAAAAAGTGCTCCTTCCTTGCTTAGGAACAGAGAGGGTATGGGCTCTCTTGCTGTCAGTCTGGGAGGAGGGTTCAAGGAGGTTTGGCCTCCTAGGGACTGGAGACGCCCTGTCCTCTTCATTGCCTTATACTAACTGTCTGTCCATAGGCGGAGCTGGTCACCACCCACAAGTGCCTGCACCATGAGGTAAAGCGGTTGAATGAGGAAAACCAAGGGCTCCGGGCCGAGCAGCTGCCATCCTCAGCCCCCCAGGGCTCGCAGCAGGAGCAGGGCGAGGAGGAATCACTGCCCAGCTCTGTGCCAGTAAGCTGAGTGTGGGCACTGAGAGCCTGGAGCCACCGTGAGGGCCCCTTCTTCCCAGGCAGGGCAGAGCGTTGGTCACGACCAGCCAGGGTGCTGTGTATTTGCTTGGCTAACTCATTTGCCTTCTCTAAGGCTCAGTTTCCTCATCTGAGAAATGGAACCATACATGCTTTCCAGCATTGGCATCAAAAGAAAATGAATTAACAGAATGCTTGGCAGGAAGGAAGCAGTCATTTGGTTGGTTTGCTATTTTTAAGTGACACGCGAGCCACAAGATTGAATTTATCATAATCTTTGGTTTATAGCAAGCTGCCATCATGGATCTATGCCTAGCCTTTGTCAACTTTTTCTTAATAATATGGCTTATTAGCCAGGCGCGATGGCTCACACCTGTAATCCTAGCACTTTGAGAAGCTGAGGCGGGCGGATCACTTGAGGTCAGGAATTTGAGACCAGCCTGGCCAACGGTAAAACCCTGTCTCTACTAAAAATACAAAAAAATTAGTCAGGGCTAGGCGCGGTGGCTCACGCCTGTAATCCCAGCACTTTGGGAGGCCAAGGTGGGTGGATCACCTGAGGTCAGGAGTTTGAGACCAGCCTGCCCAACATGGCAAAACCCCATCTCTACTAAAAATACAAAAATTAGCCTGGTGTGGTGGCGGGCACCTGTAATCCCAGCTACTCGGTAGGCTGAGGCTGGAGAATCGATTGAACCCAGGAGGCGGAGGTTGCAGTGAGCCGAAATCGCGCCATTGCACTCCAGCCTGGGTAACGAGTGAAACTCTGTCTCAAAAGAAAAAGAACATTAGTTGGGTGTGGTGGCTCGTGCCTGTAATCCCAGCTACTTGGGAGGCTAAGGCAGAAGAATCACTTGGCCTGGGAGCCAGAAGTTGCAGTGAGCCAAGATCGCGCCACTGCACTCTAGCCTTGGCGAGAGAGCAAGGCTCCATCTCAAAATAATAATAATAATATGGCTTATTAATAAATTGATTAGAAATAGATCACTTGGTGGCTGGGCACAGTGGCTCACGCCTGTAATCACAGCAGTTTAGAAGGCTGAGGCAGGAGGATCATTTGAGCCCAGGAGTTCAAGACCAGCCTGGGCAACAAAGCAAGACCCTGTCTCTACAAAAAATAAAAATAAAAATATTAGCTGGGCTTGGTGGCTTGCGCCTATAGTCCCAGCTACTTAGGAGCCTGAGGCAGGAGGATCACTCAAGTCCAGGAGTTCAAGATCAGCCTGGGCAACATAGTTGAGACCCTGTCTCTACAAAAAATACAAAAATTAGCCAGGTGTGGTGGCCTCCACCTGCAGTCCCAGCAACTCAAGTGTCTGAGGTGGGACGCTTGAGCCTGGGAGGTTGAGGCTACAGTGAGCTGTGATCATGCCACTACACTCCATCCTGGGCCACAGAGTGAGACCCTGTCTCAAAAAAAAAAAAAAAACAAAGGCAAAAAACAAAAAAAAAGATCCATGGGGCACCTTCCCCACCCTGAGATCTGTCCACTTCCGGGCACCTCCTCCCCATTCCTTGGCTCTGCTTTGCCCTTGCGGTCTTCGGTGTTTTCATTACATGTACAGTGCGATGCTTAACTTTCATTGTTCTTGAGCTTTACAAAAGGGTTTATTTTATTTTATTTTTATTTTTTGAGACAGAGTCTCGCTCTGTCGCCCCAGCTGGAGTGCAGTGGCACCATCTCGATTCACTGTAACCTCCACCTCCTTGGGTCAAGCAATTCTCCTGCCTCAGCCTCCTGAGTAGCTGGGATTACAGGCGCCGGCCACCAGCTGGCTAATTTGTTGTTGTTGTTGTTGTTGTTTGTTTTTGTTTTTGTTTCTGTTTGAGATGGAGTCTTGTTCTGTCGCCCAGGCTAGAGTGCAGTGGCGCGATCTCGGCTCACTGCAACCTCTGCCTCCTAGGTTCAAGTGATTCTTCTGCCTCAGCCTCCGGAGTAGCTGGGACTACAGGCGTGCACCACCACGCCTGGCTATTTTCTGTATTTTTAGTAGAAACGGAGTTTCACCATATTGGCCAGGCTGGTCTCGAACTCCTGACCTCACGTGATCCTCCCACCTCAGCCTCCCAAAGTACTGAGATTGCAGGTGTGAGCCACCGCGCCCGGCAAGGGGCTCTTGCTGTAGGTAATCTGCTGAACTTTATGGTTGGGACTCTTCCTGAGCGCTCTCCACGGTGTGGGGCATGGTCGTGTGTCCTGAGCTTCCTCTCCTGGGCCGGAGCGCACCTGTCCTCCTCCCAGATGATGGGCATTTTGGGCTCTTCCCCACTTTAGCCCTTTGCTTCCATCCTCCCTTCCTTCCCCGTTCCTCCCGACAATCCCCGTCTGGCTGGTGGCCCCTGCCCTCCTGCCCTCCTGCCCCAGCCCAGCAGGTGACTCCTCCGTCCCTTCCAGGAGCTGCAGCAGCTGCTGTGCTGCACGCGGCAAGAGGCGAGGGCCCGGCTGCAGGCCCAGGAGCACGGGGCCGAGCGCCTGCGGATCGAGATCGTGACGCTGCGGGAGGCTCTGGAGGAGGAGACAGTGGCCAGGGCCAGCCTGGAGGGGCAGCTGAGGGTGCAGCGGGAGGAGACAGGTGAGGGGAGGGGCACAAGCCCCCAGCCCCGGGCCCAGGGCCCCTGTCGGCCTTGCAGGGAGCCACCGGGGCCCAGGCGTGGGCAGCAGCGGGGAGGGGAGAGAGGCTGGCCTTGACCTCTCTTTCTTTCCTTCCCACAGAGGTGCTGGAGGGTGAGTGTGTGCTGGAGGTGATCTTGGGGATCGCCCACCCTGGCTGGGCTAGGTGGGGAAAGGGAGAGGGCATGGCCCTGACGTCTCCCCCTGCCCTGACTTCCCAGCCTCCCTGTGCAGCCTGAGGACAGAGATGGAGCGGGTGCAGCAGGAACAGAGCAAGGTGAGGGGGAGGGCAGGGGGACTGGGAGGAGAGGGACCCAGCTGTGGAAAAGACCCTCCCCCACCCCTCCCGCCCTCTGTGTCTCCCTCAGGCCAGGTGGAGGAAGCCCTGGGGCAACGGCTGGCCATGCACCCTCCCATCTGGTCCAGGCTGAGCCAGGCCCAGCTCAGTGTGGTGTCTGTCCCCGCAGGCCCAGCTCCCAGACCTCCTCTCAGAACAGAGGGCCAAGGTGCTGCGGCTGCAGGCAGAGCTGGAGACCAGTGAGCAGGTGCAGAGGGATTTCGTGCGACTGTCCCAGGCCCTGCAGGTATGGCCTGTCCCAGCCCCGCCAGGCTGGCTGGCTCCACTCCGGGTGACCTCTCCTGGGTCTTGCAAGGACAGTTCCCTGGTTAGGGGAGTCCTTTCTTCCTCCTGGGGCTGGCATGGTCCTGTCCTGAGCTGTTACTCAAAAAACCCTGAAACTCTCATGTGAGCCTTGGTCAGTCACCTGAAGCCCTCAGTACAGGGCATGGTGGACGCTCAGGGCATTTGTGGCATCAGCCCCCTAGAGGTGGCCCCTGGGTCCACTGGTACCAGGCCCCGCCCTTGGGGGCTGGCAGGTGGGGTAGGGGCTGCGTTTCCCCACAAGTGCACTCTGCTCCCCTCGTCCGATCCGGCAGGTGCGCCTAGAGCGGATCCGCCAGGCTGAGACCCTGGAGCAAGTGCGCAGCATCATGGATGAGGCGCCACTCACGGACGTCAGGGACATCAAGGACACCTGAGGGGTCAGGATATCCCCACCCCCACCCTGGGAAAGACGCCTTTCCCCACTCCTGAACCATGAGGCCTCGCTCTGGGGTCTTGGATGGCTTTTCCACCGTCCCTGAGACTGGGGTTGAGGGGACTGACGGGGGCCACCACCGCCCCGCCCTCCAGCGCCTCCTCCCAGGGTGGCTGGGCCTCCTGTTCTCAGGGATCACACCTGGGTGAGGGGCCCAAGCCCCTCCCGGAACCAAAGGTGCAGGCTCAGGCCTGCGGCTTTCTGGCTGCTGTGCTGCCTCCTGGGCTCCAGCCCTCCCCTGCCCCCAGCCCGTCCCCTGCCCAGGGCACAGCGGAGCCATGGGGGCTGGGAGTCCCCATCAGAGGCAGTGAGGTGGGCCCCGGCCCTGGGACAGGCAGCTGCCTTCTGGTCTGCATGACACTAAGACGCTTGTCCACAGCGGCGACCCAGGCCTCCAAGCTTGCACAGAGGCAAGGCCAGACTTTTCCGTCGTTTATTTTCAATAAATAAGCAGCTCAGCGCAGTCGGTCGCCTTGTCCCTGCAAGCCCCTCGGGGTTGGGAAGGGGAATTTACAAGGTTGAGAGGGAGGCGGGTGGCCGAGGGGGAAGGAAAGGGAAGGGGACATGTTTATAAACAGACACATGACACGGGTGTGGGGGACAGGACGGGGGTCTGTGCCACAGCTCTGCCTGAAGATGTGTCACTATCGGGGTGGGGAGGACAGAGCAAAAGGATGCTCACTTCCTTCTTTCATCTTCTGGATCTGGAAGGGGAAAGAGAAGGGATGAGGCAGGCGGCAGGAGGGCAGCGAGGTCCCTCCCAGGTGCATCTCCCAGGCACGCACTTACCTGGAGGCTCAGAAGCTTACCACCCTGCCAGTTTCTCCCCTACTCACCTGCGTCCCCAGACACCCCGCCCCCCCCCACTGCAGCCCCACAGCAAAGACAGCCCAGCACACAGCCAGCGCAACGCAGCGCAGCAGACGGGCCCAGAGGCTGGCACTGCCCAGGGCCTGGGAGCCAAACTGACGCCCAGTGGGAGGCCAGCGGCCCACCCTGACTGGAAGCGCAGCAGCAGCAGTGGCAACGGCTCCAGGTGGAGCTGCGAGCACAAGTGACCTTGGATGCGACGCGCAAGGGGCTGAGGGGGCGCGGGTGGCAGGGGCACAGCAGCTGGGCTGAGGGCAAGAAGGGGGTGATACCTGTGACACGGGCTCAGAGATGGAGGAGGGGGAACAGTTATCCTATGGCCAGAGAGGACAAGAGGCACTGTTATCAAGGCAGGGAGGTGGCATGGGGGCTATAGGGGCTGTGGGGGCTGAGGAGGCAGTGGGGCTGCCCCGGAGATGTGGCCCCTGCAGGCGCAGGGGGAACGGGGCGGACACAGGTCCTGCCAGGGCTGAGAAACTTACCACCTGCAAAGTACGGGGCGGGGCGGGGGCGGCGTCATGGGGAAGGGGCTGTGGTGGGGCCAGGGCTTGGGACAGAGAGGGCACTCCTTACCCTCTAGGTAGTTCCGAGCAACGAACTTGAGGATTTCGTCGAGCCCAATGACTGGCAGTGAGATCTTGAGGACCATGAGCCACTGGGTGAGGTCCAGGGCCCGGAGCTTGAAGATCATCTGGGGCAGGGGACAAGCGCCCTCTCAGGAGGGGGTGGGGAGGGAGCCAGAGACCAGCACTGCCCAGCCCACTCCCACCAGCCTCCCACATCGGCGCCCCTGGTGGGAGTGGTCATGGGCCCGCCGTGGGCTCCCCAGTGCTGGGGTGGGCGGCCCTGGGCGGAAGAAACCTCACCGGCAGGGGGTCAACATAGAGGATGAGGAAGTGCAGGGACATGGAGAGGCAGATGGAGCCCAGCAGCCAGATGTTCACCCAGGGTGGCATCCGCAGCAGGGACTGGTTCTCGGACAGGCTGCAGAGGGGAAGGGGAGGGAGAAGGCACAGTGAGGAGGAAGGAGGTGGGCGGCACAGTGGAGGATGTGGGCAGTGGCCTCAGGGGAGGGTGGTGGGTGTAGCTGGGGGGCCCCCACCTGTTCAGTGCATTGCACATCTCGATGGTCACCAGCACGGACAGGGCCATGGTCATGGGCTCGGGGGCCTCGAAGACCTCACAGTCTATGCCCTCAAAGTGGGTGTTGTCCTCGGTGCACTGCATGAAGTGAGTCTGCAGGGAAGGTACGGGAGACTGAGGTCCAGGGCCACCTCCATGCCACCCTCCTGGTACCCTCCTGCATCCCCACACCCTCCTGGTCCCCTCCTTTGTGGCCTCCCCCTACCAGCTGGCTGTAGTTGACATGAGGCCCATCCTCAGCGTACAGGAACCACCAGGCAGCTGCTCCCACGGTGGCTGCACCCACATAGCCTGTGGTGGAGAGAGGGGAGTCGGGGGTCAGGGCTGGGGAGATAGGGGGCATCGAGGGTTGAGGGCCTCATGTGGCCATGGACAGGCTGGCCAAGGAAGAAGACCCTCTCAGCACCTGCATGGGGGAGCTGGTGTCCCAGAGAGGGGGTTAGTCCCAAGGGGTGGGGAGGATCGAGGAACCCCTCCAGCTCACCCCCGATTGCCATGTAGCGGAAGAAGAGCCAGCCACTGATGAGGGGCTCCTTGGGGCTCCGGGGGGGGCGGTCCATGATGTCCAGGTCTGGTGGGTTGAAGCCCAGGGCTGTGGCTGGGAGCCCGTCGGTCACCAAGTTCACCCATAGCAGCTGCACCGGGATCAGGGCCTCAGGCAGCCCCAGGGCAGCGGTCAGGAAGATACTGTGGGAAGGAGGTGGTCACACCTCTGTCCTGCCTCCCAGACCTGCAGCCACCCCACCCTAACCCCGGCTTCCTCCTGGACGCCCACCCAGCTGCTCACCAGACCACCTCGCCCACGTTGGAGGAAATGAGGTAGCGGATGAACTGCTTCATGTTGTTGTAGATGGCGCGGCCCTCCTCCACAGCAGCTACGATGGTGGAGAAGTTGTCGTCAGCCAGCACCATCTCAGAGGCAGTCTTGGCCACGGCAGTGCCAGATCCCATGGCAATGCCAATCTCAGCCTTCTTCAGGGCAGGGGCGTCATTGACGCCATCACCTGTCTGAGGGAGGAGGAGAAGGTGGGCTTAGGGCACCTTCACACATCCCTCCTTTTTAAAAAAGGTTTTATTTTAGGGATGAGGTCTCACTCTGTTGCCCAGGCTGGTCTTGAACTCCTGGGCTCAAGCAATCCTCCTGCCTCAGCCTCCCAAAGTGTTGGGATTACAGGCATGTGCCACCACACTTGGCCAAAAACTCAGTTTAGAACAAAGATCGGCACACTTTTTTTTTTGAGACGGAGTCTCACTCTGTCGCCCAGGCTGGAATGCAGTGGCGCAATCTCAGCTCACTGCAACCTCCGCCTCCCAGGTTCAAGCAGTTCTTCTGTCTCAGCCTCCTGAGTAACTGGGACTACAGGCATGTGCCACCACGCACGGCCAATTTTTGTATTTTTTGGTAGAGATGGGGTCTTGCCATGTTGTCCAGGCTGGTCTCAAACTCTTGACCTCAGGTGATCTGCCTGCCTCAGTCTCCTTAAGTTCTGGGATTACAGGCATGAGCCCCTCCGCCCACCTTTTTTTTTTTTTTTTTTTTTTGAGACAGGGTCTCACTCTATTGCCCAGGCTGAAGTGCAGTGGTGCAGTCATAACTTTCTGCACCCTCAAACTGTGCTCAAGTGATCCACCTCAGGCTCCCAAGTAGCTAGGACCACAAATATGTGCCACTGTGAGGCTAAATTTATTTTTAAAGTTTTGTTTTAGTAGAGATGAGGTCTTGCTATGTTGCCCAGGCTGGTCTCGAACTCCTGCTCAAGTGATCCGCCCACCTCAGCCTCCCAAAGTGCCAGGCCCAGCCCACAAATCCTCCTTCAGACTCTTCCTTGGGGTCTGAATCCCCACCCTTCTTGCATCTTACCAGGGCCCTCTGGCCCTGGGCCCCACTCTCCCCAGCACAGTCATCTGGTCATCTCCGTGGACACTAAGGCTGCAGCTGCCTGGGCCCTCTCACCATGGCTGTGATCTCATCGTAGGACTGCAGGTACTCCACAATCTTGGACTTGTGCGAGGGCTCCACACGGGCGAAGCAGCAGGCACGTCGGCAGGCTTCCCGCTGTTCAGCCAGGGGCAGGTCGTCGAACTCTCGGCCCGTGTAGGCGCGATCGGCCACCTCCTCGTTCTCCCCAAAGATGCCAATTCGCCGGCAGATGGCAATGGCTGTGCCCTTGTTGTCCCCAGTGATCATGATCACCCGGATCCCGGCGTCACGGCACAGCTGGATGGAGCCCGTGACCTCCTTGCGCGGAGGGTCCAGCATGCCCACTACACCCACGAATGTCAGGTCCGTCTGGGGAGATACAGCAGAGAGCCACAGGTCAGGTGGGGATCTGGAAAACTCCCCTGGAGGAAGCTGGTGGGGGGTGGGGATGGGGTGAAAGGTCAGGAAGTGGTGGGGAGGGGTGGGAAGCCTGAACCCTGGGCTTGCCGCCTCAGGGCCTGGTGTCAGACCTCAGTGGGGCCTTGGAAGCTCAGAGGCAGGAAACATCTCATTCATCTAAGCACCTGCAGGTGCTGATGGTGCCAGGCCCATCATGGGTCAGATCGTATCTTTTTTTTTTTGAGACAGGGTATTGCTCTGTCACCCAGGCTGGAGTGCAGTGGTACAACGGTGCGATCATAGCTCACTGCAGCCTCAATCTACCAGGCTCAAGCGATCCTCCTACCTCACCCTCCCAAGTAGCTGGGACTACAGGCATGCACCAACATGTCCAGCTAATTTTTTTTTTTTAATTTTTAGTAGAGAAAGGATCTTGCTATGTTGCCCAGGCTGGTCTCAAACTCCTGGGCTCAACAGATCCTCCAGCCTCGGCCTCCCAATGTGCTGCGATTACAGGCATAAGCTACCACGCCCAGCCCAAATCGTGTCTTTCCTTTTTTTTGTTTTTGTTTTTGTTTTGTTTTTTGAGATGGACTCTTGCTCTGTCACCCACGCTGGAGTGCAGTGGCAATGGCATGATCTCAGCTCACTGCAACCTCCACCTCCCAAGTTGAAGCGATTCTCCGCCTCAGCCTCCTGAGTAGCTGGGATTATAAGGGCGCACCACCACGCCTGGCTAATTTTTTTATTTTAGTAGAGACTTGGTTTTACCATGTTGGCCAGGTTGGTCTCAAACTCCTAACCTCAAGTGATCTGCCAGGCTTGGCCTCCCAAAGTGCTGGCATTATAGGTGTGAGCCCTGACACGTGGCCCCAAATTGTGTCTTTTTCGGGGGGGGGGGGGCGGGCGCAGGGGATGGAGTCTCGCTCTGTTGCCCAGGCTGGAGTGCAGTGGCACGATCTCTGCTCACTGCAACCTCCGCCTCCCAGGTTCAAGCGATTCTCCTGCCTCAGCCTCCAGAGTAGCTGGGATTACAGGTGCCCACCACCAAGCCCAGCTAATTTTTGTATTTTTAGTAGAGATGGAGTTTCACCATATTGGCCAGGCTGGTCTCAAACTCCTGACCTTGTGATCTGCCTGCCTTGGCCTCCCAAAATGCTGGGATTACAGATGGGAGCCACCATGCCCAGCCAAAATGTGTGTTTCATAGAAAGAACGTGAACTGGAAGTGAGGTACTGCTTTCTGCTTTTGGCAGTGCCACTACGTGACCCACAACTTAGAAGAAATCCTCTGTACAAAATGAAAGGAGGGACTGTGGTGCCATTCTGGCGCTGGTCTAGTAGAAGTAAGGAGTCTTTGCCAGAACACAGATCAACTGTCTCGAGACAGTCTTGCTACAGAAAACACAACAGCTGAACTCCCCTATGTGCTGAGTGGCATTGGCTCCTGTTCTGGTTCAAGTGGCTCACCTTGTTACCAACCACAGATCACATTTGCTAGATGATTCCCAAGGTTCATTCTTTCTCTCTTTTGTGTGTGTGTGTGTGTGTTTTTGTTTTTTGTTTTTAGAGACAGGGCCTTGCTTGTCATGCAGGCTGGAGTGCAGTGGTGGGATCATGGCTCACTGCAGCCTCCAACTCCTAGGTTCAAGTGATCCTCCCACCTCAGGCTCCCCAGTAGCTGGGTCTACAGGTGTGTGTCACCATGTCCAGTTCATCTCTTTTCTTTTAACATTTTTAAAAATGTATTTTACTTTTTACCCAGACCCCTATGAATTTAACCAGGTAATTAAAAAAATTTTTTTTTTAATAGAGATGGGGTTCTCACTTCATTGCCCAGGCTGGTCTTGAACTCCTGGGCTCAAGCGCTTTTCCCATCTCAGCTTCCCAAAGTGCTGAGATTACAGGTGTGAGTCACTGCACCCGGCCTCCCAAGGTTCTCTGAAACTCTACTGTCCTGTGATTCCATGGCCTGTACTAAGGAGCCATCAACTTGACTGACGAGGTAGGAAATGATCCGGGTGGTGGAGCTGTGAGTGGATGGCTGGGACCCGGCCCTTCACCAGCTCCACGACAGTGGGAGGCTCCCAGCTGCTTACCTCATACTCCAGGAACCTGGCAGAGTCATCCAGGACCATTTCCTCTCGCTTCGGGGGGGTGTCCCGGGTGGCCAGGGCCAAGCAGCGCAGGGTGTCCCGGCCAGTGCCCCACTCCTTGATCACCGCCATGATCTTTTCCTTCACCGGCCCCGTCAGTGGCACCCGGGTGGTGCCAACTCGCACATAGTTACAGCGGTCGATGACGCCCTCAGGGGCACCCTAGGAGACCAGAACAGCATTCAGAGACCACCACTTTCCTTCCAGGGCAGTGACAGGTGGCTAGGAGTAGGAAGAAGAGGGGGCTGAGGCACATTCCGATTTCTGACCTTGACAAACATCTTGTTGCCCACAGCAGCCCGGGAAGATTTGGCTGGGGAGCAATAGACAGACATGGACTTTCTGTCTCGGGAGAACTCCAGGGTGAATTCCTTCTTCATTAGCTGGCGGATCACCTGGAGAGGAGACAGGGAGGGGAGACCAGTCCTCTTAAAATGGTCAAAAAGAATCTGGAGGTCAGAGCAGACCCCAAGCTAAGGCTGAGACTAACACTAAGTCTGGTCCCTATAGCACAAAAGGAGAAAATCCCAAGGCTAGTGTTGCCACAGTGCTTCAGGGTCCTAGGTTAAAGCACAGAAGAAAAGGATGGCCTATTGTGGCACTGTCCCACAGAACTTTCATTATTGGCCAGGCGCGGTGGCTCATGCCTGTAATCCCAGCACTTCAGGAGGCTGAGGCGGGTGAATCACTTGAGGTCAGGAGTTCGAGACCAGCCTGGCCAACATGGTGAAACCCTGTCTCTACTAAAAATACAAAAATTAGCTGGGCAGAGATTGCAGTGAGCCAAGATCGCACCATTGTACTCCAGCCTGGGCGACAAAGCGAGACTCCGTCTCAGAAAAAAGAAAAAAAAACTTTCATTGTTTGTTTATTTATTTTTATTTACTTATTTTTTTCTTTAGAGACAGAGTCTTGCGCTGTCTCCTAGGCTGAAGTACAATGACGTGATCATAGCCCACTGTAGCCTTGGCTCTGGCAATCCTCCTGCCTCAGCCTCCCAGCCAGCTGAGTAGCTGGGACCACAGGTGTATGCCACCACTCCAGGCTAATTTTAAAAAAATGTTTTAGAGATAGAGTCTCCCTGTGTTGTCCAGCCTGGTCTCACTCGTGGCCTCAAGCAATCCTCTTGCCTTGGCCTCCTAAAGCATTGGGATTACAGGCATGAACCACCACACCTGGCCCTATAACTTTTAGTAATGATAGAAATGTTATGTGATCTGCACTGTACAATTGGTGCAACTGAGCAATTGCTGTGGAGCATTGGAGGTACTCTGTATATTATTTAATTTGAATTAATTTTTATTTATTTATATTGAGATGGAGTCTTGCTCTGTTGCTTAGGCTGGAGGGCAGTGGTGCAGTCTTGGCTCACTACCACCTCTGCCTCCCAGGTTCAAGCCATTCTCCTGCCTCAGCCCCCCAAGTAGCTGGGATTACAGGCACACGCCACCATGTCCAGCTAATTTTTGTATTTTTTAGTAGTAGACCAGCTTAACCAACATGGAGAAACCCCGTCTCTACTAAAAATACAAAATCAGCCAGGCGTGGTGGCACGTGCCTGTAATTCTAGCTACTCGGGAGGCTGAGGCAGGACAATCACTTGAACCCAGGATCACACCATTGCACTCCAGCCTGGGCAACAAGAGCAAAACTCTGTCTCAAAAAAAAAAAAAAAAAAAATGAAGGCCAGGCGCAGTGGCTCACGCCTGTAATCCCAGCACTTTGGGAGGCCGAGGCAGGCAGATCACGAGGTCAAGAGTTCAAGACCAGCCTGACCAACATGGGGAAACCCCATCTCTACTAAAAATACAAAAATTAGTTGGGCGTTGTGGCACATGCCTGTAATCTCAGCTATTCAGGAGGCCGAGGCAAGAGAATTGCTTGAACCCAGGAGGCGGAGGTTGCAGTGAGCCGAGATGGCCCCACTGCACTTCAGCCTGGGCAAAGCAGAGAGACTCCGTCTCAAAAAAAAAAACTCGTCTCTACTAAAAATACAGAAAGTTAGCTGGGCATTGTGGCTTGCATCTGTAATCCCAGCTACTAGGGAGGCTGAGGCAGGAGAATTGCTTGAACCCAGGAGGCGGAGGTTGTGGTGAGCTGAGATCATGCCACTGTACTCCAGAATGTGTGACACCGCAAGACTCTCAAAACAGACAGACAAACAAACAAACAAACAAACAAACAAAAAGAATGAAAGCCTTTTTCACCAAATGTATCATGGATACTTCTCCAAAAAATAAAACAAAAATAAAAAGAACAAAACATCAGTAGCCAGGAAAAGTGGTGCATGCCTGTAGCTTCATCTACTTGGAAGGCTGAGGCAGGAGGATGGTTTGAGCCCAGGAGTTCAAGGCTGCAGTGCGCTGTGATCACACCTATGAATAGCCATTGCACTCCAGCCTGGGCGACAGGCCAAGACCCCATCTCAAAAATAAATAAATAAAAATTTATGTTTGCATTATCATTTATAAATTTTAAAAATTAGTCCTCTATTGACAGGTATTTAAGTTGCTTTCAGTTTGTTTATTTTGGAGACAGGGTCTCCCTCTGTTGCCCAGGCTGGAGTGCAGTGGTGCAATCACTGCTTGCTGCAGCCTTGACCTCCTGGGCTCCAGCAGTCCTCACACCTTAGCCTTCCTAGTAGCTAGAGTACAGTTTTGCACCACCACACCCAACTAATTTTTTTCTTTTTTTTTTCTTTCTTTCTTTGTTTTTGTTTTCGTTTTTTTTTGTAGAGATGCGGGTCTCACTATGTTGCCCAGGCCGGTCTTAAACTCCTGGGCTCAAGTGATCCTCCCACCTCAGCCTCCCAGAATGCTGGGACTATAGGCGTGAGTCTCTGTGTCTGGCCCGCTTTTTTGTTATATTAAATAAAGTAGCAATGAGCATTTTGCATATACAAAAAAAGAGAGAAAGAGAGAAATGTGGGGAATATAATTCCCCAGAGAGAAGTGCTTAATGGAGACGTTCAGCAAGTATCAATAGCAATAACTGGGAGTGACAGTCCTAGAAGTGGCCGGGTTCATCTGGGCAAGGAAAGGCTTTCCCTATAGGTGCAGTAGCCACATTTCCCAAATCCTAAGTCAGGACTCATCATCTGCTGAAAACAAGTGTGCTTCTAGAAACAAAGGAATAACAGATGAAGTTGGGGCTGCTCCTGGATGGGTCCCTTGTGGTTTCCGTGTCCAGCTTTGTCCACTTCAAATCAGGACACAGCGGGCAGAAGTGATCATAGATTCATCAAGGGCATGGCCGCCAGGCAGCCCCAGGGACAATGGGTCCCACCCACATCAGCCTGTGGAGAAGCTGCAGGGGCTGTCTGCTGCCTGGGTGGGGTCCCAGCACAGGCACTAGGCTCTGCCCAACCAGGGCCTCTGCCTTCCTCTAGTCTATGCAGCATAGAGTGGAGACGGCCCTGTGGCAGGGGCTCCGCAGGCTCACCGAGTTGCAGGCGTTGGCTCTCTCCACCTTCGAGAGGCTTCTCACATCCGTGTTGAACACATTCATCTTCTCCACCAGGGTGGTGAGTGCTGTCTCGGTGGCCTCGCCGACCTTCTCATAGACACCTTTGGCCTGAGATGGGCAGAGGAGGAAGAGGAAGTCGGTGCCCCAGGCTCCTACCTGTCATACCCTCCTTCCACCTAGCGTAAGAAGGAAGCAAACCACTGCCTCCCTTGCACCCTGGCAGAGGGCTGGGTGTACTGGGTCCCCTTCCTCCAACCCTTTCCTCCTGGCCTTCGGAGGAGGCCCAGACTCTGAGCCAACTGGAAGGGGAAGGAGAGGTTACCTCGTTGAAGTCCAAGGAGGAGTCATTGCAGAGGGCACAGATGGTGGCCAGCTCCACCAGCCCGTCATACTGCCCTGGCCGGACTGGCTTATCATTCTTCAAGCTGGCAGCAGGGTCAGGGGAGGAAGGGACAGAGACAGTGGAGAAGAACAGGGAATGAGATGCAGAGAGGGCACAGGAAGAGCAGGCAGCAGAGGGTAAGGAAGGACAGTGGGGAGAGCCAACTCGGATATCAGGAGAGAGAACAAGGTCGGGGAGGAAGAGGAGAGTGAAAGGAGAGCAAAACCACATGGAGGGCCCCAGGGAGAAAGGGGGTGTGGGAAGGGGCGTGAGGAGCTGGGGAGAAGATGCCTGGGTGACTTACACCTCTCCCTCTGGAGCGTAAGTGGAGCCGGTGATGGAGAACTCATTCAGGAGGCAGATGTCCCCATCCACCTTGTCAATGATAAACATCTGCAGGGGAGAAGGGCAGGCACACAGATGTCCACCTCTTCCCATCCCAAGGTGGGCACCTGCATCAAGGGAGGCCTGCACTGCCAACACCTACCTTCCCACCATTTCCCTCCTACTCACCCCTCCTCATCCCCCCCGTATACCCTACCCACTTCCCACCAAGCTGTTGCAATCATTCTCTATCAACAGCCTTAAAACAATAGTTACTGAGGCTGGGCGAGGTGGCTCACACCTGTAATCCCAGCACTTTAGGAGGCTGAGGTGGGCGGATCACCTGTCAGGAGTGCAAGACCATCCTGGCCAACATGATGAAACCGTCTCTACTAAAAATACAAAAATTAGCCAGGTGTGGTGGTGCGCGCCTGTAATCCCAGCTACTCTGGAGGCTGAGGCAGGAGAATCGCTTGAACCTGGGAGGCAGAGGTTTCAGTGAGCCAGGATCGTGCCATTACACTCCAGCCTGGGCGACAAGAGCCAAACTCAAAAAAAAAAAAAAAAACAAAAAAAAACCCACAAACGAGTGACCGCAGGCTGTGCTGTGCTGGAGCTTCTGTAGACCAGTTAATAAAATAAGATGGAACACAATAAGGTATGGTGGGGACTGTGGCAAACAGCCCAACTATTGGCACCTGGACCATCTACAGCTCCAGCTGCATGTGGCCAGATCTTCCAGTTTTGCAGGAAGAGCTAGAAATTCAGGTTATCTTCCTATGAAATCTCTTGACTTTTTCTTTTTCTTTTTGTTTTTTAAGATAGGTTCTTGCTCTGTTGCCCAGGCTGGAGTACAGTGGTGTGATCATAGCTCATTGCAGCCTCAACCTCCCGGGCTCAAGTGATCCTCCCACCTCAGCCTACCCAAGTAGTTGGGGCCACAGGCACATGCCACCATGCCTGTCTCTCTTGCTCTCTCTCTCTCTCTTTTTTTTTTTTTTTGGTAGAAATTGGGTCTCACTATGTTGCCCAGGCTGGTTTTGAACTCCTGGGCTCAAGTGATCTTCCTGCCTTGGCCTCCCAAAGTGCTGGGAGTACAGGCACCCACCATGATGCTGGGAGTACAGGCAACTACCATGCCCAGCCTCTTGACTTTCAAATATATGGGCAATTCTTTTTTTTTTTTTTGGAGATGCAGTTTCACTCTTGTTGCCCAGGCTGGTGCAATCTCGGCTAACTGCAACCTCCGCCTCCTGGGTTCAAGTGATTCTCCTGCCTCAGCCTCCAGAGTAGCTGGGAGTACAGGCATACGCCACCACGCCCAGCTAATTTTGTATTTTTAGTAGAGACGGAATTTCGCCATGTTGGCCAGGCTGGTCCCGAACTCCTGACCTCAGGTGATCCACTCACCTTGGCCTCCCAAAGTGCTGGGATTACAGGCGTGAGAATTAATTCATTTTTATGAAACATGACAGGAGCCAAGTCACACGAGCCTGTGGTCTGGCTTTGTGGCCTGTGCGTTAGAGGGATGTGGAGAACGCAGTGCCCAGGAGGAGTGGCCTACCCTGAATCCTGGGCAAACGCAACAGAGACTGGGCTTTTCATTCCCGAGAAGAGAGATGGTTAAGATGGGTTCCAAGACAAAAAAGTTCTGTGGTCAGAAAAAAAACTTGGGAACCTCTGGGGCAAAGCAGAATCCGTCTTCTTTACACAGTCAGCCTCCTCTAAGGCTTTCAAATAGCAGCAGATGTTGTGGGTCTCGCCCAGGAGCCAAGGTTACAGCCTTTCTCACCCTGATCTGACCACACAGCCCTTGCTTCTCAGAACAGCAATTTCTAGTTCATGGGTGTAGTCTTCCACAA
Organism: Homo sapiens; assembly: GCF_000001405.40. Taxonomy (NCBI): domain Eukaryota; kingdom Metazoa; phylum Chordata; class Mammalia; order Primates; family Hominidae; genus Homo; species Homo sapiens. Next base: position 28,892,361 of record NC_000016.10, on the reverse strand, counting down.
AACTCTGTGAAGGGCAGGGGTTCTTGGCCTGAGGTCAGTGGAAGACCCTGCAAGGAGCCCAAGAACTGAGATAGCCAAGAAAAAAACGACAGCTTTTCTTGTTCTCAAGCTGACGTTTGACATTTCCTTCCAGTTATGCATGTTGTCAACAGACCACATTAGTATTAGCAAAACCTGTGACTGTCACCAATTTAATCACAGATACTTTCCTCCTATCACATTACCACTGTTGCAGATCTCTCAAAATAGCATAATTTATGCTCACCACTGCTTCAACATTATGATAGTGCTTAGACCCACTGCGAGAACTCCCTAATTAATGCCTTAATAAAGAAGCATGTGTGTTGCCAAATTACAAAGTTGTTTTTAAAAATTTTGATAGAACTGTATTTCACAATCATTGGTTTCCTCTGTAACCCTATGTATCTTTCCTATGTATTTTTTTTTTACTTTTTTATTTTTGTTTTATTTTATTATTATTATTTTTTGAGACAAAGTCTCACTCTGTCGCCCAGGCTGGAGTGCAGTGGTGCAATCTCACCGCAACCTCCGCCTCCTGGGTTCAAGCGATTCTCCTGCCTCAGCCTCCCAAGTAGCTGGGATTACAGGTGCCCACCACAACGCCTGGCTAATTTTTTGTATTTTTAGTAGAGACTGGTTTTCACCATGTTGGCCAAGCTGACCTCAGGTAATCCGTCCGCCTTGGCCTCCCAAAGTGCTAGGATTACAGGTGTGAGCCACCGCATCTGGCTACTTTTTTTTTTTTTTTTTTGAGACGGAGTCTCGCTCTGTCGCCCAGGCTGGAGTGCAATGGCACGATCTCAGCTCACCGCCTCTGCCTTCCAGGTTCAAGCAATTCTCCTGCCTCAGCCTCCCAAGTAGCTGGGACTACAGGCATGTGCCACCACGCCCAGCTAATTTTGTATTTTAGTAGAGACAGGGTTTCTCCATGTTGGTCAGGCTGGTCTCGAACTCCTGACCTCAGGTGATCTGCTCACCTCGGCCTCCCAAAGTGCTGGGATTACAGTCGTGAGCCACTGCGTCAGGTCTTTTATATTTTTTTTCGAGATGGAGTTTTGCTTTTGTCGCCTAGGCTGGGGTGCAATGGCGCAATCTCAGCTCACTGCAACCTCCACCTCCTGGGTTCAAGTGATTCTCCTGCCTCAGCCTCCTTAGTAGCTAGGACTACAGGCATCTGCCAACACGCCCAACTAATTTTTGTATTTTTAGTAGAGACGGGGTTTCTCCATGTTGGACAAGCTATTCTCGAAATCCTGACCTCAGGTGATCCACCCACCTCGGTCTCCCAAAGTGCTGAGATTACAGGCATGAGCCACCGTGCCCAGCTTCCTATGTATTTTTAAAACAGAATCCTGGCCGGGCGCAGTGGCTCACTCCTGTAATCCCAGTACTTTGGGAGGCCGAGGTGGGCAGATCACTTGAGGTCAGGAGTTAAGAGACCAGCCTGGTCAACATGGCGAAACCCCATCTGTACTAAAAATACAAAAATTAGCTGGGTGTGATGGTGCGTGCCTGTAGTCCCAGCTACTCAGGAGGCTGAGGAAGGAGAATCACTTGAACCTGGGAGGTGAAGGTTGTAGTGAGCCGAGACTGGGCCACTGCACTCCAGCCTGGGTAACAGAGTGAGACTCCATCTCAAAAAACAAAAAAAAACAAACAAAAAAACCCAGAATCCTGTTTTGTTTATTTATTTTTTACTTTCTATTTTATCTTTTAAAAGGTGGGGTCTCACTGTGTTGCCCAGGCTAGTCTAAAACTCCTGGGCTCAAGTGATCCTTCCGCCTCAGCCTCCCAAAGTGCTAGGATTACAGGCGTGAGCCACCGTACCTAGCCCTATTTTATTTTATTTTTTTGTGCGTGAGACAGGGTCTCGCTCTGTCATGCAGGCTGGAGTGCAGTGGTGTGATCACAGCTCACTGTAGCTTTGACTTCCTGGCTCAAGCAATCTCTGGGTTCAAGTGATTCTCCTGCCTCAGCCACCTGAGTAGCTGGGACTACAAGTGTGCACCACCACATCAGGCTAATTTTTTTTTTTTTTTTTTTTTTTTGGTAGAGACGGACTCTCACTATGTTGCTTAGGCTGGTCTCGAATTCCTGGGCTCAAGTGATCCTTCCACCTTGGCCTCCTGAAGAGATTACAGACGTGAGCCACCACCCCTGGCTTATTTTATTTTATTTCATTTCATTTCATTTTATTATTTAAGACAGTCTTACTCCGTCGCCCACACTGGAGTGCAGTGGCGCGATCTCGGCTCACTGCAACCTCTGCCTCCCGGGTTGAAGCAATTTTCCTGCCTCAGCCTCCCCAGTAGCTGGGATTACTGGCACGCACCACCATGCCCGGCTAATTTTTGTATTTTTAGTAGAGATGGGGTTTCACCATGTTGGCCAGGCTCATCTCGAACTCCTGACCTCGTGATCTGCCTATCTTGGCCTCCCAAAGTGTTGGGATTACAGGCGTTAGCCATTGCACCTGGCCTGTTTTATTTTATTAATATACATTTGAAATATTATCCTGACAAGAGCTCAACTGCAAAGGGGTGTGAGGCACAGAAAAGATTAAGAGCCCTGCTTTAGGAAATGCTGTTCACGGTCAGTGTTGGCAGTCTGGCCGGGCCCTGTCATGAGTGACCATTCTGGAGAGCCATCTACTTCACAGGCAGAAGCTCTGGGGCCACACAGACTCGGGTTTGAAGCTCAACTCTGTTATTTATTAACTGTGCATCTTGGGGGAAGTCATTTAATCTCTCAGAGGCTTTTTCCTCCTCTAAAAAAGGAAGTTAGGCTGGGTGCCGTGGCTCACACCTATCATCCCAGCACTTTGGGAAGCGAACAGGGGCACATCACTTGAGGCCAGGAGTTCAAGACCAGCCTGGCCAACATGGCGAACCCTGTCTCTATTACAAATGCAAAAAAATTAGCCAGGCGTGGTGGCAGGCACCTGTAGTCCCAGCTACTAGGGAGGCTGAGGCAGATGAATCGCTTGAACCCGGGAGGCAGAGGTTGCAGTGAGCCAAGATCACACCACTGCACTCCAGCCTGGGCGACAGAGTGAGACTCTGTCTCAAAATAATAATAATTTTTTTTAATTAAAAAAATGAAGATAATGAGACCATCCTCTGAATGGGCTATTGTGAGGGATGAGAGACGATGTGTGGCAGTGCCTGGTGCGTGGATGGTGGTCAGAGTGAGCTGTCTGGCTGGGGCACAAGGGTCCTCTCTGATCCCGTTCATGGCAGACAGGATGGCGTTCTACTGCCCTTTGAGCATTTTGCAGGCCCAGATGAGAAGCCAGCAGTGATGAAGGGAGACCTCTATCTTTGGAGGGCCCATTTAACCCCCACAGGCAGCCTTCTGACTGAGCGCGCTGCCCACACTGCTCCTGACCTTGCAGACAGACATCTGGTTGGTGGTGAGGGTGCCTGTCTTGTCGGAACAGATGACAGAGGTGCAGCCCAGGGTCTCTACGGAGGGCAAGCTTCTTACAATGGCATTCTTCTTTGCCATCCGACGGGTACCCAGGGCCAGGCAGGTGGTGATGACTGCAGGAAGACCTGTGGGGAGGGAGGGAGGGTGTGAGGGAACCTGCAAGGGGAGGGTGTGAGGGAACCTGCAAGGGGCTAAATAGTAGCCCCCAGCTGGGCACGTTGGTGCACACCTATAATCCTAGCACTTTGGGAGGCTGAGGCGGGAGGATCACTTGAGGCCAGGAGTTTGAGACCAGCCTGGAAAACACAGTGAGACTCCTCTGAAAATATTTAAAAATTAGCTGGGTGTGGTGGTGATTGCCTGTGGTACCAGTTACCCAGGAGGCTGGGACAAGAGGATTGTTTGAATCCAGGAGTTCGAGATTACAGTGAGTTATGATTGTGCTACCACACTCCAGCCTGGGCAACAAGAGTGAGACTCTGTCTCTATTAAACAAACAAACAATAATGGTCCGCAAAGATACCAGATCCTAATCCCTGGAGCCTGTAAATGTTACCTTACTTGGAAAAGGGGTCTTTGGGCCAGGCGTGGTGGCTCACACCTGTAACCCCAGCACTTTGGGAGGCCGAGGCGGGTGGATTGCTTGAGCCCAGGAGTTCGAGACCAGCCTGGCCAACATGGTGAAACCCCATCTCTACTGAAAACACAAAAATTAGCCAGGCATGGTGGCGTGCACCTGTAATCCCAGCTACTTGGGAGGCAGAGGCAGAAGAATCACTTGAACCCAGGAGGCAGAGGTTGCACTGAGCAAGGCCGGGTGCGGTGGCTCACGCCTGTAATCCCAGCACTTTGGGAGGCCAAGGCGGGCAGATCAGGAGGTCAGGAGATCGAGACCATCCTGGCTAACACGGTGAAACCCCGTATCTACTAAAAATATAAAAAAATTAGCCAGGCATGGCGGCGTGCACCTGTAGTCCCAGCTGCTAGGGAGGCTGAGGCAGGAGAATGGCGTGAACCCGCGAGGCGGAGCTTGCAGTGAGCCGAGATCACGCCACTGCACTCCAGCCTGGGTGACAGAGCAAGACTCCATCTCAAAAAACAAAAAAGAAAAAAAGAAAAGAAAAGAAAAGAAAAGGGGTCTTTGCAGATGGGATTAGCAAATGGGAGGAGAAAAGAAAGGCTTTCATACCTTCGGGGATGGCAGCCACAGCCAAGGCCACGGCAATCTTAAAGTAGTAGATGGCCCCGCGGAACCAGGAGCCCCCATGGACGGGGTCGTTGAAGTGGCCAATGTTGATAAGCCAGACAGCCACACAGATGAGGGAGATGACCTTGGAGAGCTGCTCCCCAAACTCATCCAGCTTCTGCTGCAAGGGGGTCTTGTCCTGTTCTGTGGCAGCCATTTGGTCTCGGATCTTCCCAATCTCGGTGCCCACACCAGTGGTGGCCACGATGCCCAAGGCCTTGCCGGCTGCAATGTTGGTGCCCTGGGAAGGGAAAGAGGAGGCAGGGAATCAGGCAAGAGGTGACCCTCATGCCGCATCTCCCCACGCCATCTCTTCTCACACGCCATGTTTCTCTCCAACCCGGGCACCTGGCTTGACTGAGTGTGTGATGGCTGGTCCCGGATTGCTCACCGAGAAAAGCATGTTCTTCTTGTCCTGGTTGACAGCTCGGGGGTCAGGAACGGGCTCCGTGTGTTTGATGACAGATACAGACTCGCCTGTGGAGAAGGGGCCAAGGGGTTTTCGGATGACATCATGTCCTTCTCCCAGGCTTCCCGTGCCTAACTCTCTCCCTGCTCAGCAGGACAGCTCCTGGTAAGGACCAAGTAGCCATCCTGGGGGATGTCTGGACTCTGGAAGAAGCCACTGAAGGCAGCTAGGAAGTCCATTGCTCCTTTTTTTTTTTTTTTTTTTGAGACAGAGTTGCAGTCTTGTCACCCAGGCTAGAGTGCAGTGTCAAGATCTCAGCTCACTGCAACCTCCCGGGTTCAGGCAATACTCCTGCCTCAGCCTCCCAAGTAGCTGGGATTACAGGCACATGCTGTCACACCTGGCTAATTTTTTTTTTTTTTTTGTATTTTTAGTAGAGACGGGGTCTCACCATGTTGGCCAGGCTGGTCTCGAACTCCTGACCTCAAGTGATCCGCCCACCTCAGCCTCCCAAAGTGCTGGGATTACAGGCCACCGTGCCCAGCCAGAAGTCCACGGCTCTTAAAAAGACCTCGACCCAAGCCCCAGCTTGACCACTAACAAGCTGTGTTTGATCACCTAACTTCCATGTGCTCCTCTGTAAAATGGGGACAAGGACATGTACACTGCAAAACAATGTCTTGGGTGAAAATCAAATAAGTGGACATATTTGGAGCCACACTTTTAACTGTCAAGCATGTTTCTGGGAGGAAGGGGGACCTACACTTACGACCATGCCTCCCTCACCCTAAGAGCAGGGGCTCAGCAGCAAGCCTGGGCCAGCCTAGCCCTTGCCCCCTGGGACCATGGGGAATGTTTTCTGCCTCTTCTTCGCTTCTCCCTGCCAGTGCGGAAACAGAAGCAGCTATGGTGGTTTTACAGAGACAGGGTCTTGCTCTGTTGCCCAGGCTGGAACGCAGTGGTGTGATCATAGCTCATTGCAGCCTCAAACTCTTGGGTTCAAGTGATCCTCCCACCTCAGCCTCCCAAACAACTGGGACTACAGGTGTGCAGTACAATGCCCAGCTAATTTTTAAAAAAATTTTATAGAGATGGGGTCTTGCTCTGTTGTCCATGCTGGACTGCCGTGGTAATCATAGCTCACTGTGGCCTCAAGCTTCTGGGCTTAGGCAATCCTCCCACCTCAGCCTCCCAAGTAGCTGGGACTACAGGTGCACACCACCACACCCAGCTAGTTAAAAAAATTTTTTTTTTATAGAGATGGGGTCTCGCTGTGTTGCCGAGGCTGGTCTGAAACTCCTGACCTCAAGTAATTCTCCTGCCTCAGCCTCCCAAAGCACTGGGATTACAGGTATGAGCCACCACGCCCAGCCTAGCAGCCATGGTTTTCAGTGTATCTGAACCCCCTATCTTGTCCTAGAATCTCATGGCTCCTCCCTGGAGGATTTTTGAGGAGGCTGAAGGAGACAGGACAGTTCTCGAGGTGTCTGTGGCCCTATGTCCATGTGGAAGGGGTGGGCTGGTGGCTATCTAGAGAGTAGGCAACAACATCCAGCCTTCTCCCACTACCCGTCCCGTTTCAGGCTTGGGACAGAATGGAAACGTCAAGCAGGTCAGGTGCAGTGGGTGGCTCACACCTGTAATCCCAGCACTTTGGGAGGCTGAGGTGGGTGGATCACGAGGTCAGGAGTTCAAGACCAGCCTGGCCAAGACGGTAAAACCCTGTCTCTACTAAAAATACAAAAATTAGCCGGGTGTGATGGTGGACGTCTGTAATCCCAGCTACTCTGGAGGCTGAAGCAGGGAATTGCTTGAAGCCAGGAGGCAGAGGTTGCAGTGAGCTGAAATCGCGCCACTGCATTCCAGCCTGGGTGACAGAGCAAGACTCCATCTCAAAAAAAAAAGAAAATGTCAAGCAGTGCTGCCACTGCCACAGCCACTACTAGCGAGCCAGGGGGAGGCCCCAGTGCTGGGTTTTGTTTTGTTTTGTCTTTTTTTTTTTTTTTTGAGATGGGGTCTTGCTCTTGTTGCCCATGCTGGAGTGCAGTGACATGATCTTGGCTCACTGCAGCCTCAGCCTCCTGGGTTCATGCAGTTCTACTGTATCAGCCTCCTGAGTAGCTGGGACTACAGGTGCCTGCCACCACGCCTGGCTAATTTTTGTGTTTTTTGTATTTTTTGGTAGAGATGGGGTTTCACCATGTTGGCCAGGCTGGTCTCTAACTCCTGACCTCAGGTGATCCACCCACCTCGGCCTCCCAAAGTGCTGGGATTACAGGCATGAGCCACCTCGCACAGCCTTTTGTTTTTATTTTGACAGAGACAGGGTGGCCCAGGATGGAGTGCAGTGGTGTGATCACAGCTCACTGCTGCCTTGACCTCCTGTACCCAGGCGATCCTCCTGCCTCAGCATCCTGAGTAGTCAGGACTACAGGCACTCAACAACATGCTCAGCTAGTTTTTAAAATTTTTTTGTAGAGACAGGGTCTCTTTATGTTGCTCAGACAGTGAGGGTTCTCTGTCTTTCCACTCACCTCCCCCTTGTTGCCTCTTCCTCCCCACGTCCCACCCCCATGCATCTTCCCACCCAGGCCAGCAGACCTGTCAGGATGGACTGGTCAACCCGCAGCGTGGTGGATTTGATGGCGAGGATTCGGATGTCTGCAGGGACTTTGTCCCCCACTGTGGAGAGAGTAGGGAAGAGGGAGGTCACTTGGGAATGGAATTTTCTTCCTTCCAAAGAAAAACCCAATCTGTGTCTGACTCGTTCTCCTCATCCATCCTTCAGGTCTCAGGGAGGCTCCCAGGGCTTGCATCAGGCCCTTGGCTTGAGCTCCTGAAGCTGGCAACCCCTCATCGTGACACCCATCCCTTCTGCCCCCGTGTCCACGGCGAGATGGAGTCTCGCTCTGTTGCTCAGGCTGGTCTTGAACTCCCACATCTCTTCCCACTGGCTGTGAGCCCTGAGAAGGGATGGGCAGGTGTACTGCTCAGCACATAGTACATGCTCAATAAATGCCCACTGAATGACTGGAGGGGAAATTAGGGACAGTCCAGCTGTAGGACAAGAAGCTATAATTGAGATTGGGAGACAGGAGTGAGAAAGGCAAGGAGGAAAGGCAAGGAAAGAACTCAGGGAAAACAGGGTGCATTAGAGAGAAGGGGTGTCGGGGTGAGAGAATGAAGTGGACAGCCAGGGAAGGCAAGGAGAAACGGGAAAATATGGAAATTGAGAAAATCGAGGGCAACCAAGAGGAACAGTGGAGGGCAAGGCAGGAGAGGAGTGAGCGGAAGGTATGAGTGGGCAGGACTCAAGGCAGCGGGGGGCACAGGGTGGTCATGGAGAGGACCACATATCGGGAACCTGACAGCCCGGTCTGAGCATCTCAGGGAGGCAGGGAGGCGGGGAGCCAGGGAGAGTGAGCTGGGGACATGGACAAGACAGGATGGGATGGGACAGGAGAGAAGCGGGGGTTGGGCAGGAAACAGGTGTGGAAGAGTGGGGCGGGCAGCACAGGCTGGAGAGTGAATGGGTGGAGGTGAGGCCAGGGAGACGCACAGGTGGGCTGGCAGGCCATGGAAACCACCTTGTCGGGGGGCTGGAGAGGTGGATGCCCAGCCAGACTCAGAGACCTTAGGAGGAGGCTAAGAATCTCCCAGGGCCGCTGCCTAATTCCGCACTGGTCCCACGGATGGTACTGGGGACAGGGTCCAATCGCTTTCCTTTCCCTCTGTTTCTAAGGATCCCTCCTGTGCCAGAGGAAATGGACCGAGGAGGGAGGAGGGAGGTCGGGATAGAGTCGGGCGGGACACCCTGTCACCCAAGCCCGCGTGATATTTATAGACATTCATGGCGCTGACTCCATGCTGTCACGGCGGCAAGGCTGCCCTGTGATGGGGCGCTGGGGTCTTCAGCCTGCCCTCACTCCCTCTGCCCAAGCTCCCTGGGGTGGTGATTCGGATGTCTGCTACAGGGAAGGAGGCCTCTGAAGAGCCATTCCCCCTGGCAGGGGCCTGGAGCTTCGGGAAGGCCTGCTCAGGGCAAACATAAAAACCGCTGAAGGGGGCAGAATCCCAGTAATCTTAGCCACCCGGCCCCCACCCCTCCCTGGCCAGGCATTAAGTGTCCCTTGCCGCGGGCGGGGCCCTCCTTGAGCTCCCTCCTCCCCGGTCGCGTGCTCTGTGCCAGGCCTGAGTTTCCCTTACATGGTCGGGGGCTCGAGCCTTCGGCCTCCCTCCTCCCTTCTGCCCTCGCTCCTTCCCCTTTGAGAGGCCTCAAGGGCACAGAGAGGTCAAGACTGAAAGCTGACCAAGCTTGGGGTGGGTGGAAGGAGGGGGAAGCCAGGCCCGGGAGGGGGTGGAGACGGGGCCATTGGCAGGGACCGGGTTCCACCTGTTGCCTGCGAGTGCAAGTGCAGGGTGAGAGGATGGGGAGCAGGGGGTCTGCCTGCAGCCTCAGGGACAGGACTGGCTGTTCCTGCTGAGACTCCGCTGGGGAGGGGGGGATGTGGCCGGAGTGGCCTGGGATGACCTTCTGAGGAGTCGGAAAGAGAAGCAGACTCCGTCATCCTCCTGGACACCTGGATCCGAGCCTGACCAGCCCCCGGCATCTCCTAGGCCTCAGCCCCAAGGCCTCCCATCCTGGACCAGCCGTCCCTGTCACTCACCAGCCACCTCCACGATGTCCCCAGGGACGATGTCCCGAGCCTTGATCCTTTGCACTGACTTGCGGTCAGCCCGGTAGACCTTCCCCATCTCTGGCTCATACTCCTTCAGGGCCTCGATGGCGTTCTCTGCGTTCCGCTCCTGAGGAGACAGGGTGGAGGAGGCAGGGTTATACACAGGAGGCAGAGTTATGGAGTTGTGGCTCCTGGCACGGGGGAGGCAACAAAACCCCACACAGGCAGGGGTGTGTGTATGTTGAGGAAACTGTCACCTACAGGTGAAAACAGGTGAGAGGGTTTTGGGGAGGGAACAAAGAAGAATCAAAGAAAATCAGGCCGGGCATGGTGACTCACGCCTGTAATCCCAGCACTCTGGGAGGCTGAGGCAGGCGGATCACTTGAAGTCAGGAGTTCGAGACCAGCCTGGACAACATGGTGAAACCCCGTCCGTCTCTACGAAAAGTACAAAAAAAAAAAAAAAAAAAAAAAAAAGCCGGGCGTAGTAGCACGCGCCTGTAATCCCAGCTACTTGGGAGGCTGAGGCACGAGAATCACCAGAACCTGGAGGCAGAGATTGCAGTGAGATGAGATTACGCCACTGCACTCCAGCCTGGGCAAGAGAACGAGACCCTGTCTCAAAAAGAAAAATCTAAATAAAAAATCAAAGAAAATCAGAGGCTGCCCTGCAGATGCTGTCCTGGACCTGTCAGCACCACAGACACAGGTGGCTCTGCTGCGCCTGTAACACTGGGGCAAAGAGAAAGTGCTATTTCTCTCTTTTTTTTTTTTTTGAGACTGGGTCTCACTCTGTTGCCCATGCTGGAGTGCAATTGTGCAATCTTGGCTCACTGCAACCTCCGCCTCCCCATTCAAGTGATTCTCCTGCCTCAGCCTCCTGAGTAGCTGGGATTACAGGCACCTGCCACCATGCCCAGCTAATTTTTTTGTATTTTTAGTAGAGATGGGGTTTTACCATGTTGGCCAGGCTACTCTTGAACTCCTGACCTCAACTGATCCACCCGCCTCGGCCTCCCAAAGTATGAAAGTGGCTATTTCTATCCTCAGTGTTCAGAAACCAGTGAGCACCAAAAAATGGCTTATAGCCTGACATTTCTTAAAACCAAAGCAAGGTAGCATTTGGGTTTTCACTTTGGAAATGACCTAAAAACAAAACAAAACAAAACAAACCAGGAAGCAGAGGACAGGACATGTAGGGGGTGGTCAGGTCAGTGGAAGAAGGAAATCAAGCTAGCGTCTATTGAATTCCTACTGTGTGCCAGGAACATGCATCATCTTAGTCGATTTCACACTGGATTGCTAGCCCCATTTTATGGATGAAGAAACTGAGGCTCAGAGGGATGAAGGAACTTGCTCAGGGTCACATAGCCAGGAAGTGACAGTGGGTCACAGTCTCCCACCTCTTCCCCACACTCCATCCCATTCCAGACCAGGGGATAGGACCAGAGGAAGAGGCAAGTATGGGGGAGGTGATGGAGGAGGAGGAGACTGGAGGGAGGGTTGGCCTCTTCTTCACTGTTGGGACATGAAGGGGTAAGGAAGGGTCAACGCTAACCTGCCAAACCCCCACGATGGCATTGGCAATGAGGATCAAGAGGATGACAAAGGGTTCAACAAAGGCAGTGATGGTCTCTTCACCTTCCTCAAACCAGGCCAGCACCTGGGGAGCAGGGGAAAGGAGAATGACAGGTAATGAGGCCCCAAAACAGATGGAGAAAGGAAGTGGACCACTGCAAAGGGGAGAACTGTGCAGGAGAGTGCAGGAGCCAGCAGGAGGGCCGGGCACCGTCGGGGCGCTGTGGCCCCACATCCGTCTGAGGGTCTGTCCATCCACTGCAGGTCCTGCCACCGCCTTACTCAGCGGGATGGGCGCGCACAGACTTGCACCACTTGGGGGATTAGCTGGGAATGCTTTCAGGTTTCCCTGACCAAGCTGCTGGCTTAGAAGCGAAGCTCAGGCCAACCCCCCGCACAGCCACATCCATCCCACGGGAGCCAAAACCCGAGAGGAAAAACCCTGTGGTCTTCGCAGGCGGTCTGGCCCCCGCAGCCCTCCCCCTCGGCCAAGGCAGGGAAGCTCCGGTTTCACGAGGGAGCCGGAGCGGGGATAGGGTTACGGGGCCTCCTGCGCGCGCCCCGCCCCAGCTGTTGCCACCGCCAGGCAGCAGGCAAATGTCAAGGAGCAAATCTGAGAAGGGAGAGGAGAGGCCCTGCCAGCTTGTGCTTAACGCGACGGGGCCTGCGTTCGGAGACCAAGGCACAGGGAGGCTTTCGTTGCCTCCAGAGTCCCCAGCGAGGCTCACATGCTGCGGAAGAACCCGCGACATGCAGATGGACCGCGGGATGGGGAGTAGCCCCCAGGGCGGGAGAGGAGGCAGAGCCCTGGAGATGCCCTGCGGGGGTGGGGGTGCCTAGGGAGCGCGGGGAAGGGCTAAGGCCAGGCTGGGCGGGTAATGAGGGATGCCAGTGCCCTCCCTGACCGGGCGCCGGGCTCCTTGGAGTCATCATCACACCGCCGCGCTTTCCCGCCACTAGGAGCGAGTCCTCCCCTCGACCAATCAGCGTCAGGAGGCTGGGGAGGGCGGGGCAGGGGCGCCGACGGGCGCGGGGATTGGTGGAGCGGCCGTCCGCCCGGCGCATGCCGGGAGTGGCAGTGGCCCCCCGCGCCGCAGCCGGCATCGCGGCGGGACCCGGAGCCCGGAGTTCGGGTGGGTAACCCGAGCTCTCCAAGCTCTTGAAGCCGCGAGGGTGGCTTAGCTTCGGTGTTTTGGCTGAGAACACCCTTAAAGCTTAAAATAAAACCTGCCTCTGGGGTGCAGGGGAGGAGAGAGGAGGACGCGAATCACACCCGCTGCTGCGCGCCAGCCCGCCCCGTCTGTACAATGGGATGCTCGGGACTCGGACGGGAGGATCCAGTGACTGCGAGCCCCGCATTCGCCCGATCCCAGCCTCACACCCCCAGCCAGCCCCCAGAGACCCTCCCACACTTACGAAGGAAATGCATGCGGCCAGGAGGAGAATCCGCACCAGGAGGTCTTCAAACTGCTCTATCACCAGCTCCCACAGGGTCTTCCCTGGGGGAGGAGGCAAGGGGAGGGCCCCGGGTTAAGGTCTAGTGGGTGAAGGTCTGGGATGGAGCGCCCTGGACTCCGGCCTGCAGTGGGGAGGCTCTAGGGTGGTGGGCAGACAGCTTGGTGCCCAGAGAAGGGCTAAGAAGCTCGCCTGGAGTCCAGAAACAGACTCGGCAAAGTGGGGGGCAGTTCAAGGGTTGGCTGCTTCAAGGAGAAAGCGCCTGGGAGACTTCTGCCCCGGACAGGACTCTAACCTTTAGGGAGGGAGATTTGCCTTTTGGGAAGGGATATTTGCTCAAAGAATCTAAAGAGGCAGGGAGGAGGGAGTGGGACAGGGCGGGGTGGGGGGTGGTCATTTATGAGAGTTCAGGGATTCCAGTAACTTACCTTCCTCAGCAGGGAGCTCTACCCAGGAAAAAGAAGAAAAGGACAGATTCATTTGGGGTTCAGCCTCATGCCCCCCACACCCAAGACTTTGTGGCTAAGAGAATCAGGCCACCTTGAGGTTCATCAAGTTCATCCCATTAAAACCTCCCAAAACTCTGGATCTCGGGACTCTGTTTTCTCAGTATCTTCTTCCCCCTGCGAGCATTGGACAACGGCCCAGCTCTTCCTTAAGAAACCCTGAAGGGAGAAACGCGTGCATGCGTGTGCGTGTGTTTTGGGGGTGCAGGAGGGCATTAATTACCAGCCGCTCTTCCAAGGGACACTTACCATTGAGGCCGTATTTCTCCAGATTCCGCTTAACTTGGTCCGGGGTGAGGCCCGTGGTCTCACTCACCCCAAAATAGGCCAAACATTCCTCCGTGGTTTTAGCATGAGCGGCCTCCATTGTGCTCCCTTCCTGGGGGCCGGGGCCGGTGTGTTCCTTCCAGGGGGTTCCCACTCGTGGGGGGTCTTCCTCAGTGTGTCCAACTGCCTGTCTGCCTGGGTTTCTTCTTTTTACTCTCCTGCCCCCTCCAGGTTTTTCTTCCCTCCACAAAGCTCTGACCCCCGTCCCACTTGAGCAGCCGGCCACCCCCCGGCCCCCAGCTGGTCCTTATGAGGGAGCAGGGGGAGGCCGGGCTCCCCCCTCCACCAGATCAGGGATTGGCTGGCTGAGACTCCAGCAGGAGGTGGTCAGAAAAGAGAGATATTTCTGCTGACAGAGGGGGAACAGTGGGGCTGCAGCCTGAGATGTCACTCATGAGGGACGCAAAGGTAGCCCCAGCCCCAGGGAAGTGGGGTAGGGAGAGACTTCACTTTCTGTCATCTGCTACTGACCCTGCCCCCCCATTGCCTCGACTTCCCCAGCTGCATTGAATTTCCCATTCCAAACTCATCCCCCCAGTTCTTCCCGGAGCCCTCTTCCATCCCCGGCCTCACCTGTCCCTTTCCTCACACCCCCCTTCCTGCCTCATCTGCCCGGAGCCTGTTTCCATTGCCGCAGTCTCCTTCCTCCTCACCCCATTTGCTGAAGCAGTGGCAGAGATACCCCAAGCCTTTGGGGGACTGATGAAGGGAGAACATCTTTTGGGGGCTAGAGGAAGTGAGTGGCTCCTAGAGGGACAAGGGGAAGTGAGGGGAGAGAGTCAAGGGGACAGGGCCGAAGATGGTAACCCTACCCTAGGGAGGGGTTGCCACAGCCATCAACAAGGGATTTAGTGTCCAGGCCCTGGTGAGCAAAGCCAGCACTGCCTGTCTCTCCCCAAAACTGCCCCCCCCCTTCCCCATCGCTCTAACTCAGCCTCTGGGAACAGAGCCCTGAGGGCCCCCCCATCCTGGATAGGGAATCCCCACCCCACCCCCAAGAAAATGGGACACCAAGGCAGCCAAGTAACCCAAGAGGCTACAGAATGTGCTGATGGCAGAGGGGGAGGGGTAACTGTCTCAGGATGGGGGCAGGGGTCACCCCAAGTCGTGCACTGAGGGTCACCTCATCCCACACTGTGCTCTAACCAACGGGGTTTCTGTGGCCAGCCCCAGAGGCCTGTGGTCTGCGCTGCACTCTGCCCTGCTGCATCTGTCCACGAGGGGAACAGGATCAGGCCCATGCTGTGTGCGTGCAGGAGCTAGGCAGACCCCACAGAAAGGTGTCGGGGCCTGGGGAAGCTGGACCAAGCAGGGGCTCCAGACCAAAGGAATGGGGAAGGGTGGACTTCTGGGGACAGGTCTGGGGGAAATAAGGACAGATGTCTAGACCTAGGGGGAAAGGGAGCAGAGACACAGAGCCACCAGGGTCAGAGGGAAGTCCGAGCAGCAGTGGGGAAGAGGGACAGCAGGGAGCCAGGTGGGCGGGGACCCCGGCGCTGGGTGCAAAGCCACAAGTTGTTGCTGAATGCTGGCCTTGGTGTCAGCTTCCTCAGAGAAGCAGCTGCTCTGAGCTGCCCCTCCCCACCCCTGCTCCAGGATGGGGGCGTCTCTTGGTTACCACCAGGGCAGCTGCTGGAGGAGCCGAGGGAGGGTACCAGGGGTGCAGGAAGGGGAGGACAGGCAGGCAGAAAGGCTGGATGAGAGTCAGGGTGAAAGGTCAGTGAGGGGAAGGGGCCTGGTGCCCTGGGCTCAAGTCCGTCCTCTGTCTAGGCCTGTTTCCTGAAATGAGCAGAGGCATGTGGACTTCCTAAGTGTGGCTTCTTAAGGCTGCTTTCCATTCTGGGGCTCAAACTCCGAAGCAGAGGACAGAATAGGAGACAGCAGAGCAAAGAAAAGGGAGGCCCCCACTTTTGGGGAGGGGGATGGCAGCAGGGGTGGATGGAACTTGAGGGTTCAGCCTCCCAGATGCATCCCTTCTGCCTGGACTTGGGTGAGGCGCGGCCTCCTGGGTGAGTTGAGGACAAGGTGCTCCTTCCTGCCTCCTTTTCACAGTTCCAACAAACCCCTCCCCTGAAGCAGAATCCTGCTGTGACCTGAGGGGAGTGGGGGACAGTGGGCTGAATTGGGGGTGCAGGAGAGCATTAGCAGCCTCTCTTCCAAGAGACACAGCCCCCGGCACCTCCACCCGGCCCAGCACCCACCGTCTCCGCTGGACTCAGGCTCACACCCGCCAAGGCTTTTGGCGCTGGCCGGCGTCTCCCCACCGGCACCTGGAGGAGTGACAGGGGCTACTGTCTTACAGCAGTGGGAATGCCCAAACATGGAGAGGGGCAGACGG
The DNA here is from genome assembly GCF_000001405.40 of Homo sapiens. NCBI lineage: Eukaryota > Metazoa > Chordata > Mammalia > Primates > Hominidae > Homo > Homo sapiens. Next base: position 28,876,373 of record NC_000016.10, on the reverse strand, counting down.
AGAGATGGGCAGCTTCGAGGGAGTCGAGAGCCTGAGACAGAGGGCAGGGGGCAGGCTTGGCAGCACATTCCTGCCAACAGGCCTTTAAGGTTATTCATTTCTACCTCCCCCGGCTTCCCAGAGGGGGAAACAAGCCAGGGAGGGAAAGCCACCCGCCAGGAGCTGCAGAAGGGCTGCTCTAGGGAAGGCTGTGGGTGTGAACTGCCATGGAGGGAGGCTGAGCCAGAGGCGCCCTCGGGGATCCCTTCCCACAGGGGTCTCCACGCCCAGGGATGGAAAGTGATCCTCCTGTCACACCTGAGGGCTGGAGCTAAAAGCATGGGACACAGAGACACCCTGGCCAGTCCCTGATGAGTGCAGAACTTCGGTTTAACCATCTGTAAAGAAAGGCTTAGAGGGAAAGTCTCTCAGGCCCCAACAGCCAAGACATGCTGGTCTGAGGAGTGGGTGGGTGTCCTCGTCCCCCTCCCCTGCCCATCTTTGGAAGGCAGGTCCCTGAAGGCTGGCAGGGCTGGGGGAGGGGGAGCCTCAGAGCACCAGTTGCTGCTGGAAGATTAGGAGGGGATCAGGCCCTGCTTACCTCGGGGCACCACAGCCTTCACTGGCCATCTCACTAAGAACCCAGCACCCGGCTCTCCAAAGCTTCCCCCACTTTCAAGGCCGGTCCTATCCCCAGTCTCCTGAGGCCAAGGTTTGGGGAGCCCCAGAAATTAGAGCAAGCAGGAGAGCCAGCAGGCTTCCCTCGGCTAGCCCCCCGCCTGGGTGGCCTGGAAGCCCAGCTGTCTCCTGTCCATCTCCCTACAGGACACAAGGCCCAGAATAGCAAGGTCATGAGCGTGGGTAGGGCCTCCTGGAGGTGGGGGCTGAAGCTGAGGGGCATGAGGGTGTGGGCTCCTTGCTGCCTGGGCGGGGAGTGAGGCAGGATGCTGAAAGGCGGAGCTGGACAGTGGGGAAGGGAGAAGGCCGAGCTCAGCGGGTGGGATTCTTCAGCCCCAGGCCCCTCCTTGTTGGCACCCACTACCCCCAGAGCTGGGAAGCCCAGGGGTGCCCTCTGTTGGAGGGCACAGCCACAGATCAGGAAGACTGATTCCAAGAGCAGAGCCTGTGTTTTACGGGGTGGAGGGGTGTGCCACAATGGGGGTGGTGTTATAAACTCAAATGCCCACAGGGCCAGGCCCTCCCAGGGAGCAAAGTGAGCTGGTGGGGATGGGGCAGATGTGGAAGTGGACCCACATCACTGGATCTTCTGATTTTTAAGAGAAGCCAGTGATTTTTTTTTTTTTTTTTTTTTTTTTAGACAGAGTCTCGCTCTGTTGCCCAGGTTGGAGTGCAATGGTGCGATCTTGGCTCACAGCAACCTCCACCTCCTGGGCTCAAGCAATTCTCCTACCTTAGCCTCCTGAGTAGCTGGTATTACAGGCGCGCACCACCACACCCGGCTAATTTTTTGTATTTTTAGTAGAGACGGGGTTTCTCCACATTGGTCAGCCTGGTCTCAAACTCCTGACCTCAGGTGATCCACCCACGTCGGCCTCCCAAAGTGCTGGGATTACAGGCGTGAGCCACCACACCTGGCCTGTGATCTGAATTTTTAATGTGAAACTCAAATGGACACCATGTCCAGGCCAAGCAAACCATGTCAGCAGCTCTGACTCAAGATGAAACTTCACATGTCACAGATGAGGATGCTCAGGCCCGGCGTGGCTACACCTTGCCCAGGCCAGTGAGTGGCAAGGCCAGGACAGAAGCTAGTGCCCTCTGCCATCCCTCCAGCCTGGCTTTGAGAAGGGGGCCATTGGGCCCCTCTGCGGCTACCCTGTGACTGCCACGTTCAATCTCTTCCAGCACAGCCACCGTGCCTCCCATCTCTCACTGCCAGCTCTCTCTAGGGTACAAAGCCATAACTCAGGAAGGGCCGCTGGAGATCACCATGCCTGCCATTCACAGCACTGTCCCATGACAAAAACTCGCAGGAGACCCCAAGAGCATCATTTAGTGCTCCACGAACAAGGCTGTCAGACACAGGGATGGCTCCGAAAGCACAGCACTGCAGAATGATGGGGACTGGCCTGGGCCAGCCCTCTGGCCTGTGGGCACTGAGTGGGCTGCCTTCCCAACCCAACTGTCCCCAGTCCCCACAGCAAACAATGGCCATAGCCATCACGATAGAACCGAGATAAACCTTTTTATTTATTTATGCTTCTCCATTTTGTTTAAAACAACAACAACAACCACCTTAATGTAACTGACAGCCCTTCCCCCTCACCCTGCCTCGGGCTGGGGGTAGTTAATGGGGAAATGGCCCCCAGGGTGGGGCTGACCAGAAGAGCCCCTCAAGGAGCTCATGGAGCCCAAATCCCCTGCCCTGGGGAGGGGACCTGTAGTGTGTGACGGGAGCCTCTCCCGAGCCTCTGCTTGTACCATCAAAGATGCCCTTGGCCAACAAGGGTCAGGAAGCATGGGGGAGGGATTTCGGCCTCCTCTGTCCCTACCCAGCCCAATCTCACGAGCAGGGCTGGGGGGTTTAAAAAGGGTGGAGCGGGTGGGGTTGGCTCACACGAAGGAGTACTGGTTGTTAATGGCCCTGGGGTGGCCCCCTTCCTCTCCATCACCCCCTAGTGGTGACTGCTGCAGCTGCACCATTGGGGGCACCCCCGCGTCCCCACCAGACCCAGCGCCCTGGGCCTCTGAGCCTGGGGCTATGGCCTCTTCCAATTCAACCACGGGGACCAGCTCAACCACGGGGACCAGCTCTTCCGGGACCCCTCCACCGCCCGCTTTCTCTTTCTCTTGCCTCTCTTTGGCTGCTGCGGCTGCTGCTGCCGCCACTTCTGGCGCCCTCGACGCCTCTTCTGCCCCAGGCTGTGGGGGATCTGTCCATGAAGGGGGTTCAGGGGGCTGGGGTGGGTCATGGGAGGTGGTCGGTTCTGGATAGGAATGGTAAGAAAACAGACTGATTGTGGAGGCAGGTGAGCTCCTGCCGTGGCCTCCCCTTCACTCAGCCCCCCAGGAGCGTGGCTGTCTCCCCACATCCCATCTCCTGAGCAACCCCCCATCCATGGAAGATGGATCATGGGCGGTGGTGAGAGGAGGACCACACTTACACACAGTCACTCGCTCCGAAGGGCATGAGGGTGCAGGAGGCATCGGGGTGGCATCCATCTCCCTCGCACACCCCCGCATGGCTCCCAGCCTGCTCCCGGCCTGGGGGGAGGGGCAACGTGGGGACAGATGGGACGGTGGGGCAGGGGAAAGGGAGAGATCAGACAGGGACATGAGACATTGAGGGAGGAGGGAAGGGGATCAGACCGAGTGTCCCCGGGAAGGGCAGGCCCAAGGCCAGGCTGCGACGGAGGGCAAAGACGAGGCCAGGATGGGTCCAGGAGACAGACAGACAATGGAACAGAGGATCCGATGGAATGGGGATGCGCCCGCCCACCTCTCAGCTGCCGCCCCGGCTCCGGCCAGGAGCCTTCTGCCTTCCTGTGTCCTATCAGCGCATTTCTTTCCCTTCCAAACCCCGAGGCACAACAGCCTCCTCTACCCTGCTCTCCCAAGCAAAGCTTCTCCTTGTGATAGTCCCCCCTCCCCGCCCCATCTTTCTGGCACACACACCTCACTTCTTGGGTGCACGGGCACCTCCTCCCCTGCAGACCTGCTCTGCTCACCCTGCTGTCGCTGGGAGGATGGGACATAGCTGACAAGGACAACATCACTGGAGCCTCCCGACTCCAAAGGGATGGGGTGCACCCGGAAGTGCTCGAGCATATCGAAAATGGACTGGAACCACAGGTGCTGGACCCGGCACTGACCCTCCTCGTTCAGCGACAAACGCAGGTGCTGAGGGCGGGATGGGGGAGGTGAGGTAGGAGGCAAAGGCCCTGCCAGGTACAAACCCCCTCCCCCGGCAGTGCTCCCCCACCCCACTGCCAACTATGCACAGAACAGAGCCTTTCCCACAGGGTGGCTCACCTTGGCCTTGCCCTGGAAGTTGAAGGTGAGGACGTATTCACCCCGCCTTGTCTCACTCTGGCGCACCAGGAAGACACCGTGGGAGCCAGTGCCGCCAGTCAGCACCAACTGTGCAGCCTTGAGCCGAGAGAGCATCCCGTGGAACCAAGGATACCCTGAGAGGGGCTGGTCCCCCTCACCGCCCTCTGGCTCCCCCTGGAACAGGAAGGACCCTTCAGGAAGGAGAGAGGGAGGGAAACCGGGGTGTCAGGGCAGCCTCCCCCATCCTGGGAGAAAAAAGCCTTGCCTTCCCCTCAAGGCGCCTGCTCCCCACATGCGTCCCCAACTCCCCTGGGCCAGCTCCCTCGGGATCCCAGGAGAGGTGGTCAGGAAGGTAGGCACCCAGGCCTGGAGACATGCACACTCACACCTCCGGTACCTGTGGCTGTTTCCGGAGTGTCCAAGGGAGGGTAGGGGGCTGAGAGGGGATGAACTGTCCCTGTTGGGGGTCCCTCTTCAATGGGGATGCGGGGGGGCAACTCTGGGGGAAGCAGTTCCATCGAGTCAAAATGGGAGGCGGCAATGGAGGCAGAGCTGGGGGAGATGGATGCCGAGGGGCGGTCTGAGAGGCCCCCATATGCCCCTGGAAAAAAAAAGGGCAAAGCTGAGAACCCAAGAAATTCCTCTTCTAAAGGACTGTCCTGGGCCCATCTCCTCACCAGCAGTCTACCCTGTGTGCAGTCGCTGGCCAAGATGCCAAACAGCTCTGTGGGTAGTGACCCCTGATGCTTTTACCAATGGCTCCTAACTGATGCTTCCTGCGCTGCTGAGGGACTGCAGAGTTATTGCAAGGAGGTTCTAAAGTCCCAATGTGTCTCCATCTTTTTCTGAATCAACAGCTGAAAGACTGTTGCAGAAACGGAGAGCAGAATGCCTTAAATATATATATACATGTTTTTGTAGAGAAGGGGTCTCGCTATATAATAGCCCAGGTTGGCCCTGAGTTCCTGGACTCAAGTGATCTGCCCACCTCAGCTCTGGGATTACAGGCGTGAGCCACCGTGCCCAGCTGCCTCAAATATTTTGACATTCAAAAGGAGTCCTGGGCCAGGCGCAGTGGCTCACACCTGTAATACCCGCACTTTGGGAGGTTGAGGCAGGAGGATCACTTGAGCTTAGGAGTTCGAGAGCAGCCTGGGCAACATGGTGAAACACCATCTCTACTAAAAATACAAAAATTAGCTGGACGTAGTGGTGCACACCTGTAATCCTAGCTACCTGGGAGGCTGAGGCAGAAGAATTGCTTGAACCCGGGAGGCAGAGGTTGCAGTGAGCCGAGATTGTTTCACTGCACTGCAGCCTGGGCGACAGAGCAAGCCTCTGTCTCAAAACACACACACACACACACACACACACACACACACACACGGAATTCTGGCTGCACACAGTGGCTCACGCCTGTAATCCCAGCCTTTTGGGAGGCTGAGGTGTGAGAATGACTTGAGCCCAGGAGTTCAAGACCAACTTGGGCAACATGGTGAGACCCCATCTCTTACAAAAAATAAAAAATTAGCTAGGTGTGGTGGTGGCACACGCCTGTGGTCCCAGCACCTTAAGCCGCTGACGCAGGAAGATGGCTTGAGCCAGGGAGGTCAAGGCTGCAGGAAGCTGTGACTGCACCACTGCACTCCAGCCTGGGAGACATAACAAGACCCTATCTCAAAAACAAAAACACAAACAATAATTTTTTAAAAATAAAAAAATTAAACACACAAACAAAAAAAAAAAGGTGTCCTTTGTTGAACTATAGGACAAAGCCCCTAACTCTTAAGAGGCATCAAAGATGCTCCTTCTATTACTCCCCCAACCCACACCAACTTGAGCTTTACCTTACCTTGTATTCATGTCTCTTCCACTTTAACCCAATTTCCCATCCAATTTGTCCCCATATCCTGGGCCCTCCCCGCAGGTCTCTGCTCTTGCCCTTCACGTCCCCAGGCATGTCCTCTCCTCTCCTCGGCGTCGCAGTCCCTGTCTCTCCCACCTTCCCCTGCTCTCTTCCTCCTGAGCTCCCAACGTGATTCCTGCTTGTGCTGCTCAGGGGACACTAAGCTTTCTATAGGGAGTGATGTCAACCCAGCTGAAAGCCTCTAGAGAACAAGGAGCTCATCTCAGGCATCCTAGCTACCCCATCCTGGCCCGGGACACAGAGCAGGGCCAGGTATGCACTAGGGCCATCCTCCAAGTCTGTCCAACAGCAGGCCACTGCCTACACAAATGTCATAGGCAGGCAGTGCTCAGAAGACAGGCGTGTGGTGCACAGACAGCATGGCTTGGGAAACAGGGTGGCGCAGCCCCTGTCTTCCTCAGTGACCCTCAGGTGTCCTCTCCCTGGTCTTAGCTACTAAGATCTGATGAGATGCAAGGTCCACTCTAGATCTAAGATTCCATGATTCATGTGTTCATTCACTGAATACAGCCTGTGTGCTAGGCACTGTGCAGCTGGAACTCAGAACAGAGGGTCAGGAGAAAAGGCTATAGTGGAGGCCGAATCTAGAAATATGAGTTGGGACTGGGTGACACATCTTTGTGTGTTTGTGTGTGTGGGTCGGGTATGTGTGTTTGGTCAGACCAAAAAGTACAGAGTCAAGAGAAAACGTGATTGCCCCTGACAGACACAGAGATGCAGAGTAAGAACAAAACAAAGATTTCTACAAAGTGTTCCAGAAGCTTGGAGAAAACCACCATTATTTCCAGCCAGAGCGGTGGCTGGCAGGACGCTGACTGAAAAAGTGGCGAGGCTGGGTGCAGAAGCCTGGCTAAGGTTTGCTTGGGGCCTGCGTGGGGTCATGATTATTCTAAACAGCAAACTGTGGCTGTGTTCAGGGATCAAAGACCAACATTTGGTGGGGTTGGGGTAGGGCATCTGGAAAACAGGGATGGGGGCACAGTGGCGTCTGGAGAGGGCATGGCGCCTGACAGCAGGGGCCCCGCATGGCAGGTTCCGAGGCTCCGAGCTCTCTAAGGCTCCACCCTTACCCTGCGACAGGCGGTCATTGCTCTCGCTGGGTCCAAGCAGCAGGTCCTGGCTGGGTAGACTCTCCGAGTGATTCAGGCAGGACAGCTCCAGGCTGTCTGTGTTCTCCCTTGTAAGGAATGAGGTCCCAGGGGCCAGAGGGAGGGTCATGGGGCGGGGACTGGTAGCAGGGCAGGGTCTGCAGAGACAGGGAAGATGGTGCTGGGAGGAAAGTCACCAGGTGAGAGGCGCAAGGCTGCTCCCCAACCCCACTCTATGTCCCTTAGCGACAGAAGTCAGGCTTCTCACCCTGGGCTCAGGCATTCTTGGATGTCAGACACCCAGGCCTTCACATGCTGGGCATCCACTGTCTCCATGATATACTCGGATGGACCTTCCACCTACAGAGATGAGACGACGCCTCAGCTGGGGCAGGGGCAGGGAGGAGGCTTAATCCATGCCTAATGAGAACAATGTATGCAGGCTGTCTACAAACAAGATGCATTCGAATTCTCTCTGGAGGCCGGGTACAGAGGCTCACACCTGTAATCCCAGCACCTCTGGAGGATCACTTGAGCCCAGGAGTTGGACCAGTCTGGGCAACATAGTGAGAACCTGTCTCTAAAAAAATTGAAAAATAAAATAAGGCGAGGCCGGGTACGATGGCTCACACCTGTAATCCCAGCACTTTGAGAGGCCAAGGAGGGTGGATCACAAGGTCAAGAGTTCGAGACCAACATGACCAATGTGGTGAAACCCTGTCTCTACTAAAAACAAAAATTAGCCAGGCGTGGTGGCAGGCGCCTGTAGTCCCAGCTACTCGAGAGGCTGAGACAGGAGAATCGCTTGAACCCGGGAGGCGGAGGTTGCAGTGAGCCAAGATCATGCCACTTCAACTCCAGCCTGGGAGACAGAGTAAAATGCCGTCTCAAAAATATAAAAAATAAAAATAAAATAAAATAAAATAGGCCAGGCGCAGTGGCTCACGCCTATAATCCCAGCACTTTGGGAGGCTGAGGCGGGCAAATCACGAGGTCAGGAGATCGAGACCATCCTAGCTAACTTGGTGAAACCCCGTCTCTACTAAAAATACAAAAAAATTATCCGGGCGTGGTGGCGGACGCCAGTAGTCCCAGCTACTCGGGAGGCTGAGGCAGGAAAATGGCATGAACCCGGGAGGTGGAGCTTGCAGTGAGTCGAGATCGCGCCACTGCACTCCAGCCTGGGCGACAGAGCGAGACTCTGTCTCAAAAAAAATAAATAAATAATAAAATAAAATAAGGCCAGGCACAGTGGCTCACGCCTGTGATCCCAACACTTTGGGAGGCCAAGTGGGGTGGATCACTTGAGGCCAGTTTGAGACCAGCCTGCCGAACATGGCAAAACCCATTTCTGCTAAACATACAAAAAATTAGCTGGGCATAGTGGTGCATGCCTGTAATCCCAACTACTCAGGAGGCTGAGGCACAAGAATCGCTTGAACCTGGGAGGCAGAGGTTGCAGTGAGCCAAGATCGCGCCGCTGCACTCCAGCCTGTGCGGCAGAGCAAGGCTCTATCTCAAATGTAAGTAAGTAACAAAATTAGCCAGGCATGGTGTCACATGCCTGTAGTCCCAGCTCCTTAGAGGGCTGAGGCAGGACGATCACTTGAGCCCAGGAGTTCGAGGCTACACGAGGCTACAGTGAGCTATGATCAGGTTGCTGCACTCCTGACTTAGAGGGAGACCCTGTCTCTCTAAAACAACCACAACAACAAAAACTCCACAGTTCTCTTTCAAGTGGAGGCATTGTTTTTGAGAGTAAGAACATTTCCCTGTCTTCCGCTATCCCAGAAAAGCTGCAGCCCCAGGGACACACTCTCAAGGCACTGGACACATATATATACCTCCTTTCGGCGACGCCACTTGCTTAAATGCGCTGAGGGCTTTCTCCTTAACACAAGCACTGCCGGCGGCTGGGAAGTTGAATTCCTACCTTAACCACAAACGTGTTCTCCCGGTCAGGCATCTCCAGGGCTGTGGTTGTCCGGACGTCTGTGATAGAAGAGCAGGGGATGCTGAGTCGGGGCCGAGAGGCCTAAGTCAGGAGAAAGAAACAGATCTGGGTGTTTGGTTTCCAAAGACCACTCTTCCCCTCCCTCCAGACATTCATCTTTCCTTCTACATCCTCGGGAAGTTAGACAAAAGGCAGTCACACTGCTTTCTCAGTCCTGCCCGCAGCTGCTAACACAGAGCCAAGAGCCAGCTTTACCAACAAAAAGTGAGCGACACCAGGGCCATGGGCTGGTAAACCCCAGAGCTTATCTGCAGGGCTGTGACCACTCTGAGCACTCTCTCACTTGCTCTCAGTCACCCACCCTCCAAGGGGCCTCACCTTGGGTGGTACAAAGAACTCCAGGCGACTTCCTCCTCCTCCTTCTCCTTCACTTCGAAGCAGCAGGCGACACTTCTGCCACTGAGGCTGCCCTCCTCCCCCTGAAGGAGGCCCAGCCACCCCTCCTCCCCGGCCCACTCCGGCTGGGTCAGGGGCTGCCTCCTCAGCCCCCATGAAACTCAGCAGCTCTTCCCTCTGCACCATCCCTGCTCCATCCTTCAAGGCGCCCCCTCCCCGACTGAGTCTCAGCCTCTCAAAACGGTGAGTCCATCTTTCCCCAGGGGACGTTCCATCACTGACCAGTCCCCTACCAACGGTCCCAGCCCCGCCAGAGGAGTTGGAGTTGCTGTTTCCACCTAAGACTGGGGGGCCTGACGAGGTCTCCAGGGGCCCAGCGGAGGAGGGAGGGTCAACGGTCCCCCGCCACTGCAGGATGCCACGGACTGAGCCTCGGACAGAGCGACCCACTGAACGCAGGGAAAAGCGCTTCTTGAGCTTCGGCTTGGAGGAGGTTGTAGAGGAGGAAGAGACTGAGGAAGGGAGGGGGCCGGCCAGGTCCTCAGATGATCGAGAAGGGCCCAGCACAGCCAGGGGCCCACCCACCCTGCAGCTCTCAAGGGACAGGTCATGTGGCGAAATCTCCGCACCAGGGCTCAGGGGAGCCAGGATGGGTGGCGACAGGGAGCCAGAGGCCCGGGCCACCTCGGCTTCAAAGTGCTGCAGGAAGAGCTCAGCAAAACGGCGGGAGAAGGCAGCCTCGGCCCCGGGCCCCGCATATTGGGGGTGGGAGGCCAGGTAGAGGCGAAAACGGCGGGCAAAGTCCAGAGCCGCAGCCCGGGCGTGGGACTCACAGAACTCCCGCCAACTAGGGGGCGGGGGTGGGGGCAGCGGGGGAGACGAGGGGGAGGCCCCGTCCTCTGGGGAAGGGGCACCATTCATGATGGGCCCCAGGAGGTGGAGAGGGGGAGCCTGTGGGGCACAAAGAGGGAGGCAGCCAGAAGACGAGGGGTGGGCGGCAGCAGCTGCGAAAGGAAGAGAGAGGCACACACGAGGGTCACTGCTGAGGGCGCACCGGAGGCTGCATCCCACCCCCAGCCAGAGACGTCCGACCCTACTTCAGACTCCGCAGAGAGCAATGGGGAAGGGAGCCCAACACCTCCCTTCCCTCTCCCAGATCCTGGCACCCTGCAGGCCCCAGCCAACTGGCTCCCCAGCGTCTAACCTGCCCCGAGCCTGCCACATTTGCCCCCACTTTCCTTAGCTTTGGATCCAGCAGTAGAGGGCTTTGGAGCACCTTCCCCCTAAAAAAGGGAACTTTTCCAGATCACCCCCCCTCTACATCGGATCCTCCAATATTCATGTCACACTTCCCATGAGCCATTCTAGAGGCTCCCACTTGGTTATCTTACCTTTCCCTGAGAGGTTTCAAAGACCTCTCGAACAGATGAGGAAACCGAAGCTCAGAAAAGTTTCAGAACTCCAAGTCTACTGTTTTCCCCACTTCATAGTCCCTGTCCCCAGGGCCCGGCTGGGCCAGCCTCAGCCATAGCACCTCACCGCCCCAGCTCGCAGGGGGCTAGAGAGGAGCTGGGATTCTAGACCTTAGAGAGCCTGCCTCACGCATCTTAGGGTCCAACTCTTTGGAGGGGGCCGATTCATTAATGAGGATGGATGCATGATGGACCAAAACAGTAATTGTCTTGAAAGCTGACCCCAGAGTCCAGCACCCACGCACTGCGTGAAGGAGATGTGAAATAGCTACAGCCCACTTCTTTGGTATCCCTTCAGTCTGGGGCCAGAGGCCGCAGGGGCCCCAGAGGAGAAACTGGGTTGGCTCAGGTCAAGTCTTTGCTGGCCTCACGTAAACAAAACATCACAGGGAGAGCTGGGGCCCTAGGATTTTTCACCTTCCTCTTCTCCCACTGGGGAGTATGCCCTAAAGGCAGGTTAGCCTTCTGGTTAAGGCCATGGACTTGAGTCAGACCAGGGCTCAAACCACCTTATGAGCACCCAGTCCAGCCACCTTATGAGCGATGTTATCTTGAACAAATTCCACGTCCTCTCTGAGCCTCCGTTTTTCTATCTGTTAAACAAAGCTAATGATCCCTCCCCTCGAAATGTTGAGAGAATTACATGGAATGGGGTATGTCAGCGCTGAACGCAAAGTAAGCATCCGCTGAACGACTGCCATTGTTACTATCTTCATGTGGGAGAAGAATATTATTGTTCCAATTTTCTAAAATAGAAATTAGAGAAAGGAGGAGCCCTCTCAAGGTCTTACAACTAGAAAGTGGCAGAGCTGGGTGTGGAATTTACAACCCTTGGCTCTTGTTAGCGCTCCTCCCGCCACGCAATACTGGAAGGTGACAGCCCCAGGACTGGGGCCAGAGCAGCTCAGGAAAGCCTCCCCAAACCCTCAGCGACCTCAGACTCCTGTTCAAACCTACAGCCAGGCTGTAAGTCGGTGAACCCTCCCCTTCCTCCTGGGCCTCGACCCTACAAGCTCAGATGGCTCCAACCGCAGGGACAACTCCAAACCAACGAGAAACAATCAGGAGATGCAGGAGTCATGGAGCACGGGGGAACCCAGCCAAGAAGTGCAAACCAATCTCCAGCCAGCGGCCACCTCGGCTCACACAGGCCCACCCAATCCTCCGCACCGCAGACAGACCCAGCCCCCTTCAGGCCCGCTGACCCTGCGACTCCTAAGCTGGTGACTCAGTTTCTCTTCTGCCAAGCAGGACTCAGACACATTTTCCCGGTGCACCTGCCTCCTGGCTCAGTTCTGATATTTCCCGAAGGGCGGGAGGTGGAGGGTGCAGGCTCCGCTCTCGGCTCGGACCCTCCGGGCCCGGTGGTCCATATACTCCGATCCGACCCTACTCCCTGGACACCCCCCAGCCGCCCATTTTCCGGGGCCGCATCCACCTCGGGACCAGCCCTGTCTGCTGCACTCTCCGGGGCCGAGTGCCTCTCCAGCCCCCGGCCCTCCACGCCCACCCCCACCCAGGAATCCTCTCGGGCGCCAGGGCCGGGTCGCGGAGAGGGAAAAGGTACTTGAAGAGGGGGGTTCCGGTTCCGGTCCCACCTGCATCTCGGTCCCCGAGGTTAGCTCCGGCGGCGGCGGCGGCGGCGGCGGCTCCCGCTCCCTGCGCCCCCACCCACTACGCGACGAGCGCCCAGCCCGGTTCCGCGCAGGCGTCAGGACCCCCTTTCCCGTCGCTGAAGGAAGAGACCATAGAGAACAGCGGCGGGAGGGAAGGGCACCTTCATACTTACTTCCGCCATCCTCCCACTCGGCGCCGACCCCAGGAGACCGAAGACGGTGTGAATCTCGTAGGGCTTCAGTGCCTTCTCCAGTTGCACCTAAAAGCGACCACAGACGCAGCGGGGGAAGTGCTTGGATCCCACCAGAGCGTCCTCCCGGAGGAAATTCGGGACAAAGGGGCGATGTCGACCATAGAGAACCGGCCTTAGGGGATAGAGTCCCAGGGCCCGGCTGAGGGCTAGAGTAGCCGCCGAGCACCGGAAACCAGCGAGATGATGAGGCTGTGTGAACGGCCCGCTGCAGCCTAGAGCGCCGGCCCCGCTGTGGAGGGGCACGCGGACAACGCCACCAAGGAGCTGAGCGAGGAAAGAAGCGGGTGACCTTGGGGAGGCCCTGCGGGGAGGCGGAGCCTGAACTTACGACCTTGGTTTATCTGAGGAAAGGGGCAGGCGGTCCAGGAGTTTGCATCTCTGAGGCTGGAGATGAAGATGGTGGTAGTGGTGGGGGAGGGGGTGGGTAGAAATAATGAGGTCAGGGCCGGGCGCAGTGGCTCATGCCTGTAATCCCAGCACTTCGGAAGGCCGAGGCAGGTGGATCACCTGAGGTCAGGAGTTCGAGACCAGCCTGGCCAACATGGTGAAACCCCGTCTCTACTAAAAATACAAAAATTAGCCGGGCATGGTGGCGCGCGCCTGTAGTCCCAGTCCCTCCGGAGGCAGAGGCAAGAGAATAGCTTGAATCCGGAAGGCAGAGATTGCGGTGAGCCGAGATGGCGCCACGGCACTCCAGCCCAGGCAACAGAACTAGAATCCCTATTTTAAAAATAGAAAAAAAAAAAATGAGGTCAGGGCCGGGAGCGCTGGCTCACGCCTGTAATCCCAGCCCTTTGGGAGGCCGAGGCGGGCGGATGGCTTGAGGTCAGGAGTTTGAGACCAGCCTGACCAACATGGTGAAACCCCGTCTGTACTAAAAATACAAAAAATTTAGCCGGGCGTGGTGGCAGGCGCCTGTAATCCCAGCCCCTTGGGAGACCGAGGCAGGAGAACAGCTTGAACCCGGGAGGCAGAGGTTGCGGTGAGCCGAGATGGCGCCACGGCACTCCAGCGCGGGCAACAGAGCTAGACTCCCTATCAAAAAAAAAAAAAAAAAAAAAGAATTGAGGTCAAGGCCGGACGCAGTGGCTCACGCCTGTAATCCCAGCACTTTGGGAGGCCGAGGCGGGCGGATCACTTGAGGTCAGGAGTTTGAGACCAGCCTGACCAACATGGTGAAACCCCATCTGCAATAAAAATACAAAAATTTTAGCCGGGCTTGGTGGCAGGCGCCTGTACTCCCAGCTACTTGAGAGGAGGCTGAGGCAGAAGAATCACTTGAACCCCAGAGTCGGAAGTTGCAGTGAGCCAAGACTGCGCCACTGCAATCCAGCCTGGGCAAAAGAGCGAGACTCCATCTCAAAAATAATAACAATAATAATAATGAGGTCAATTCCAGACGTGCTTTTGGGACGTCTGTGGGCATATAGTCTGGAGCTAAGAAGAGACATCAAGGCCAGTTAGAGAAATCGAGAACAATTAAAGTACGGAGGGTAGTTGAAAGCATGAGCACAGTGAGATCCTCCACCCATCCAGTGTCTGATTGACCCGGCTCCAGCTGGCCTAAACAGTAAAGGAAGCTATGGCCCAAGTAATCGAAAAGTCCAGAGCGGACAGATTCAGACAGGTGAACACAGGGGCCAGAAGATATCAGGAACCTGTGGCTCACCATCTCTGGTTCTGCCTTCCCTATGCATTTGGCTTCACCCTCAGGCAGGCTCTCCTCTCTTAGTGGCAAAATAGCTTCTTGTAGCTCCAAGCTTAAACCCTAATAGCTTAGCAACTCTCCTAGAAGGAGCATGCCTCTTTTCTGAGATTCCCAATGAAATTTCCAGAACTGAGTAGCTGATTGGATCAAGTGCCCATCCTGGAACTCGAAGACAAATAAATAACCCAAGAGGGGAAGACGGATAAATCCTGACTCACCTAAGAATGTTCAAGGCCGGGCACAGTGGCTCACGCCTGTAATCCCAGCACTTTGGGAGGCCGAGACAGGCGGATCATGAGGTCAGGAGATCAAGACCATCCTGGCTAACACGGTGAAACCCCATCTCTGCTAAAAATACAAAAAAAATTAGCCAGGCGTGGTGGCGGGTGCCTGTAGTCCCAGCTACTGGGGAGGCTGAGGCAGGAGAATGGCGTGAACCTGGGAGGCAGAGCTTGCAGTGAGCCGAGATCGCACCACTGCACTCCAGCCTGGGCGACAGAGCGAGACTCCGTCTCAAAAAAAAAAATGTTCTAAGATGGCCGGGCGCAGTGGCTCACGCCTGTAATCCCAACACTGGGAGGCTGAGGCGGGCGCATCATGAGTTCAGGAGTTCAAGACCATCCTGGCCAACATAGTGAAACCCCACCTCTACTAAAAATACAAAAATTAGCTGGACATGGTGGCACATACCTGTAATCTCAGCTACTCAGGAGGCTGAGGCAGGAGAATCACTTGAATCTGGGAGGCGGAGGCTGTGGTGAGCCAAAATCGTCCCACGGCACTCCAGCCTGGGCAACAGAGCGAGACTCCATCTCAAAAAACAAAAAAGTGCTGGGCATGGTGGCTCAGTCCTGTAATCAATCCCACTGTTATCAATCCCAGCACTTTGGGAGGCTATGGTGGGCAGATCACTTGAGGTCAGGAGTTTGAGACCAGCCTAGCCAACATGGCGAAACCTCATCTCTACCAAAAATATAAAAAATTAGCCACGTGTGGTGGCGCGTGCCTGTAATCCCAGCTGCTTGGGAGGCTGAGGCACGAGAATCGCTTGAACCTGGGAGGTGGAGGTTGCAGTGAGCCAAGATCATGCCACTGCACTCCAGACTGGGCAACAGAGCGAGACTCCATCTCAAGAAATTAAAAAAAAAACAAATCTGGAGTCCTAACTGTTGGAACAGAAATCACATACCAGAGACCAGGGAGTGTGGGAGTGAGTATAAGATGTGTGTGTGTCGGGGGGAAATGGGCAAACACAAACACAAATGATATAAAGGGATCCGTGGGGGATCACAGGGTGTGCTGCCATGGTCTCTAGAAGGCATTGATAACTAAGAGACTGCTGCGTGACTTGGTGAGAGTAGTTTCAGCAGAGGCCAAATGGTAGTGGTTTGAGGAATGAGTGGAAGGTAAAGAAGTGGGAGGAGGCTGGGCACGGTGGCTCCCGCCTGTAATTCCAGCACTTTGGGAGGCCAAGGCAGGCGGATCACCTGAGGTCAGGAGTTTGAGACCCGCCTGGCCAACATGGCAAAACCCTGTCTCTACTAAAATTAGCCAGGCGTGGTGGCACGCACCTGTAATCCCAGCTACTTGGGAGGCTGAGGCAGGAGAATCGCTTGAACCTGGGAGGTGGAGGTCGCAGTGAGCCAAGATCGTGCCACTGCATTCCAGCCTGGGTGACAGAGCAAGACTCCATCGTAAAAAAAAAAAAAAAAAAAATTCAAGAAGTGGGAGGAAAAATGTGGAGAGATGTTCTACACAGTTTGGCTGAAAAGGGGAGGACAGAGATAAGGCAGGTTGTAAGTGTGAGAAGGTAGAAAGGTTTGCTTGTTTGTTTCTATCTTGAGGAAGATCTGATTTTGTTGGAAACATTAAGGGGAAAGGAATCAGTAGAGAGGATGGTCGCTGAAGGAGCAAGGTTGCGGAGAAGGTTGGTGGGGACGTTATCCAGGGCCCAGGTTAAGCCAAGGCATTAATATGAAGGGGAGAAACCCTTCTTCCTCATAAGCAGGGATGTAAAACTCGGGATGCTTTCCGCTATAACTACTAGAAACCCTAATTCCAGCTAACTTAAACATGAAAACAGCCGGGGGGGGGGGGTCTATTGGTTTAAATAATTGAAAAATCAGAGATAGGATGACTTCAGGCATGGCTGGAGCCAGAGGCTCAAACAATGTTGATTTGAACTTGGTCTCAGTCTCTTTTAGTTCTGCTTTTCCCTGGACTTTCTTTCTTTTTCTCTCTCTCTTTTTTTTTTTCCTGATACAGGGTCTTGCTCTGTCACCTGGGCTGGAGTGCAGTGGTACAATCATAGCTTACTGCAGCTTCGAACTCCTGGGCTGAGGCAGTCCTCTCACCTCAGCCTCCCCAGTAGCTGAGACCACAGGCATGACCCACGCCTGGCTCCCTGGACTGTCTTCATTCTCAGGGAGGTTGTCATCTCGTAAGTAGCAAAATAGCCAAGCCTCATTCTACCAGCTTAAACAACCCTGGCAGAAAAAGAGTATAGCTTTCCCAATAGCTACAGCAAATAAAACAGGGGTGTCTGATGAGCTCAGCTTTCATCGCCCAGTGATCTTTTGTCATTTAATAAGGAATTTATCTGTTGGGTACTGGGCTTAATACCTGAGTGATGACATGTATAACAAACCCCCATGACAGGTGTCTATCTATGTGATAAACCTTCACATGTATCCCCAAACCTAAAATAAAACTTAAATAAATAGGCTGGGCATGGTGGCTCACACCTGTAATCCCAACACATTAGGAGGCTGAGGCAGGCGAATCACCCGAGGCTGGGAGTTCAAGACCAGCCTGGGCAACATGGTGAAACCCCATCTCTACAACAAATACAAAAAAATTAGCCAGGTTGGGTGGTCCATGCCTGTAATCCCAGCTACTCGGGAGGCTAAGGCATGAGAACGGCTTGAACCAGGGAGGCAGAGGTTGCAGTGAGCCAAGATCATGCACAGCAAGATCCTGTCTCTAAAAAAAACCAAATAAATGATTTTTTTTTTTTTTTTTTGAGAAACAGTCTTGCTGTGTCACCCAGGCTGGAGTGCAGTGGTATGATCTCAGCTCACCAGCTGCAAACTCTGCCTCCTGGATTCAAGTGATTCTCATGCCTCAGCCTCCCGAATAGCTGAGATTACAGGCGTGCGCCACCAGGCCTGGCTAATTTTTGTATTTTTAGCAGAGATGGGGATTCACCATGTTAGCAAAGCTGGTCCCGAACTCCCAGCCTCAAGTGATCTGCCCGACTTGGCCTCCCAGAGTGCTGGGATTACAAGTGTGAGCCACTATGCCCAGCCAAATAAATAAAATTTTGAAAAGAATTTGGCTGGTCTTTGTCCCAGGTTCCTGGCATAGAGCTTCCAAAACACTTGGAATTTCCTGAGTCATAGAAATGTCTGTTACTCAGAAGTTCCTTATGTAACACCTGAGTTTTTTTGTTTGAGACAGAGTCTCACTGTCTCCCAGGCTGGAGTGCAGTGGCGCGATCTTGGCTTACTGCAACCTCCACCTCCTCCCGGGTTCACGCCATTCTCCCACCTCAACTTCCCAAGTAGCTGGGATTGCAGGCATGGGCCACCACACCCAGCTAATCTTTGTATTTTTAGTAGAGACAGGGTTTCACCACGTTGGCCAGGCTGCTCTCGAACTCCTGACCTCAGGTGAGCCACCTACCCCTGCCTCCCAAAATGCTGGGATTACAGGCGTGAGCCACTGTGCCCAGCCAACACCTGAGTTTTTGCTAATGAGGTGACTCATGGCAGGCCCTCAGTAGCTTCAGGATAGGGCCTGGTCACCAGAAAGACCAACCTTGTGATTAGAGGGTTGGGATTTTGAGCCAGCCCAACCCCCAGGGAGGGGAGGGGGCCTGAAGGGTAAGACCAATCACATGGCCAGTGATGTACTAATAAGAACTCTGGCCGGGCGCGGTGGCTCACGCCTGTAATCCCAGCACTTTGGGAGGCTGAGGTGGGCGGATCACGAGGTCAGGAGATCGAGACCATCCTGGCTAACACAGTGAAACCCCCTCTCTACTAAAAATACCAAAAATTCGCCAGGTGTGGTGGTGGGCGCCTGTAGTCCCAGCTACTCGGGAGTCTGAGGCAGGAGAATGGCGTGAACCCAGGAGGCGGAGCTTGCAGTGAGCCGAGATTGCGCCACTGCACTCCAGCCTGGGCAACAGAGCGAGACTCCGTCTCAAAAAAAAAAAAAAAAGAACTCCGGACACTGAAACTCAGTGGGTGTTCTGGTCAGCAAATGCATTGATGTGCTGGGAGGTGACGTGCCCTGCTTCCACAGGGGAGAGGGCACAGGAGCTTGGTGGCCTGCTGTCCCAGCTCTCCCTGTGTGTCTCTTCATTGGCTGGCCCTGCTTTGTATTCTTTGTAAAGCTGTAATCCCAAGTGTAGTGCTTTCCTGCATTCTATGAGTCATTGTTTTTATTTAAGTAAAATATACATGTATAATTTACATCTTTACTATTTTTAAGTGTACAGTTCAGTGGTAATAAATACATTTATATTATTTTTTGCCCTTTCACCCCCCCGCCCCCACTCCCCATTATGAGCCATTCTTGTGAACTGCTGAACCTGATGGGGGACAGTGTAGCCTCCTCTGGGAAGCCATGCATGGCTGGTCCACCTAGGCCACCTCTCAACTATCTTTTTTTTTTTTTTTGAGACAGAGTCACTCTGTTGCCCAGACTGGAGTGCAGTGATGCAATCTCGGTTCACTGCAACCTCCATCTCCCGGGTTCAAGCAATCCTCCTGCCTTAGCCTCCCAAGTAGCTGGGATTACAGGTGTGCATCACCGCGTCCAGCTAATTTTTGTATTTTTAGTACAGATGAGGTTCCACCACGTTGGCCAGGCTGGTCTCGAACTCCTGACCTCAAGTGATCCTCCCACCTCGGCCTCCCAAAGTGATGGGATTACAGGTGTGAGCCACTGGGGCTGGCCTCAAGTACCTTTTACTTAGTAGCTTTTGTATGACATTCACCAAGTGCTTCCAGTTGTGATGTCTCCCATCACATCAGAGTGACATGGGTATGACGGGAGCCCTGGGTTTGGAAGCACACTCAGGGTTGGCATGCAGGGACTTGGGGAGGCAGGAGGCAGAGCAGAAGTTGGTGCAGTGGTCCACAAGAGGGCTGATGCTGGCCTGGCTATGGCGATGTAATGGGGTTGGTGCCAAGGGGTTTAACCAGAGAGACTTCCCAGGAGGTCCTGCCAAGTTGGCTGGTGGGAAGAGTGAAGAGTGAAGGATGCCCTTGAGCTTCCTCTGAGGAAGGATTTATAGAGTGGCACCAAGGACAGTGCGCTGGGACCTAGTCCTTAATGTGCCACTAAGTTCCTGGCTAGCCCAGTACTCATTTCCATTGCACCAGACCCCATCCTCCTCTTAGAAGTTTTAGAGCTACAAGAAATCTTAGAGATCATCATATGATTTAACCTCCACCCCCAATTTGTAGATAATGAAGCTGAGGGCCAAGAAGGTACAGTGACCCATCTTTATTTATAAAAATGAATGTGAATATAAAATTTGCTTTCCATTGAAAACCTCAGGAAACTTACTAAGCCCAATGCAAATGCTCAATTGAAATGATTCAATAAATCCTCCAACAAATACTGATTCACTTAAGTATTAGGCACTTTTTTGTGTGTGTGTGGTTTTTTTTTTTTTTTTTGAGATGGAGTCTTGCACGGTCCCCTGGGCTGGAGTGCAGTGGCGTGATCTGGGCTCACTGCAATGTCCACCTCCGGATTCAAGTGATTCTCCTGCCTCAGCCTCCCTAGTAGCTGGGATTACAGGCACCCACCACCACCCCACAGCTATTTTTTTTTTTTTTGTATTTTTAGTACAGATGGGGTTGGCCAGGCTGGTCTTTAACTCCTGACCTCGTGATTCATCCACCTCGGTGTCCCAAAGTGCTGGGATTACAAGTGTGAGCCACCACGCCTGGCCGGCATTGTTCTTAAGAGTAAAAAAGGCTGGGCGCGGTGGCTCACACCTGTAATCCCAGCACTTTGGGAGGCCGAGGCAGGCGGATCACGAGGTCGGCGGATCACGAGGTCAGGAGATCGAGACCATCCTGGCCAACACAGTGAAACCCCATCTCTACTAAAAATCCAAAAAAAAAAAAAAAAAAAAAATTAGCCGGGCGTGCTGGCGGGCGCCTGTAGTCCCAGCTACTCCGGAGGCGGAGGCAGGAGAATGGCATGAACCCAGGAGACGGAGCTTGCAGTGAGCGGAGATCGCTCCACTGCACTCCAGCCCGGGCGACAGAACAAGACTCTGTCTCAAAAAAAAAATAAATAAATAAATAAATAAGTTCTTAGTGCCACGAGCTGGTGAGATGGGAAGAAAACAAGCAAAATAGTAAGATAATTTTGGGCATTTAGATGCTATGAAGAAAATCAAGGTAGAAACAATCATGGGGGCCGGGCGCGGTGGCTCATGCCTGTACTCCCAGCAATTTGGGAGGCAGAGACGGGCAGATCACTCGAGGCCAGGAGTTTGAGGCCAGCCTGGCCAACATGGTGAAACCCCTCGTCTTTACTAAAAATAAAAAATTAGTCGGGTGTGGTGGCACTTGCCTGTAATCCCAGCTACTTGGGAAGCTGAGGCATGAGTATTGCTTGAACCCAGGAGGTGGAGGTTGCAATGAGCCGAGATCACACCATTGCACTCCAGCCTGGGTGATAGAGTGAGATTCTGTCTCAACAATTAAAAAAAGAAACAATCATGGAATGTTTGCAAAACGAAAGTGGGGGGCCAGTGTGGGAAAGGCATGGTGTCTCACACTTGTAAGGCACCCAGCACCTTCAGAGGCCAAGGTGGGCAGATCACCCGAAGTCAGGAGTTCGAGACCAGCCTGGCCAACATGGTGATACCCTGTCTACTAAAAATACAAAAATTAGCAGGGTGTGGTAGTGGTCATCTGTAATCCTAGCTACTCAGGAGGCTGAGGCAGGAGAATCGCTTGAACCCAGGAGATGGAGGTTGCAGTGAGCCGAGATTGTGCCACTGCACTCCAGCCTGGGCGACAGAACGAGACTCTGTCTCAAAACAAAAACAAAAATGAAGGGCTAGTGCAGCCAGGGGAGTGAGGAAAATGAACTACATGGGTTCAAAGAGCTGGCCAGATTATGCAGGCCTTGTGGGACACACGGAGAATTTTATTATTATTGTCGTTATTATTTTGAGACAGGGTCTCGTTCTGTTACCCAGGCAAAAGTGCAGTGGCTTGAGCACAGCTCAATGCAACCTTGAACTCCCAGGCTGAATTGATCCTCCTGCCTCAGCCTTCCAAGTAGTTGGGACTCCAGGGGTGCACTACCATGCCCAGCTAATTTTTCTATTTCTTGTAGAGACGGGTTCTTGCCATGTTGCCCAGGCTGGTCTCAAACTCTTGGGCTCAAGCAATCCACCCTCCTCGGCCTCCTAAAGTGCTGGGATTACATACAGGCATGAGCCACCATACTTGGCCTTATTATTTTTTTAATAACAGCTTTATTGAGATATAATTCACCTACCATGATTGAGATACAAATCGCCCATTTAAAGTAGGAATTTGGATTTTATTCCAAGTGCAGTGAGGAGTCATTTAGGGAGGGTTCATTTATGGTCAATATTTTATTTATATTATTATTTTTGTTAAGACAGGGTCTTGCTCTGTCACCCATGCTGAAATGCAGTGGTGTGATCACGGCTCATTGCAGCCTCGACCTCCTGGGCTCAAGTGATCAAGTGATCCTCCCACCCCAGCCTCCCACAGAGCTGGAACTACAGGTGCTTGCCACCATGCCCTGCTAATTTTTCAAATTTTTTGTAGAGATGGAGTCTCACTACATTGCCCAGGCTAGTCTTGAAACTCCTGGGCTCAAGCTATCTTCCTACCTTGGCCTCACAAAGTTCTGAGATGATGCACTTTTTTTTTTTTTTTTTTTTTTTTTTTGAGACCTAGTCTCACTCTGTCTCCCAGTCTGGAGTGCAGTGGTGCGATCTTGGCTCACTGCAAGCTCCACCTCCCGGGTTTTACGCCATTCTCCTGTCTCAGCCTCCCGAGTAGCTGGGACTACAGGCGTGCACCACCTACGCCCGGCTAATTTTTTTTGTATTTTAGTAGAGATGGGGTTTCACCGTGTTAGCCAGGATGGTCTCAAACTCCTGACCTTGTGATCCGCCCGCCTTGGCCTCCCAAAGTGCTGGGATTACAGGCATGAGCCACCGCACCCAGCTTCGAGGCACATTTTAAAGACTGATCTGGCTGCTGCACGGAGAATGGATGTGAAAGGTATTGGGGGCTGGGCGTGATGGTTCACACCTGAAATCCCAGCATTTCAGGAAGCTAAAGTGGGAGGATTGCTTGAGCCAGAAATTTGAGACTAGCCTGGGCAACATAGGGAGACCCCGTCTCTACAAAAAAAAAAAAAAGAAAAAGTGGGGTGGGTGGGCGCTGGGCGTAGTGGCTCATGCCTGTAATCTCAGCACTTTGGGAGGCTGAAGTGGGCGGATCATGAGGTCAGGAGTTCGAGACCAGCCTGGCCAGAATGGTGAAACCTCGTCTCCACTAAAACTACAAAAAATTAGCTGGGCATGGTGGCACACGCCTGTAATCCCAGCTACTTGTGAGGCTGAGGCAGAATTGCTTCAACCTGGCAGGCAGAGGTTGCAGGTTGCAGTGCCCAGCCAATATATGTATGTGTGTGTGCATATATATATATATATTTATATATACATTTTTATATATATATATGAGCAAGACTCCGTACCCAAAAAATATATATATATTTATATATACATTTATATATATTTATATAAATGTATACATAAATATATATAAATGTATATATAAATATATATGTATAAATATATATAAATATATATGTACATATATATGTACATATATAAATATATATGTACATATATATGTACATATATAAATATATATGTACATATATATGTACATATAAAATATATATGTACATATATATGTACATATATAAAATATATATGTACATATATATAAAAATATATATATGTACATGTATATATAAAAATATATGTAAATATATATAAAAATATATATGTAAATATATATAAAAATATATATATGTATATATATATAAATATATATGTAAATATATGTAAATATATATGTAAATATATATGTAAATATATATATAAATATATATATACATATATATGTAAATATATATATGTATATATATAAATATATATGTAAATATATATGTATATATATAAATATATATGTAAATATATATATAAATATATATGTGTATATATATAAATATATATGTGTATATATATAAATATATATGTGTATATATATAAATATATATGTGTATATATATAAATATATATGTGTATATATATAAATATGTGTATATATATAAATATATGTGTATATATATAAATATATGTGTATATATATAAATATATGTATGTATATATAAATATATATGTATATATATAAATATATATGTAAATATATATATAAATATATATGTAAATATATAAATATATATGTAAATATATATGTATATATATAAATATATGTAAATATATATAAATATATATATAAATATATATGTAAATATATATGTAAATATATATATGTAAATATATATATGTAAATATATATATGTAAATATATATATGTAAATATATATATGTAAATATATATATGTAAATATATATATGTAAATATATATGTAAATATATATATGTAAATATATAAATAAAAATATATATATTTTTGGATACGGAGTCTTGCTCATAGTTTATTCACTCATAGTTTATTCCCTGCATATTAGAGAAGTGGCCTTTTTCTTTACTCTTTTTTTTAAATTTCTTTTTTCTTTTTTTTGAGACAGAGTCTCACTCTGTCGCCCAGGTTGGAGTGCAGTGGCACAATCTCGGCTCACTGCAACCTCCGCCTCCTGGGTTCAAGCGATTCTTCTGCCTCAGCCTCCTGAGTAGCTGGGACCACAGGTGCGCACCACCATGCCCAACTATTTTTTGTATTTTTAATAGAGACGGAGTTTCACCATGTTGGTCAGACTGGTCTCGAACTCCTGACCTCGTGATCCACCTGCCTCGGCCTCCCAAAGTGCTGGGATTACAGGCGTGAGGCACCATGCCTGGCCAATATATGTATTTTTTTTAAAAAAGGCCAGGCGCGGTGGCTCATGCCTATAATCCCAGCATTTTGGGAGGCTGAGGCGGGTGGATCACAAGGTCAGGAGTTCGAGACCAGCCTGGCCAACATGGTGAAACTCCATCTCTACTAAAAATACAAAAAAATTACCTGGGCGTGGTGGCAGGCGCCTGGAATCCCAGCTACTTGGGAGGGTGAGGCAGGAGGAGAATCGCTTTAACCCGGGAGGCGGAGGTTACAGTAAGCCAAGATTGTGCCATTGCACTCCAGCCTGGGTGACAGAGCAAGACTCCATCTTGGAAAAAAAAAAAAAAAAGAAGAAAGGCGTTGGGAATGAGAACAGAAGCCAGGAGACCCACTGGAGAGCTCCTGAGGTAACCTGGATGAGAGATGATCCCAATTGAACCACAGTGTTGACAGAGGACATAGTAAAACGTGGGGTCACACTGGGGATTCCATTTGGAGAATCAGAACTGGGGAGGAGCGTAGGTGTGGGGAGAGGGGAGGGGAGAACAGTGGTGCCCCACGTTCAGATGTATAAGGAGAGTGAGAGGAAGTGGAGAGTCCTGTTTTGGATAGGTTGGTTTTTTTTTTTTTCTTTTTGAGACAGAGTCTTGCTCTGTCGGCAGGCTGGAGTGCAGTGGCGCAATCTCGGCACACTGCAACCTCCACCTCCCAGGTTCGAGCGAGTCTCCCACCTCAGCCTCCCGAGTAGCTGGGACTACAGGCAAGCGCCACCATGCCCAGCTAATTTTTGTATTTTTTTAGTAGAGACGGGTTTCACCATATTGGCCAGGATGGTCTCAATCTCTTGACCTCGTGACCCACCTGCCTTGGCCTCCCAAAGTGCTGGGATTACAGGCATGAGCCACCACGTCCGGCCCTTTTTAATTTCCTTTTTTTTTTTTTTTTTCAGATGGAGTCTCGCTCACTCTGTCGCCCAGGCTGGAGTGCAGTGGCGCACTCTCGGCTCACTGCAACCTCTGCCTCCTGGGTTCAAGCGATTCTCCTGTTTCAGCCTCCCAAGTAGCTGGGACTACAGGCACGTGCCACCACTCCTGGCTAATTTTTTGTATTTTTAGTAGAGGTGGGGTTTCACCATATTAGCCATGATGGTCTTGATCTCCTGACCTCATGATCCGCCCACCTTAGCGTCCCAAAGTTCTGGGATTACAGGCGTGAGCCACCACACCTGGCCCTTTTTGTTTTAGAGACGTGGTCTGGCACTGTCACACAGGCTGGAGTGCAGTGGTGCTATCATTGCTCACTGCAGCCTCAAACTCCTGGGTTCAAGTGATCTTCCTGTCTCAGCCTCCCCAGTAACTGGGATTATACAAGCATGTGCTGCCATATCTGGCAAATTTTTTTATTTTTATGTTTGTAGAGACAAGGTCTCACTATTTTGCCCAGGCTGGTCTCGAACTCCTGGTCTCAAGCAATAGCAGAAGTGGTTTCAGTGCCCCCGGCAGTAGCTATAACAGACGAGTTGATATCCTGGCATGTAGCATTTGATGGTAGTGACAGTAACAGCAGTTTTCTTATCAGGTCAAATCAGTTCTATGGCTTGGAATTAGTTCTCCAGTTTGCCCCACAATTCTGTAAGCTGCCTAATACCCTTAACAAATCCCTCCTCTGCTTAAGCCAGCCAATGTAAAATCTGTTATCTGTAAGTCAAGACTTCTGACTGAGCCATTCACTAATACAGAGGATGCTACGGTCAACAGCTCTAGAAAAAATTTTCTCTGGGCTCTTTTCCGAACACCGTGTTTCTCAAACTCTAGCCATTCATTCACTACCTTCCAAAAAATTTGCCATATATTCATACCACACATAATAGTTTTTATTTTATTTTTGAGACAGAGTCTCGCTCTGTCACCCAGGCTGGAGTACAATGGCGTGATATCGGCTCACTGCAACCTCCGCCTCCTGGGTTCAAGCGATTCTCCTGCTTCAGCCTCCTGAGTAGCTGAGACTACAGGCGTGCACCATGCCCAGGTAATTTTGTATTTTTAGTAAAGACGGGATTTCACCATGTTGGCCAGGCTGGTCTCGAACTCCTGGCCTCAAGTGATCCGCCTGCCTCGACCTCCCAAAGTGCTGGGATTATAGGTGTGAGCCATTGTGCCCAGTGCATCCATAATATTATCTACCAAACAATATTCTTTTAAGTTGATCTGTTTTTTTAAAAACTTGATTATTATGCCAGTTTTTTTTCAAGCTAATACACATTAAAATAAATATAGCACCACAAAAATATAAACCATTAATTCAAATACCACCCCCAAAAACTCATAACTTGCTAGTGGCCAATAGTGTCTTAGGATAAATTCCTAGGAGTACAGTGACTTAGGTACAGAGTAGAAACAGAAAACCCTTTTAGGCTGGGCACAGTGGCTCATGCCTGTAATCCCAGCATTTTGAGAGGCCAAGGTGGGCAGACGGCTTGGGCCCCGGTATTGGGAGACCAGCCTGGCCAACATGGCGAAACCCCATCTCTACAAAAAATACAAAAATTAGCCAGGTGTGGTGGTGTATGCTTGTAATCCCAGCTATTTGGGAGGCTGAGGTAGATTGAGCTTGGGAGGCTGAAGCTGCAGTGAGCTGTGACTGCCCTACTATGCTCCAGCCTAGGAGACCCAGCAAGGCTCTGTCAAAAAAACAAAAACAAAATCTGTTTATACTACACATGATACCAGCCTTTCCTAAGCAGAACTGATTAACTGGAGGGCCAGGAAGAGAGAAGTCTTAGCAAGTTCCTCACTTTATCTGAGCAGTAAAATGAGAGTTAAATTATAGTACAGTCTGGCTGGGCATGGTGGCTCACACCTATAATCCCAGCATTTTGGGAGGCCAAGGTGGGTGGATCACTTGAGGTCAGGAGTTCAAGACCAGCCTGGCCAATATGGTGAAACCCCGTCTCTATTAAAAATACAAAAATTAGCTGGGCGTGGTGGCAGGCGCCTGTAATCCCAGCTACTCGGGAGGCTGAGGCAGGAGAATCGCTTGAACCTGGGAGATGGAGGTTGCAGTGAGCCGAGATCGTGTCACTGCACTCCAGCTGGGCAACAGAGTGTGACTCTGTCTCAAAAAAAAAAAAAAAAAAAAAAGGACAGTGCGGTGTGCACACTTTTTGGGGTTTAGTGGTGGTGGATTCCTTAATCACCCTGACCGTCAGTTTTCACACCTGCAAAATGGAGGAAATAATAGTTCCTACTACCCAGGGTAGCACTGGGAGCGCTGATTGTGAAACAATAGGAATGCCTGAACATCATAAAGCTCTAGTTCAGAGTTTCCTAAACTCCTCTGAGTTTTCATTTGAAAAAAAATTTTTTTTTTTGGAGACGGAGTCTCGCTGTGTCGCCCAGGGTGGAGTGCAGTGGCACCATCTCAGCTCACTGCAAGCTCCGCCTCCCGGGTGCAAACAATTATCCTGCCTCAGCCTCCTGAGTAGCTGGTACTACAGGTGCACACTGCCACGCCCAGCTAATTTTTTGTATTTTAGTAGAGACAGAGTTTCACCGTGTTGCCCAGGCTGTTCTCGAACTCCTGAACTCAAGCAATCCACCCGCCCGGCCTCCCAAAGTGCTAGGATTACAGGTGTGAGCCACCACGCCTGGCCAAAATATTTTTATAGAGATGGGGTCTTTCTTGGCTGAGCGTGGTAGCTCACGCCTGTAGTCCCAGCACTTTGGGAGGCCACAATGGGCGGATCACTTGAGGTCTGGAGTTCGAGAGCCGTCTGGCCAACGAGGTGAAACCCCATCTGTACTAAAAATACTAAAATTAGCCAGGCGTGGTGGCACATGCCTGTAGTCCCAGCTACTCAGGAGGCTGAGGTGGGAGAATTGCTTCAACCCAGGAGGTGGAGGTTGCAGTGAGCCGAGATCGCCCCATTGCACTCCAGCCTGGGCGACAGAGTGAGACTCTGTCTCCAAAAAAAAAAAAAAAAAAAAAAAAAAGATGGGGTCTTTCTCTGTCACTCACGGTGGGGTGCAGTGTCATGATCATACCTCACCACAGCCTTGAACTCCTGAGCTCAGGCGATCCTCCTGCCTCGGCCTCCTGAGTAGGAGGGGCTATAGCTGCATGCTACTGTGCCTGGCTAATTTTAAATTTTTTTTTGTAGAGATAGGGTCTCCTAATCTGCCCAGGCTGGTCTTGAACTCCTGGCTTCAAACCGTCCTCCCACCTCAGCCTCCCAAACTGCTGGGACTATAGGCTGGCACTATAGCCACCGTGCCCAGCCTCTTCTCAGTTTTAGAAGAGTGTTTGTTATATAGCTTCCCAGTCTGTGCATAGACCCCACGGAATCATAACCTCCAGGGGAGGAATTAGGGAATCTATTTGAAACAAACACTGTCCACTGAGTCTCAGGATCTGATGAGTTCCGAAACATTAGCCAGGGTTAAGCAGCCATAATTAACACTTTGGAGTGCCCTGTGGAAGCTGCCATGAGATGATGGATGTGAAAGTTAAGGGACATTGACTACCCTTGCACCCATTCATTCAACATTCACTGCATGCTCCACCCTGTTAGGTGCTGGGGACACCGACAGATTAAAGGAGACTCAGGCTCCCCTTAAAGGCTCCCCTAGCTGGCTCCTCATCCTTGGCTCCTCATCTGCAAAATTAGATGGGTGGGGCGATGCCCAACGGAACTGCTCCTTAGGCTGCTGAGGGACTACAGGGGTGGGCAGCGAAGCTGTCTGTCTTGTGGGCTCTGGCCCTGTGAGGTCTAGCAGTACAGGGTCCCCGCAAGCTGCCTGACCTCACAGGGCCCAACACTGACTCCTACCCAGTTCATCTCCTCTCAGGGCTAGATGTCAGGCTCTCCCTATGAAGTGGATACTACTATTCCCATTTTACAGATTAGAAAACAAAGTCTCAGCGAAGAGGGAGGTCACACTTCACCCCATCCCCGAAAGGCGTCCAGGACCTGGTCCCCTACCTCCAGCTGCGGCAGAGGCGGCCAGATATCTCGCAAGACCCGCGTAGCGAGTCGGACTCCGGGGGACTCGGGGTCTCTCTCTGCCGGGCCCAGGAGGAGGTTCCTGAGCAGTCGGAGCCGCAGCTGCCTCCCGGAGCCCGAGCCCCTCCCTCCGGGTCCGGCCTAGCCCGCCTGACTCCCACTCTGATCACCTCCACAGCCCGCCGACCTGAGAACTACTACGCCCATGAGCCTTCGCGGCGCCGGTGATTTAGGGGACGCTCCTCAGTGCCCCCTGCGACCGCCAGAGAGAACTACGTTGCCCCTCAGCCCGAGAGGCGCGAGTGGTGGAAAACCTCTCCATCATACTCCGCCCTCGAGACACCAGCCCCCTCCATGACGTCTTCAGCCGCGCGCCCGACGTCGGCTGAGACGGCCATAGACACTGGCGGCTAGAGGGGCCCGGACTTGCCCTCCCAGCTCTAACTTCCGCCGGAAGTGCCTTCCAGCCGCAGGCGCCCTTCTTCTTCTGTGCGCTCGGGCTCCTGGTCCCGGCTCCCCGGTTACCGGGGCGCGAGTATGACCACAATGGCGGCCGCCACCCTGCTGCGCGCGACGCCCCACTTCAGCGGTGAGTGGTCAGGGAGGGCGATGGCGGCCCAGGAACACTTTGGGGGAGTGGTAGGTGGCTGGGTTCGGTCTGACCCCTTCCCTGCCTGACTCCAAGCTTCGGTCCCGGCAGGTCTCGCCGCCGGCCGGACCTTCCTGCTGCAGGGTCTGTTGCGGCTGCTGAAAGCCCCGGCATTGCCTCTCTTGTGCCGCGGCCTGGCCGTGGAGGCCAAGAAGACTTACGTGCGCGACAAGCCACATGTGAATGTGGGTACCATCGGCCATGTGGACCACGGGAAGACCACGCTGACTGCAGCCATCACGAAGAGTGAGTGGGGTTGGGGCGTCCAGCAGCGCCCTATCTACTGATGGGACCTGGAGCCAGGGAGGCAAGGCCAGCAGAGTGTCTGCTGGAGGAGTTTACTGTGGCCCCAAGAGCCCGAATTTGTGCGACAGGTGGATTGGGAGATGCAAGAGACAAATTTCTCCTGAACAGGAAGAACTTTGTGATCCACCAATGGCTTGGGGATCACAAAGTCGTGGGGAATGCTCTGCAAGCAGAGGCTGTACCCTAAAGAAGTCACAGGGCAGACCCTTAAGGCCCTCTAACATTTCTTTCTGACCCACAGTTCTCTCTGCTGGAAGAGTTAGAGATTGGAGGAGGTTATGTATTTAGGTGGGAGGGTTCAGGGGCGTGGTCTAAGCTCTGCCTCTAGCACTGGAACTTTAGCTGAGAGGTGTGTTCTTTTCCTCCTTTAGTTCTAGCTGAGGGAGGTGGGGCTAAGTTCAAGAAGTACGAGGAGATTGACAATGCCCCGGAGGAGCGAGCTCGGGGTATCACCATCAATGCGGCTCATGTGGAGTATAGCACTGCCGCCCGCCACTACGCCCACACAGACTGCCCGGGTCATGCAGATTATGTTAAGGTGAGGGTTGCTGGGACACTGGAGACAGGGCCAGAAGCTGCCTCTTGTCAGGATAAATGTTAGGCTTGTGGGGAGGAGATTAAGATATTCAGTGTTTGGGTATGAGATGGCAGGTTTGTGGTCTTGGCCACGCAGAATGGGTGGTGAGGAGATGGTAGAGAAAGGTGGGCCTGAGTTTCTAACTGCTACACTTGGCTATATGGATGTGAACTGAAGAGCTCGTTGAACTTGGCTGTTTCCTTTCCTTCTCCTCTCCAGAATATGATCACAGGCACTGCACCCCTCGACGGCTGCATCCTGGTGGTAGCAGCCAATGACGGCCCCATGCCCCAGACCCGAGAGCACTTATTACTGGCCAGACAGGTACTCAGAGCCTGGGTAAGGATGCAAAAGGGAAGAGTGGGGAGTTGGGCCCCTCTGTATATTGTCCCTGTCTCTCTGGCATCTACAGATTGGGGTGGAGCATGTGGTGGTGTATGTGAACAAGGCTGACGCTGTCCAGGACTCTGAGATGGTGGAACTGGTGGAACTGGAGATCCGGGAGCTGCTCACCGAGTTTGGCTATAAAGGGGAGGAGACCCCAGTCATCGTAGGCTCTGCTCTCTGTGCCCTTGAGGTGAACGCGGGGTCAGGCAGGGCAGCTGCTGCAGAGGGTGGGGCTGGATGGGCACCCAGAGCTCTGCTTTGTGTCTGGGAAGTGGCTCTTGATAATCGAGGGAAGTAGAATGGGGATTTCAGAGTCCTGGCACTTCCCCTCAACAGGGTCGGGACCCTGAGTTAGGCCTGAAGTCTGTGCAGAAGCTACTGGATGCTGTGGACACTTACATCCCAGTGCCCGCCCGGGACCTGGAGAAGCCTTTCCTGCTGCCTGTGGAGGCGGTGTACTCCGTCCCTGGTGAGGACTCTGTCTGTTCCCACGCACTCTCTCTAGCAGAAGCCTAGCTCGGGGTCCCTGATATCCTGTCTTATTCCCTCCCAGGCCGTGGCACCGTGGTGACAGGTACACTAGAGCGTGGCATTTTAAAGAAGGGAGACGAGTGTGAGCTCCTAGGACATAGCAAGAACATCCGCACTGTGGTGACAGGTTTGGGAAGCCAGTCTGGAGAGCAGGGCCTGGCTGAAGGGTGGCCTTACCCCGGCAGATCCCTTGTGCCTTCCCTCTGTCTCACATTCGCCTTCCTTCTCCCTGCTCCTTTTCCCTTTCCGTCCTAGGCATTGAGATGTTCCACAAGAGCCTGGAGAGGGCCGAGGCCGGAGATAACCTCGGGGCCCTGGTCCGAGGCTTGAAGCGGGAGGACTTGCGGCGGGGCCTGGTCATGGTCAAGCCAGGTTCCATCAAGCCCCACCAGAAGGTGGAGGCCCAGGTGAGGGCTCCAGGTGACGGTGGGCAGGGTTGAGCCAAGCTCTCCCCAGCCTCCAGCCAAGCCCAGCTCACCGTCATTGCTTGCTCTCCTCCAGGTTTACATCCTCAGCAAGGAGGAAGGTGGCCGCCACAAGCCCTTTGTGTCCCACTTCATGCCTGTCATGTTCTCCCTGACTTGGGACATGGCCTGTCGGATTATCCTGCCCCCAGAGAAGGTACGGTGGGTGGGAGGAATGTAGGGTGGAGGGGGGACTTTTTATATTACCTTTGCTTCACTCATAGTTCCAAAGATACACTGTGACAACCCGAGTGGCTTTATTTCCTTAGGTGGAAAGGGGCTGCTTGCCGCTGCTAGCCAACAGAAGGGGCATGGCCCATGGACTTAGGGGCGGGAGTCCTCATCCAGTGTGCCCTAAGCTGAAGCAGGTTAAAAGTTTAGCTCTGCCAGCATGTACCCACAGAAAGATTTCCTAGAAAAGGTCTCTTCTTTTTGAGCGTTTCATTATATATGAAGGCTTAAGAAGTTCTGTGACCAAGAAACCTGCATAACCCACAACTTCCTAGACATTTTTTTCTCAAGAACATACCTTAGGAACACTCATCACTGGTCTCTTTTATGTTTTCCTGTCTCAATATGCTGTTTGCATCTGCCTGACAGCCTGGGATGGATGAAGCTGTCCCCAGGCAGAACCATTCCCCTGCTGCATTCTCCCATGACTCTTAACCTCCGAGGTAGCCAAAAAAGACTTAAGGAATGAAGGCACCCTGGAGGCCACGCATGATCCTTCTCTTCCTACTCTAGGAGCTTGCCATGCCCGGGGAGGACCTGAAGTTCAACCTAATCTTGCGGCAGCCAATGATCTTAGAGAAAGGCCAGCGTTTCACCCTGCGAGATGGCAACCGGACTATTGGCACCGGTCTAGTCACCAACACGCTGGCCATGACTGAGGAGGAGAAGAATATCAAATGGGGTTGAGTGTGCAGATCTCTGCTCAGCTTCCCTTGCGTTTAAGGCCTGCCCTAGCCAGGGCTCCCTCCTGCTTCCAGTACCCTCTCATGGCATAGGCTGCAACCCAGCAGAGGGCAGCTAGATGGACATTTCCCCTGCTCGGAAGGGTTGGCCTGCCTGGCTGGGGAGGTCAGTAAACTTTGAATAGTAAGCCAGCCTGTGTCCTGTGTCCTTTGTGCAAATTGGAGAGGATAGGGGAGGACAAAAAGGGTGTTGAACCCCAGACAGATGGGGAGCTTGTGAGATCCCAGAGCAGTTTTAACGGATAAATCAAGTCCAGTGAGCTTAGTGATTGCCTAGACACAGTAGGATGCCGTTATTCAGCCTCCTGGGAGATAGTGGGAAAGAATGTTCTATCGCTCTGGAGCCAGCATGGCTTCAGCTCAGGTGCCAAACCCATCTTGTTTCCTCGGAATACTAAGTGAATGTCTAGCATCCATTCACATTCTGTGGGAACAGGGACTGGACAGGCATACCTCAGATGCTGTAGGTTTGCTTCCAGACTACCACAATAAAGCAGGTCACAAATTTTTTGATTTCTCAGTGAAGTTATGTTTATATTATAGTTGACCCTTGAACAATGCAGGGGTTAGGGGTGTCAGCCCTCCTCCATGCAGCCACAAATCCACATATAACTTGTTTTTGAGATGGGGCCAGCTTTGTGCAGTGGCAGTATCATAGCCAATGACTCCATGATGACTTGAAATATAATCAGCATTGGCAATTTTCGACGGTCTCTATGGGGAGGCTGAACAAAGGGAAAAAAAGAGATATAGGGTCTCACTGTCACCCAGGCTGGGTGCGGTGGCACCATCCTAGCTCACTGCAGCCTTGGACTCCTGGGCTCAACCTTGGTCTCCCCAACTGCTGGGATTAGAGGTGTAAGCTACCGTGTCTGGCTCCTCACATATAACTTGACTCCCCCAAAATGTAACTAGTAACCTGCTGCTGGCCAGAAGCCTCGCTGATAGCATACAAACACATACTTTGTGTGTTATATGTATTATATACTGTATTCTTAAAACTAGAGAGTGGCCGGGCGCGGTGGCTCACGCCTGTAATCCCAGCACTTTGGGAGATTGAGGTGGGTGGATCACAAGGTCAGGAGTTCGAGACCAGCCTGGCCAACATGGTGAAACCCTGTCTCTACTAAAAATACAAAAAAATTAGCCGGGTGTGGTGGCACATGCCTGTAATTCCAGCTACTCAGGAGGCTGAGGCAGGAGAATTGCTTGAATCCAGGAGGCGGAGGTTGCGGTGAGCTGAGATCGCGCCACTGCACTCCAGCCTGGGTGACAGAGCGAGACTCTATCTCAAAAAAAAACAAAAAAACAATAAAACTAGAGAAGGTGTTAAGAAAATCATAAGGAAAATATATTCACTATCAAGTGGAAGTGGATCATCATAAAGGCCCTCATTGTCTTCACGTTTCTTAGGAGGAGGCCAAAGGGGAGACAGGCAGACTCGGTGTAACTTGTATTTGAAAAAATTCACATGTAAGTGGATCTGTGCAGTTTGAACCCCAATCACTTAAGGGTCAACTTATTAAGTGTGTAATGTCTAAGAAAACTTGATTTAAAAATACTTGAGCCGAGGCCAGGCACGGTGGCTCACGCCTGTAATCCCAGCACTTTGGGAGGCCAAGGCAGGCAGATCACCTGAGGTCAGGAGTTCGAGACCAGCCTGGCCATTATGATGAAACCCCGTCTCTACTAAAAATACAAAAATTAGCCAGGCGTAGTGGCAGGCGCCTGTAATTCCAGCTACTTGGGAGGCTGAGGCAGGAGAATCGCTTGAACCTGGGAGGCAGAGGTTGCAGTGAGCCAAGATCACACCATTGCACTCCAGACTGGGCAACAGAGTAAGACTCCGTCTCAAAAAAAAAAATTAGCCAGGCATGGTGGCTTGCGCTTGTAGTCTCAGCTACTCAGGAGGCTGAGGCACAAGAATCACTTGAACCCGAGAGGCAGAGGATGCAGTGAGCCGAGATTGCGCCACTGCACTCCAGCCTGGGCGACAGAGTGAGACTCTGTCTCAAAAGAAAAGAAAAAGGCCGGTCGTGGTGGCTCATGCCTGTAATCCCAGCACTTTGGGAGGCCGAGGCAGGCGGATCCCTTGAGCCCAGGAGTTCCAGAGCAGCCTGAGCAACATAGGGAGACTCTGTTTCTATATAAAAAAGAAAAAATAGCCAGGCGCGGTGGCTCACGCCTGTAATCCCAGCATTTCGGGAGGCCGAGGCGGGTGGATCATGAGGTCAGAGTTCAAGACCAGCCTGGCCAAGATGGTGAAACCCCGTCTCTACTAAAAATAAAATTAGCCGGGCGTGGTGGCAGGCACCTGTAATCCCAGCTACTTGGGAGGCTGAGGCAGGAGAATCACTTGAACCAGGGAGGCGGAGGTTGCAGTGAGCCGAGATTGCGCCAATGCACTCCAGCCTGGGCAACACAGTGAGACTCCTTCTCAAAAAAAAAAAAAAAAAAAAGGAAAGAAAAAATAAATTTAAAAAAAGAAAGAAAAAGGCCACTTCTCTAATATGCAGGGAATAAACTATGAGTGAATTTCAAAAACTTGGGAGTGATGACTGGCAAGGATGCCGACACCAAGCAAAGCAAGGCTCGGCAGAGGTTAACAGGCACCCCTATCACAAATGCATCCTGACAAATGAATACACACCCAGGATGGCTAAGATGAGCTCCCAGAAGGGAGGGCTCTTGGGCCCAACTTAAGAGCTGTTTTGAGAAAATGCAAAACCTGATTTTTGACTCCAGAACAGAGGCAAACTAAGGGAAGTGGGTGAGAGAAGAGGAAGAGGGAAGAACTTTGCAAAAAGAAGTCCAATGACAGGGCAGATTTGTCTTCTCCTCAGTGCTCAAGGCAAGGCTGACGGGCTGCCAAGAGGAATTTCTGGCTGGCTGAAGGCTAAGTTCCCTTCCAACTTTGAGATTTCTGCTCAAAGATGGTAAACATACAGTAGTCTCTGCCCTTATCCCTGGTTTCAGTTATCCACTGTCAACACTGGTCTGATTATTTCTGGAATTTTTTTTTTTTTTTTTTTGAGACAGTGTCTGTCACCCAGGCTGGAGTACCGTGGCACGATCTCGGCCCACTGCAACCTCTGCATCCCGGGTTCAAGTGATTCTCCTGCCTCAGCCTTCAAGTAGCTGGGATTACAGGCACCCACCACCACACCTGGCTAACTTGTATTTTTAGTAGAGATGGCATCTCACCATGTTGGCCAACCTGATCTCGAACTCCCGACCTCAAATAATCCACCTTCCTCGGCCTCCCAAAGTATGGGATTACAGGCGTGAACCACCGCACCCAGCTGGAATTTTCTTTTTTTTTTTTTTTTTTTCCTGAGACAGAGTCTCGCTCTGTCGCCAGGCCAGAGTGCAGTGGCACGATCTCTGCTCACTGCAACCTCCACCTCCCGGGCTCAAGCCATTCTCCTGTCTCAGCCTCCCAAGTAGCTGGGCCGACAGGGATGCGCCACTATGCCCAGCTAATTTTTGTATTTTTAGTAGGCAGGGTTTCACCATGTTGGCCAGGATGGTGTCGATCTCTTGACCTCATGATCCACCCACCTCAGCCTCCCAAAGTGCTAGGATTACAGGTGTGAGCCACCGCACCTGGCCTAGAATTTTCTATTTAACAGTTCAGATTTTAAGTTGAGCACCATTCTGAGTAGTATGATGAAATCTTTTGCCATCCTGCTCCATCCATCCTGTCAGGACGTGAACCATCCCTTTGCCTGTTAGTCACTTTAGTAGCCGTGCTGGTTATCAGATTGACCGTTACAGCACTCCAATGATTGTGTTCAAGTAGCCCTGATTTACTCAGTGATGGCCCCGAAGCACAAGAGTATTGTGCCTAATTTAGAAACTAAACCTCATCATAGCTATAGGAAAAAACATAGTATACATAAGGTTTGGTACTATGGGCATCCACTGGGGATCTCAGATCACATCCCCCCCAGATGCGGGCGGACTGCTGTACAATCTGCAGTCCTTCCAGAAAGCATCAAAATGACTACTCAGCTGGGTGTGGTGGCTCACACCTGTAATCCCCAGCACTTTGGGAGGCCAAGGCAGAACTGCTTGAGCCCAGGAGTTCAAGACCAGCCTGGCCAACATAATGGGACTCTGTCTCTTAAAAAAAAAAAAAAAATTGAAAGATTACCCAGTAATACTTGCCATATTTCATAGTAGATACCTGTCTCTCCATCTACACTTCAAATATCCTGAGCCCAGCTGAAGCCTTGCAGCTCCTGCACCACCCCACATCTACCTGCTGAGTGCTCTTGGGACTCCAACCCCGCCCATTTTTAGCATCCAAGTGGCTACCACATAAAGTCCTTTTTTTTTTTTTTTTTTTTAACCTCTTTAATAACCCCTTCTCTCCACCCCACCATGTACACCTATTACCAAGTTCCAAATCTGCATATGCTGGGATTCTTCCCCAATACTGTAGCCTTCACTCTTCCTGTCCTGGTCTCAGCCAGCTTTCTCTGGCTTTGGTGAGAGCTGAAACACCCGTCTACCACTGAGCACCAGCCACTTCCTTAAAATCCTGGAAAGGTGAAATCACCTCCATTTTAGGCAAGGAAACCAAGGTCAAGTCTCCGAGAGAATTCTCAACCTCCTTGAAAAACTACCTCCTCTGGAGCCTGCTGTCATTTCCACATCCCATGCTTCAATCTTCTTGTCCCACCCATAATGCCTAATTTTGCTCTTGCTCCCCAGTAAGCCCAGTTCCCAACCAATCCTCTCCCCTCTTCTCCCACTAACAGCTTCACCTTTACAGCTCTCATCCACAGTCAGCTGCACATCCATCAGGATTTTAATTCCAATGACCATAAACATTCACCCTTCAACATAAAGAGGTGTATGTAATTCATGAGATACTCATATTAGAAATGAAACTTTGAATCACACCTTGAGATGAAGCCAAGTTCAAGATGAGAAAATAGTCACTAGACAGCTGGGTGAGCTATCTATGTAGCAGTTCCAGAGCCAGTCAGGGACAGCATCCTTGGGAACTGTGCCACTGCTGTCCCATCCTGGGAAGCGGACTCCCATCTCACGTGCTTTTAGCCATCCGGTCATCCAGAACCTCAGTCATCAACTACACAACTTCACATGAAGTCTGGAACCCACCTTCAAATGCATGGCACAGGATCCCGATCTGGCTCCCCATCATCCTAGATTTCAAAAACTGGCCACCATTGGTGTGCAATGGAGTGATCTCAGCTCACTGCAACCTCCGCTTCCTGGGTTTAAGTGATTCTCCTGCCTCAGCCTCCCAGGTAGCTGGGATTACAGGCATGTCCCACCACGCCAGGCTAATTTTTGTATTTTTAGTAGAGACAGGGTTTCACCCGAGTTCAAGTGATTCTCCTGCCTCAGCCTCCCAAGTAGCTGGAATTACAGGCATGTCCCACCACATCTGGCTAATTTTTGTATTTTTAGTACAGATGGGGTTTCACCAAGTTGGCCAGGATGGTCTCCATCTCTTGACCTGGTGATCTGCCCACCTCAGCCTCCCAAAGTGCTGGGATTACAGGCGTGAGCCACCATGGCTGGCCACTGGACACGATTTTTACATGGAGGTGAAGGAACAGGTCACAATGCAGCACCTATCAATGCCACAAAAGACTGACAGCTGTCACCCCACTCTAGTCTCCAAGGAGGAAACTCCAGGCAGGTTAAGTTAGTTTAAAATTTTATTTTTTTTATTTATTTTTTAATATTTTTATGTAATAAAAAGTAAAAGTCCTTGTCCAGCCATCCTCGTGGGGCATCTGTCTGTCTCTCACACAGGTCACTCAAGTTAATGGGAAAGAAAGAACAGGGGGCCCAAGTCTGAAGTTATAAATAATAGAAAATAAAAGATCTTCCGTCTCCAGCGGGGGAATAGATGAGAGGATGGGAGGGCAAGACTGGGTGGGGACGGGCAGGGGCAGAGCAGGAACCCCCCACCCCTGCTGGACCCTGGCCCTGCCCTCTGTGAGGCCCCTCCCATTCAAGGTGCTTGGCAGGAATTCCCCAGCTCCCCTGGGGAACGGGGGGATGGGGGGCTGGGAGTGGTCCGAGCTGCTGGGGGAAGAGACATAGATCACTCTTCCCTCCACTCATGGAGGTCTCAGGTCGCGGCCAGGACAATCTTCAGTTCCCCGGGGGGTGGAAGGGGAGCTGCTGGGAGGGATGAGATTGAACTGGTTGGAGGGGAAAGAGAAGAGAGCAGGAGCATTAGAACCCAAGCAGCTGTCCCTTCCTCCAATGCCGTCCAGTGGGGGCGTGGGGGTGTGTCTGGGAAGGAGCGGCCTCCTCAAGGTGTCTCGGGGGCTGTCAGAAGCACAGGTCAATCGCTGTTTCCCAGTAAGCCAGAGCCCTCACTCATGTGCCCAGCTCAGCCCCCCACACCCCAGTCTGGCCCTGTCTGCTGCACTGACCTTACCTCGGCTAAGTCAGGAGACAGTCGGGGTCACTGAGAGCTGGGGAGGCAGTGGGGAGGGGGGCTGCTGGATCACAACTGAGCGAGGACGGAGGGAAGCAAAGGACAGAGCCAGGAGCAAGCCCCTGGCGGCGGCGACTGTGGCTTCTGCCCACCCTACATACTTCACAGACAGGTGCAGGTCGGCGGGCGCCCTGTGGGACAGCCCTGCCTCCAAGACCCCTCACTCCCCACCCAGAACCCGTGCATCCTGCCCCACCTGCAGCCCCTCAGCTCTTCCATGCCAAATTCCCCCAGCTAATGAGAACTCACGAATCCTGTCATCGGCTCCTCCTGGAAATCCAGGCGCCTGGCCAGGCTGCTCACCTTGGGGGTGTCCGATGTAGGGGTAGGGTGAGGGTGTGGAAGCTGAGAGTGCAGGCACCCCACTCTGGGGCACCGCGCCTTGGGGGGGCCCCCCATGACTCTGGGGTGGGTGCAGCAGCATCACCTGGGGCGGGTGGGGAGCCCCAGGGTGAGGGGGCGGGGCTGCTGTGATTCCAGTTTGGACATGGGCCTGTGGAAAACAAAAAAGTAGCCGGGAAGACCACAGAATCCTGAAACAGACTCTGAGAGCCAGAGTTAGGGAGCACTATGGCAAGGGTGGCACCAGGGACTTGGCAATGGGATGGTCCCCAT
This sequence comes from Homo sapiens, assembly GCF_000001405.40. NCBI lineage: Eukaryota > Metazoa > Chordata > Mammalia > Primates > Hominidae > Homo > Homo sapiens. The sequence continues at coordinate 28,835,810 of NC_000016.10, read as the reverse complement.
GGCAGACGGGCCCTGGCAAACAGACCCAGAAGTGGGACAGCTGGGCTCTTACCTGGGTAACATGGGCCATGTTGGTGAAGCCGTGGGGCAGCTGCTGGTGGTGGATGGCATACACAGCGGCTGGCTGGGGGAAGCTGCTCTGAGGGGACTGGGCAGAAGGTCCCGGTGGCAGAGAGGGCGGCGTGCCTGTCAGGGCCCCTGGGTGGTACAGATTCTGCTGTGGCTGTCCACTGCCCAAGTGTGGGGCCTGCCCCGCCTGATGCTGCTGGGGAGGGGAAGGTTGAGTGCCACACAGGCCAGCAACTCGCTGGCCCCCAGTCCTCGCCACTCAGAAATGACCCCTAGCTCTATCCCTTCTTCTGGCCACCCATTCCTGCACCAGGACCACTCAGCACCCCCCATGGCAGGCACCTGGACAGGACTGGGGGCCGCATGCTGGGACTGCGGCTGGCTTCCAGTAGGCGTGGTAGCCGGCTGCGGCTGGTGGGCATGGAGCTGTGTGGCATGGTGTGGGTAGGACTGGTGAACAGTGGCTGCAGCAGGAAAGAGGGAGAACCAGTGCTGAGCACACCAGAGGGGGCTGGCACACAGCCCAGAGCAGAGGGACCAGGCGCAGGACTCACCATAAAGGGCTTGGGGGGTAGGCTGCTCTGCAGAAGGGTACTGAGGGGTAGAGGATGACACGATGGCCTGGGGATGGCTGCCCGACGTCAGCATGCGTGGGTTGCTCTGAAGCATGGGGGCAAACACCGGCTGGCGGGACAGAGAGAGGAGTGGTTGGCACAGCCGCCAGCTGGGAAGGTGTCCTCCTGCCAGTCACTGCGTGCACAGCACCGCTTGGGCCTCCTCACAATCACCCTATTGATTCAACATTCATAACGATCCCACCCAGCAGACACTATTTTCTCTACACTTCAGAGATACAGATGTCCAATGCCTTGTTACAGGTACCACCAGAGCCAGGGCTCAAGCCCAAGTCTGACACCGCCAATACCACAGAGGGCCGATCCCACCTACAACACTGCCTGCCACCCCTAGCCAGCTCCCAAGTCTCTGGAGAAGATGGGATCCCTAGCAGGGGCCCTGGATCCTCACTGCCCTCCTGGGCCGCAGTCACCTGTGAGGGGTAGTGGGCCATGGGCTGCATCATGGCTGGCTGGCCTGGGAACTGCTGAGGGTTGTAGGGGATGTAGGAAGAATAGGGCGTGGCAGCCACCAGAGGCGGGCCAGCAGCCGCGGCGGCCTGCATCATCGGCGGGGCTGAGGCTGGCTGGTGTTGGTCCGAGCGCTGCGGAGGAAGGGAGCCTGGAAGAGGAGGAGGAGAGGAGAGCTCAAGCTCCACCTGCCAGTAGGCCCTTGGCAGCCTCGCCGCCTGCCCCTCCCAGCCCTGCTCACCTTTTGCTCCCCGGTACTTGCCCTGCTGCCCAGGCACTGAATTGGATACAGGATATGGATACATCTGAGGTGCCTGGGGATGAGGACACAGATGAGGCTGAATGACTCGCTCACGAATGCCCAGACAGGCCTGACCTGGTCCCTCAACCAGCGCAACCAAATCCCACCCCGCTAACCCTGGGCCCGGCCAGTCTCTCTGCATACCTGCACAGCTGGTCCCATGTGGATCTGAGGTATGTAGGAGATGTACTGGGGGCTGTATAGCCCACTCTGGCCTGCTGTCAGCACCGGGATGGAGGGAGTTGAATGAGTCCGGGGCCCCGGAGAAGTTGGGGTACTGGTGGATTTATTCTGCAAAAACAAGGGAGGACAATTTTATTTTGTATTTTCCCCTCTACTCCTGGCCATGCCTAGAGTGGTAATAATTAACATTCGTGAAATGCTGCATACCAAACATATTCTGCACTTATCTTGATAAAGCCTCACATTAAACCCTATGAGGAGATGAGTATTCTAAAGTTACAGGTGAGGCAGAGAATGTAAGTGACGTCCAAGATCACAAACCTTCCAAATACAGGGGCTCAAGCCAAGTCAGCTGGCCTCTGTTCATGACTACCCCACTCCAATACTCCCTCAGCCAAATGCCAAGAACCAAAGAAAAGCCTGTTAACCCCTCATCAGACTCACTGGGATCCCTGATCCCCTGATCACCCAAACCTAGAGACCTGAGTCCATTTTCCCCAAGCCAGCCCCAAAGGTGCCATCCTTACATTTTTATGACATCTCCTCACACTGCCTGCCAGGCAAGTGGTCCTGGAAGTGAAGTGTTCCTCCCCCTATTCATCTATAAGCACTGCCCAAGTCTCCCCACAGAAACCAAAGTCCACATTCTCCTGTCCCAGCTCACCACAGACAGCAGAGGCTTTGTAGGATTGAACTCCTTAGCATTAGGGTTCAACGTTGATTTCTTTACTTGTCTGTGAGAGAAAGTACAGTAAATCTTCACGGCTTGCTCTCATCCCTCCTGCCATCCTCCCAGAGCCCCACCCCGCTCCACTCACTCAGCAACAGGGCCCTCATCTTTGTCTTCTCCCTTGATGAGGCCCACCGGGGGGCTGCCAGTTTGGCTTGGACAAGGTGGTGGGGGCTGCTCTGGCCCCTCAGTGCCTCCTGATGGTGCCAGGGGTGGTTTGTCCTCCTTATCCGATACGGACTCTGTCTTGGAGGAGACGGGAGACCCCATGGGCTCTGAAGTCAACAGACCATCAACCTCTTTCTCCTTTCCTTTGGGCTCCTCCTTTAAGATCCGGGGAGGAAAAGGATCCAGGCTGTTCTCAGGGGAGCTACTGGGCTGAAGCTGGAAGAGAGAAACACACACAGTCCAGTCTGACCCAGACCCTAGTCCTGGCTTTCTTCTTTCATCCTTTTTTGATCTCATCTCTTTGACTCCTATCTAGTCCTTTGCCTCATCTACGAACCACTCCCAACCCCTTTACCCTGCTAATATCCCAGCTCACTCTTCTCTCACCTTAAACTGGGCCCCAAACTTTCTCAGTTCTTCCAGTTGGAATCGTTTCTGTTCATTCTGAAGACCAGGGACTATGAGAAAACAGTCAAAAAGAAGAAAATACAAAACATTCTTTCTCTAAGGTGGCTACACAGTGCCAAAAGAACAGAGGACAAGAAAGCAAAGAAAAAAGAGAAACTCTTGAGGATCACAGAAGTGAAATTATAATCCAAGGACTGATAGACATTGTTTGCCTCTGAATTCCAACAAACTTCCTAACTGAAATACTCTCCCCCAGACAAAGGAGCATTAATCCTCAGCAGAAAAAAAACCACCCTCACCTTTCCCAGCTATCCGAGCCAGCTCCTGGGGCTCCAGAGTTCTCCCAGGTTCCTTGGTAGAGAGTTCTTTTACTGTTCAAGTAAAGAGAAATGCCTAAAGGTCCTTCTGTCCAGAACCACAAATCACACTAAATATGCATTCACAGCACTCAAACACCTAGCTCTTACCATCTGTGGGGGCCAGGGAGATCTTTGGAGAAGCTGGAGAAATGGAGCCCACTCCAGGATCTGAGACTGATGAGGTCACAGGGATGGAGGCTGAAGAGGTTGGCACTGCCGAGCCGATGGGAGGCTCTGGACAGGAAGCTGAGATTGGGGCAGGGGCAGCAGACTTGGGAGAACGCGGGGGATACATCCGGCCCACTGGAAGAAAAGGGGGAGCTGTAGGATGGTTACTGCTGGTCAACAGCAGTGAGTACAAGGGCCTTACTCAAAACAGCAAGAAAGTTTACACACTATACAACCAGAGTCACCAACTTAAATGTCTAGAAGCTCAAGGCAGGTAACACAAGCAGGTAAATGGCCTCATGGGCATCATCGACAACTGGAATGCTTAAAGGAGTGGCAGGGATTCTGTTCCAGTCAACTCAAGCTACGCAGCAAGGCAAGCTCAGTTGACAGAATTTCCTGTAATTCAAAAGAAACTAAAAATTTTCTATGGCTTCTATTGATTTATTTATTTAGAGACAGGGTATCGCTCTGTTCCCCAGACTGGAGTGCAATGGTGTGATGCCATCTCACTGCAACCTCAGCCTCCTGGGCTCAAGCGATTCCCCCCACCTCAGCCTCGCAAGTAGCTGGGAGTACAGGTGCACGCCATCAAGCCTAGCTAATCTTTTTATTTTTTGCAGAAGGGTTTTGCCGTGTTGCCCAGGCTGGTCTTAAACTCCTGGGCTCAAGCAATCTGCCTACCTCGGCCTGTTTTAAAAAGTTAGCAACTGGCAGGGTGTGGTGGCTCACGCCTGTAATCCCAGCACTTTGGGAGACCAAGGTGGGAGGATCACAAGGTCAGGAGTTCGAGATCAGCCTGGCCAACATAATAAAACCCCGCTTCTACTAAAAATACAAAAAAATTAGCCAGCCGTGGTGGTGGGTGCCTGTAATCCCAGCTACTTGGGAGGCTGAGACAGGAGAATGGCTTGAATCTGAGGGGTGGAGGCTGCAGTGAGCTGAGATGGCGCCACCGTACTCTGGCCCAGGCAACAGTGCAAGACTCCGTTTCAAAAAAAGAAAAAAACAAAACAAAACAAAACTTAGCAACTGATTCAAATCTAAACAAAAGATGTCTGCCAAGCAGACACAACCCATGGATTGCTAGGTTGAGATTTCTGCACTAGGGAAATCGAAGAACTATTTCCCAATATGACTAAATCCCAAATGCCCAAAACATCTATCTTAAAATTATCTCCCATTCCAGCACTGTAACAAATGGACATATTTACATCTCTTTACAAATTTCCATCCATTTCTTCATCCAACACTACTAAAGCTTTACCTGCAGGAGGAGGTGGAACAGAAGTTTCTCCAGAAGGCCTATTACTGGGCGAAGACAGAGTCTTGGCACCTCTCAGAGGCCGTTGTGCCTTTGGGGACATGCGGGAAGGGCCTGTTTGGTTTTTTTTTTTTTTTTTGAGAAGAAAATGTCAGGAGGCAGACGACCTATTACATTCCCACCGATGCAGCGTCATTCCAACACACCCAAACCCCTCCAATTACCCTCCCACCTCCTTGGCATCCCCTTCCCTGCCCTCTTCCTCAAAGTCACCTCATAACTCACCTCCATTGATACCACGGGCCTCAGAACCTGGGCCAGGGCTGCTGTTGTCCAGATGGTGAGGGCCACGAGGTGGCAAAGAGCTAAGGCCAGGCCGACCGCCCCGAGAGCTGCTGCATCGAACTCCTCCCCGGGGACCTTCCCGGACTCGTTGAGGCAGAGGGATATACTTCCCCTCCCTGAGGAAAGAGTTCAAATAAGGCCAGGTAGCCACAAAACCCACGTTTTGGAAAGATGAAGCCATTTCTTCTTCTAAAGTCTCCCCCTTCTGCCCCCAAACATACACACACTGCCTGGCTCCAGCACCATCCCACTTGAAGATCTGCCCTAGTTTAACGTTCTGTGGCTACGGACTTATGACCTCATGTGACATCAACTCTGAGCCAACCAACCTGGCCAGTGCTCCACAATTCTACAACTCCTGACCTATGACAAAAGTAGGATCACACCGTAGTTCCAGGGATAGTTTTTAAAAGACACAAATAATGTAGTTATATTTCACTTTTATAAAAAGAAATAGCACATAAATTTTGAATTTTTTTTTTTTAGATCTACAAGCTCCAGCTTTGTTACTTTAGGCAAATTACATAATCTCGCTTTACCTCAACCTCCTAAACCTGTGTATGACATTTTACATGGTCACAAGGCTTAAACCACAGCACTCATCAACTCTGGGCCCAGGCCCCAGGATATTCCCAGAAGCCCCAAGTAGTCCTGGCTGTTTGCAACAGTCACCTGGATGCCAAGCTGGGGCTCTCCCGCCCTGAGCCCTGCCGCTGGACTGCACTGTGCTTCTCCTCTTCAGTGCGCCCATCGTCGTTCTCCATGGCGATCCGTAGGCGGTACTGGGGGCTTGATTCAATCTCTCGAGCCAACTGGGCCGCACGCAGCTCTCGCTGACGAAACTCTTCTGAGTTGTCCTTTTCTAAGGGCACCCTGAGACAGCACCCACAGACCACCACCATCCCAGTGCCAGGGGACAAAAGAGGAAAAAAGGAAAAACATTTCAACAAGTCCAATCACCAGTTCAGGCATGGAAGTATTTAATCCCTTCAACATCTGGGTAACGGGCACCGACTGCATCCCAGGTAGAGCACCAAGGCTTATCTGGGAATGTGAGAAGCACTTAAGACGCTTAAAACCTTTGAGGGAAGAATTCCACAAGGCAGAGTAGGAGTAGGGATGGCGACCCTGGACACCCAGAGAAAAATGAGCAAAAACTATGTTCTACCTGGAAACCTGTCTTCACTTAGTGACCCCATATCACCAACACATCACCTGGAGAGCACCAAGATACTCACGTATAAGAAGAAAGACTGCTATCATAGGTAGTCTTCACACCGTAGTTCTCCTCATTGAACTTGAACATTTCATTGGGGTCCCATCCATTGGACTGGGGAGGGAGGAAGGTGGTTTTAAAACCCAGCAGGAAAAGCAACGACAAGTCACTTCCCTTCCATCAGGTTAAAAACTCCAAGATGTGAACAAATTGGCTGGGCACAGTGGCTGAAACCTGTAATCCCAGTACTTTGGGAAGCTGAGGCAGGAGGCTCTCCTGAGGCCAGGAGTTTAAGGCCAGACTGGGCAACACAGCAAGAGCTCATCTCTAGAAAAAAATAATGAAACAGCCGGGTGTGGTGGTGCATGCCTGGGGTCCTAGCTACTCGCTACTCAGGAGATTGAGGAGAGAGGATCACTTGAGCCCAGGAGTTTGAGGCTGCAGTGAATTATTATGGCACCACTGCGCTCTGGCCTGGGCGACTAGCTGGGCGTGGTGGCTCATGCCTGTAATCCCAGCACTTTGGGAGGTGGGTGGATCACCTGAGGTCAGGAGATCAACCTGACCAACATGGTGAAACCCCGTCTCTACTAAAAATAAAAAATTAGCCATCCGTGGTGGCGCATGCCTGCAGTCCTGGCTGAGGCAGAAGAATCGCTTGAACCTGGGAGGCAGAGGTTGCAGTGAGCTGAGATCGAGCCACTGCACTCCAGCCTCCAGCCTGAGTGACAGAGTGAGACCCTGTCTCCAAAAAAAACAAAAACAAAAACAAAAACAAACAACTACAACAAAAACCCGGGCAACAGAGCAAGCTCGTCTCAAAAATAAACGACAAAACAAGAGTGGAAAAAAAATTGGAACGTGGCTGGCAAAAGTAATCAACTAATAATTGTAATTAATAACTGCAATTTTTTTTTTTTTTTTGGAGACAAAGAGTTTCACTCTTGTTGCCCAGGCTGGAGTGCAATGGTGCGATCTTGGCTCACCGCAACCTCCGTCTCCTTGGGTTCAAGCGATTCTCCTGCCTCAACCTCACGAGTAGCTGGGATTACGGGCATGTGCCACCACGCCCAGCTAATTTTGTATTTTTAGTAGAGATGGGGCTTCTCCACGTTGGTCAGGCTAGTTCCAAACTCCCAACCTCAGGTGATCTGCCCGCCTTGGCCTCCCAAAGTGCTGGGATTACTGGTGTGAGCCACCGCGCCCGGCCTGCAACTGTTAATGATTACTAACAACTGCAGCAGAAATTATCAATAACTAGTAAACCTGAAAAGTCATAAGACCTAACAATTCTATTTCCAAGACATCCCAGAAAAATTCTGGCACATGTGCGTGGGGAATATATGTTCTAAAAGTCCAGCAAGGTACTATTTTTAGTAGCAAAATAATGGCAACCAAATGCAGATGATTAAGGAAAAGGACAAATACAATTTGCTGTGTACACGTGTGTGTGTATATTTGAAAACAGCACACAACAATAGAAGCAAAGAACTAGATCTACGTACAACCATGAGAAGTTCGAAAAGGCAAGAAAAGCAAATTCTTGTACAAACTAAACATAACAAAACAATAATATATTCATTCACAAGACATTTGTTTCTCAACAGATAGTCTCGCTATGATGCCCAGGCTGGAGCACAGTGGCCATTCACAAGTTGAGTCATAGTGCACCAAAGCTTCAAATGATTCTCCTACCTCAGCCTCCTGAGTAGCTGGGACTACAGGTGTGGGACCACCACGCTCAGCTCTATTCATGAGCGGTTTTTATTTATTTTTTTGAGACATCCTCACTGTCGCTCAGACTGGAGTCCAGTGGCACAATCTCAGCTTACAGCAGCCTCAAACTCCTGGGCTCAAGTGATCGGAGCTCCTGCCTTGGCCTCCCAAGTAGCTGGGACTACAGGCATGAGCCACTGCGCTCAGCCTCATGAGATTTTAAATGCCTCAGAGTAGCTGATTTTGGGAAGAGAAATGGGCCTACACATTAATCTATACTTTTTGTTATGTTGAAAAATAACGTGATGCAAATGCTAGGAGTGGTTAATTATAGATAGTAAGAGAGTAAGTTGATGTTTTGGTTTTGTTGCGTGTGACACGGTCCACCCAGGCTGGAGTGCAGTGGTATGATCACAGCTCACTGTAGCCTCGACCTCCCTGGGCTCAAGTGATCCTTCCACTTCAGCCTCCCAAGTAGCTGGGACTACAGGTACATGCCACCAAACCTTGATAGCTTTTATATATCTTGTTGAGACAGGGTTTCACCATGTTGCCCAGACTGGTCTCGAAATCCTTGCCTCAAGTGACCCACCGGCCTTGGCCTCCCAAAGTGCTGGGATTACAAACATGAGCCACTGCACCCAGCTAAGAATAGATATTTTTACTTTGCTATTTTCTATACCTTTCTATTTGTTATCTGACTACCATCAATGGGCAACAGTAAATATTTCCCTCCCCACTCAAATGAACCTCACTGTCAACAACCCATTCTGTCTGTCCAGCTCCCAAGTTCTCAGGGAAGGAGGCTATACCATGTCAGACTCGAGGTCATAGTCGTCGCTGTTGCTGTCACCCCCCTCCCAGCGCTGAAGCACCTTCTCTTTGTGTTCCCCATTCACTTTCGAGTTCATGGCAATGGCTGAATCGGTGAACTTGTCTGTGGGGGCAGAGGTGAAGATCAGGAGTCAGGCTATATTTCACAGACTTCTTTCCAATATCCCCCAACCCCACTCTCCGTAAGTAGTTCAGGAACAAAGTTTAAGAAGTCCAGAGTACGTGTGCCCGTGTGTTAGGATGGCCAGGGGGTGGGGAGGCAAGAGAAGAAGAGTATAAAAAGTCTATCAGTACTATGATTCCAAAGAAAAAAGAAGTTAAAAACCAAGCAAAGAAAATATGAAGAACCACAACACAGACAGGAATTCATCGCATTATATATTAGACATCAAGACATATTTTTAAGAAGAAAAATCCACCCACTTCGCTCAGGAAAAAAAAGGCATTAAAGCAAAACAAACAAACAAAAACAAAAAAACAAACCAAACACATCACCATGTTCCACCTGCACACAAACTACCCTCTGTCCTCTATGCACACAGAGCAGGTCTGAGGTAACAGCCTAGGACAATACCTTTAGTAGCATAGTTGAAGTCAACATTTCGGAAGTGAACAAGCATGACATCACTTGGCTTAAACACCATGGTGTCCACAATGTCCTCCCGACGAGGGCCACCTGCTGGCTCAGATGCTTTCCGGTGCACAGCATCCACGGCTAGTTCAAACTACAAACACCCCATTCCCCACACCCATGGGTCAGTTTCAAGAAAAGTGAAGGCAAAAATAGAACTGGATTTCTCTTAAATAGAACTGGATTTCTCTTACCCTTCCCAAACTTTTCACAACACTACATCCTCAACATGCTTGGAACCAAGTGCATTGTTTTCTCAACATCAGCCACAGGACTTAGCAAAAGTCTCACAAAAATTTAAACTTAAATATTTTAACATTAAAGTACCCAGCCCTCAAATTTGTCTTTTTTCCCTGCAGCACTATTCAGCACAGGCCTACAGAAACAACTAAAGGCATACTCTGACATCACCCAATTGACACCTTCAATGAGCCTATTTCATTCTCCTCCTACTCTGCAACTCCAAAAATAATTAAATTTGAGTACACTGACCTTTGAGCTTAGCGTCTTGAAGATACCCTCATAAGTGGTACCATTTTTCACCTTTACATCACAAGTGGAGCCCTGGCAGAGTGGGAAAAATAAGAAGAGTGTCTCCAGAAAGTAGATGCATTACGTTCCTTAAACAACCCGGGGGTTAAGTACCAACTTACCACAACAGCTGTAAGGAAATGCAGCATTCTGGAATTGTTGTAGACGCCTTCAAACACCTGTCAGTTAACATAAGAGGGAGAATTAAAGGAGTAATCAGTCAACACCTCATTTTCTTTTCTAAATGCCCGCCGCACTCTACTCATTCTGCCTTGTGTGTGCCGGGCCCACAGCCCTCCTGAGTACATTAGACTCTATCTAGACCTAATGTGCCCTATATTCCCACATTATGCATCTTTTAGGTCTATGTATCTTAAACAGGGTGGGAGAAGACACTCACAGGTGACTGTGGGGGTCCCTTTCCTGTGCTCTGTCCCCTATAAAAGAAAACAAGAAATTACTTAAGTCTGTTCAAGCCCTCTTAGACCACTATGAAATTAATGTTAAATCCTAGAAGTATATACCACCTGATGATGCTGATTTAGACTACAAAATTGTTAATCAGTAAGATTTTTCTATTTTTTTTGAGACAGGGTCTCCCTCTGTTGCCCAGGCTGGGGTGCAGTGGCGTGATCTCAGTTCACTGTAGCCTCAACCTCCAAGGCTCAAGTGATCTTCCTGCCTCAGCCTCCCGAGTGGCTGAGACTATAGGTACGAACCACCACTCCTGGCTTTTTTTTTTTTTAATTTTTAGTAGAGATGGGATTTCCCATCTGTGTTGCCCAGGCTGGTATCGATCTCCTTGGGCTCAAGGGATCCTCCCACCTTTGCCTCCTAAAGTGCTGGCATTACAGGCGTGAGCCACTGCGCCCGGCCAATAAATAAGATTTTCAAACTGTCACCTTGTAGAGGAAGAAAAAAATAGACATTAATAAGCCAGCAAACACATTTCCTCCAAATGCCAGCAAAAAGATCTCAATCAACAATGGTTGTCAATTGCTCTAAGAACCAACGAGAAAGGGGCTAGGGCTGCAGGCTACCAACAGATCAATGCTACAGTATTAACCAAAAAGCCACGCCAGCTGTGAGGGCAAAAGCTCCAGGAGTGCAGCTTTGGAACTACCTAGCTCAGGTACATTACCTCCCAAACAGAAAAGACAATCATTTTCAGCAGCCTGACGCCTCAAAACTGTGGGAGGAGGGGTATCCCCTCCACACCCCATCCCCTCGACCTCATGACTCATTCAGCCCGTTACCCACTCTGCGGGGATCACCAATCGCCAGGTAACCCTGCTCGTCGCTGGCTGATGTAACCGGCGGTTGAGGGCGAAGAGGGGGCCGCTGGCGGGGCTGGGGGACAGCGCAGCCGCAAAAGCCATCCACCGGGAGGCCTCGCCCGGTCTGCGCCTGCGCACTAAAACCCACGGGACTTTCCGAACCCCCACCTCCAGCGATCAGAGCCCACTGCGCCTGCGTGTGCTGCCACTCTTAATTCCATTAACACACACACACTCGCACAGGAAAAACTGAGCAGGGCCTCCACTACTCATGCACTGCCACCAGACGAGCCCCTCCACGAACTAGTCCCTGCCCTAGGTGTTCCCGGGGCGCGCGAATGCCCGGGTCATGAGACCGAGCATCCACGCGCACGTACGGGAAGGGGGCGCGCGCGCCAGAGGCTCCCGGCCCGCAGTCCTCCCAGTCATCCCTCCTTCCGTCCCCCCGCCCACCTCGCTCCCCTCCTACTGGCCAGACCGGGAAGGGGGAGGCAGCAACCCGCTCCCAAGTCCCTCCCTCCCCATTGGCCAAACTGTGGGCCGCGCGCCCCCCTCCATTGGCTACGGCCGGGGACCCCTTCCCGCAGCAGACTCCCCATTGGCTGAAGCCGGGGACCGCGAGACCCTTCGTGGTAATGGAACCGGGGACCCCGATCAGCTCCTTGCCCCCCCCCAACTCCCCGTTCCGACGGCGCCGGCGGGATGCGCCCCGCCTCCCCTGAAGGCCGGGGCTGCGAGCCCTGACTAGGCCCCGAGAGCCGAGCGCGGCCCCTCAGTGCTCCGGTGGCCGCCCGGGGACCCTTTCCGTCCGACCTGTTCGGACCTGAGGGGGCCCTCCCCCAGCTTCACGGGGACTCCCCACCCAGCCGGTGCCCCTGACGGTGCCGGGTCGGGGTCCGCCCCACCGGAACCGAGCCACAGCCTCTGGGTGGCCGCGGCTCCCTCGCCCGGAGCCCACCCTTCTCACCTGGCGCTGCCGATGGCGGCTGCCCCCGGCCTCTCCTGGTGTTGCTGCGGCGGCGGCGGCTGCGGCGCCAAGATGCCTTCGGCTCCCCGGCGGAGCCCGCTCCCGGCAGCGGCCACAGGCCCCAGGCAGGGGGAGGCGGCCGCTGGAGGCCCGGGAGGAGCCGCAGAGGTGGCCAGCGGCCCCGGGAGGCCGCCGTTGGGAGGGCTGGTGCCCCCGGGGGGCCGACGGGCCACGGCCTGTTGCGTGGGGGGCGGCTGCTGGGGCTGGGAGGGCTGTTGTAGCGGCTGAGGCTTCAACATGATGGCAGCGTCCGGAAGGGGAATTAGAGAGAAGGGAGGGAGAGAGGGGGCCGGGGCTGGGGCCCCGCTGGAGAGCGCGGGAAGCGAGGGGGATCGGGCAGCCGGGGCCCGCCGTGGGCGGGCGGGGGGAGCCCCGCGGTGTCGGGGGTGGAGAGAGAAGACCGCGGCGCGAGGAAGCGCCGCGAGGCGGAAGGGGAGGGGGTCTCGCGGCTGGAGGAAAGCGAGAGGGCGCGAGCCGGGCTGGCGCGCGTGCGCGTCGCCGGGGAGCGGAGAGGGAGGAGCGCGCGGGTGGGAGCTCCCGGGGGGGGGGGGGGGGGGGGGGGGCCAGGAGCGAGCAGTGGCGCGAGGTGCCGCGCACACCGGCGCGGTTAGCTCCCGGCGGGAAAGTGGGAGAGAATCAAGTCGGTGAACCTCGCACCCCTAGCCCTGGGAGTGGGTAAGGAGCGGCGCGGGCGCTCACGCGCGCCAAGGATTTAGGGTCTTAAGGTCTCAAACCGCCTTAGAAGCCGGCGGCCGCTGTCGCTTCACAATGAGCGTGTGAGGCGCAGGGGGAGGAGCCGAAGGCGCCAGAGGAAGGGCCGGCCTCTCCGCCCACGCCGTCGCTGCGTCGCGATGCCTCCGCGGGAGTGTGAGGCGGCACGTCGTGCGTGAGGCTCTTCCGCCACTTGGCGGCCCGTGGGCAGAGCCTTAAGTGCCAAGAAAGTCTCCGGGACTGGACCACCCGAGCCACTGCGCTTTTAGGCAGGTGGTAGGTTTCGCAAGGAGCTACCCTCCACCTTGTTTGCTTTAAGTAAAAGACTGATGAGCATTAGTGATTCGTTTGAGCGTGTTGATCTTTGCAGATAAATTTACGCCTCGTCCTAAATTATTTCAGATTTTTGTGATTTTGACCTAAATTGTTCCTCCATGCCCGAGAATGAATCTTTAAACTGTAATAACAAAGACTGAAGGCCAAAGTTCCGAGTTCAAAATCCTCCACCCGACCCTGCAATGAAGGCAGCTTCATTCATTCAAAATGAGTTGGGCATTGGAGTATTCAGTTAGTTGTTTTGGACACAAGGATAATTAAACTGCTTCCTGCTCTGGAGGAGTTCATGCTAGTGGTGAATTCAGAGAATTTGACGAGATCTAGTAGGTGAAGCACAGAGGACTACAAGAGCAAATGGGAGTGACACCTAATCTTAATCCAGTTTTGGGAGACCCAGATAAGGGACAGGAGGGCCGGGCGCAGTGGCTCATACCTGTAATCCTAACATTTTGGGAGTCCGAGGCAGAAGGATCGTTTAAGGCCAGGAGTTTGAGACCAGCCTAGGCAACAAAGTGAGACTTTGTCTCTACAAAAAAAAAAAAATTTAAATTATAAAAAAAAACTGATAAGAGGGCAGGGGGAGATGGGTTTCTAGGCAGGGAAATAGGATATGACAAACTAAGAAAAACTCAGCTTGTCCTAAGCATAAAATTAAAGGGGGGAAGAGGTAGCTAATCTGGGATCAGGTTTTAAAGGCTCCCAAGTCTTGTAAGAGACACGGACATTATCCTCAAAGCAGTGGGGAGCTTATTTAAGAAAGTGAAAAGAGGCTGGGCATGGTCTGTAATCCCAGTACTTTGGGAGGTTTGAGGTCAGGAGTTTGAGATCAGCCTGGCCAACATGGTGAAACCCTGTCTCTACTAAAAATGCAAAAATTAGCTAGGCGTGGTGGTGCATGCCTGTAATCCCAGCTACTCAGGAGGCTGAGGCAGGAGAATCACTTGAACCAAGGAGGCGGAGGTTGCCGTGAGCCCAGATCGCACCACTGCACTCCAGCCTGGGTGACAGAGCAAGACTCCTTCCCCCCAAAACAAACAAAAAAACAAGTGAAAAGAGGTCAGATTTGCATTTTTAAAGGTTTACTCTTTGCAACGTGGAGAATGGAGTGGAGCTGTTAAGTCCATGTGGTCTTAATCCCAGCGAAACTCTCAATGTCTCAATCTCTTCGCTCTAAATGTTAGCATTGGAACTCTTCCCAGCCCCTGCACCAAACACATGCACACCTAGCTACAACACTGCCTTACTTTTTGGGTAATAGTCCTTCGCCCTGCCTCGCTCCTGCCTTCAGATGTGCTAGTTTCCCCTCCTGTGTGCTCGCCGAGCAATTTATCCCACTGTATTCTAACAGCTCCTTTAATTCTGTCTTCCTGCTAATGTCAGCTCCCTAAGGGTTAGGATCTTGACTTATTTCTTGCTCTGCAGTACTCTAGCACACTGCAGGCACTCAATGAAATATCTGTAAGGTGAGTGGATCCAAATGATGTTTTTTTGTTTGTTTTTGAGATGGAGTTTTGTTCTTATTGCCCAGGCTGGAGTGCAATGGCGCGATCTCGGCTCACCACAACCTCCGCCTCCCGGGTTCAAGCGTTTCTCCTGCCTCAGCCTCTTGAGTACCTGGGATTACAGTCATGCACCACCACACCCGGCTAATTTTGTATTTTTAGTGGAGACGGGGTTTCTCCATGTTGGTCAGGCTGATCTTGAACTCCCGACCTCAGGTGATCCACCCGCCTCGACCTCCGAAAGTGCTGGGATTACAGGCATGAGCCACCACGCCCAGCCCAAATGGTGTTTTAAAGGTCATCATGTCTCCTGGGTTCCCTAACAAACACAGTCCAGCTTTTTCCTGGCATTACCTGGACCACCTGATGCCATGCCACCTCTCTACCCTCATTGACAGATTGTGAGCACTGAGCACTCTAACCCCCTTCCATCTACCCCATCCTGCTCCACACTCAAATTCTGAGTTTTAGCCCCATGAAACTTCTTTCTCCATAGCTTGCCTTGCCCTTGCTAGTGGCAGCTAATTTGCATGGGGTCTACAGCAACCTCAATTCTTGCCTCCTCAGAAGAAAGAATTCCACCAAGGGGCATAAGGCAGAGGGAGAGACAGAGGCAAGTTTTAGAGCAGGAGTGAACGTTTATTAAAAAGTTTTAGAGCAGGAATGAAAGGAAGTAAAGTACACTTGGAAGAGGGCCAGGCGTGAATGACTTGACAGATTCAAGTCCCTGGTTTGACCTTTGACTTGGGGTTTCATATGCTGGCATGCTTCCAGGGATTTACGGTTTGCATCTCTTCTCCCCTGATTCCTACCTTGGCATGGGCTGTCCACATGCACGGTGGCCTGCCAGCACTTGGAGGGGCCACAAGCACAGTGTGTTCAGTATACTGAAGTGCACATGCTCACTTAAGACGTTCTTCCCTTACAGATCTAGCATTCCTGGAGGAAGGGCATGTACCATTAAACTCCGCCATTTTGCCTCTTGGTGCATAAGCTTGAGCCCATTTACCCAACTTCTGAGATCTTATCGAGAAGCTGCTGATCATCAGTTTCAAGTGTTTTCCATCTATTTGGAGACTGCCTTTCCCTGGTGCTGGCTGCAACCAATTACTATTTTAGAGACAAGTTTAACAACCACCTGACCATCACCTGATGGTTGCCTAACATTCCTGGTGGTGGGGTTGGGGCAGCACTCCTGCCCCAACAATGGGAATGTTGTCTTATCGTGTGCAATTTAAAAATTATATCACTATGGCCAGGCTCAGTGGCTCACGCCTGTAATCCCAGCACTTTGGGAGGCCGAGGTGGTTGGATCGTGAGGTCAGGAGTTCGAGACCAGCCTGGCCAATATGGTGAAACCCCGTCTCTACTAATAATACAAAAATTAGCTGGGTGTGGTGGCTCACGCCTGTAGTCCCAGCTACTCGGGAGCCTGAGGCAGAAGAATCGCTTGAACCCGGGAGGTGGAGGTTGCAGTGAGCCAAGATCATGCCACTGCACTCCAGCCTGGATGACAGAGCCAGACTCCATCTCATAAAAAAAAAAAAAAAAAAAAAAAGAAAAGAAAAAGAAAGCAAACTT
This sequence comes from Homo sapiens, assembly GCF_000001405.40. Lineage (NCBI taxonomy): Eukaryota > Metazoa > Chordata > Mammalia > Primates > Hominidae > Homo > Homo sapiens. The sequence continues at coordinate 28,819,368 of NC_000016.10, read as the reverse complement.
CAAAAGACTGTGCTACCTTTTGTATACTGTGCTACCTTTTGTATAAGGAAGAAGGGGAAATATGAAGACATAAATGTATCTGCAGGTTTTTGCCAAGAAAAACAAAGTATAAACCAGAAACTCATCAAATTGATTACCTGTGATGGGGGGATGGGGGAAAATGAGGATTGCTTGAGCTCAGGAGGTCCTGGCTGCAGTGAGCCGTGATCTCGCCACTGCACTCCAGCCTGAGCGACAGAGCGAGACCCTATCTCAAAATAAAAACAAAACAGACAGTATGGGGAAAATTGATAAATTTGGAATATAGACTACAAAGTATTGCATCCATGATAAATTTCCTGAATGTGTTATGACTCTACTGGAGATATGGAAGGATGTATTCTTTTTTGTGGTTGTTGAGACAGGGTCTCGCTCTTGTCACCCAGGCTGGAGTGCAGCAGTGGGGTCTTGGCTCAATGCAGCCTCCACCTCCCAGGCTCAAGAGATCCTCCCACCTCAGTCTCCCAAGTAGTTGTGGCTGGAACTATAGGTGTGCACCACCACGCCCAGCTAATTTTTTGTTTCTTGGTTTTTTTTTCTTTTGGTAAAGATGGGGTTTTGCTGTGTTGCCCATGCTGGTCTTGAACTGCTGGCCTCAAGCTATCCACCTGCCTCTGCCTCCCAAAGTGTTGGGATCACAGATGTGAGCCACCATGTCCGGCCAGGGTGTTTTTTTGTTTTGTTTTGTTTTTTGTTTTTTGAGACAGAGTCTCCCTCCCTCTTGTCACCCAGGCTGCAGTGCAGTGGTGAGATCCCAGCTCACTGCAACCTCCGCCTCCTGGGTTCAAGTGATTCTCCTGCCTCAGCCTCCCGAGTAGCTGGGATTACAGGCGTGTGCCACCACGCCTGGCTAATTTTGTATTTTTAGTAGAGAGGGGGTTTCTCCATGTTAGTCAGGCTGGTCTTGAACTCCTGACCTCAGGTGATCCACCCTCCTTGGCCTCCCAAAGTGCTGGGATTACAGGCGTGAGCCACTGCGCCCGGCCTAATTTTTGTATTTTTAGTAGATACGGGGTTTCACCACATTAGCCAGGCTGGTCTTGAACTCCTGACCTCAAGTGATCTGCCCACCTTGGCCTCCCAAAGTGCTGGGATTACAGGCGTGAGCCACCAAGCCCAGCCCAGGGTATATTCTTAGTAAATATATAAAGAAGTATGATGGGGCAACAGAGTGTGATAGATGCAACCTACTCTCAAATGTTTCCAAAAGGCCAGGTGTGGTGGCTCATGCCTGTAATCTCAGCACTTTGGGAGGCTGAGGTGGGTGGATCATTTGAGGTCAGGAGCTCGAGACCAGCCTGGCCAACATGGTGAAACCCTGTCTCTACTAAAATACAAAAAATTAGCCAGGCGTAGTGGTGCGCGCCTGTAGTTCCAGCTACTCGGGAGGCTGAGGCAGGGGAATCGCTTGAACCCGGGAGGTGGAGATTGCAGTGAGCCGAGATCTTGCCACTGCACTCCAGCCTGGCAACAGAATGAGTCTCACACACAAACAAGGTTTCCAAAAAAAGCATATATATATATATATATATACACATACACACACATATATATGTATAATATACACACAGAAAGAGAAAATGCAAATGTGGCAAAATATTAACAACTGGTGAATCTGGGTAAATGTTATCCTGACGTTCTAGACTTTCCTGGAAACGCTAGCCTTTTAACATCTCTGTACATTTGAAATTGTTTCAAAATAAAGAATTTGAAGCCCAGGCATGGTGGCTCACACCTGTAATCCCAGCACTTTGGTAGGCCGAGGTGGGCAGATCACCCGAGGTCAGGAGTTCAAGACCAGCCTGAGCAACATGGATAAACCCCATCTCTACTAAAAATACAAAATTAGCTGGGCATGGTGGCGCATGCCTGTAATCCCAGCTACTCGGGAGGCTGAGGCAGGAGAATCGCTTGAACCTGGGACACAGAGGTTGCGATGAGCCGAGATCGTGCCATTGCACTCCAGCCTGGGCAACAAGAGTGAAACTCTGTCTCAAAAAAAAAAAAGAATTTGCACATAAGTAGTAAAATTAGTTCAAAGCTTTTGGAAATATAAAAATAGTAAAAATTGGCTGGGCACAGTGGCTCACGCCTGTAATCCCAGCCCTTTGGGAGGCCGAGGCAGGCAGATCACGAGGTCAGGATATCGAGACCATCCTGGCTAACATGGTGAAAACCCATCGCTACTAAAAATACAAAAAAATTAGCCAGGAATGGTGGTGGGCGCCTGTAGTCCCAGCTATTCGGGAGGCTGAGGCAGGAGAATGGCGTGAACCCGGGAAGCGGAGCTTGCAGTGAGCCAAGACGGCGCCACTGCACTTCAGTCTGGGTGACAGAGCAAGACTCCGTCTCAAAAAAAAAAGTAAAAATTGTCCAGGCGCAGTGGCTCATGCCTGTAATCCCAGCACTTTGGGAGGCTGAGGCAGGCAGATCACTTGAGGTAAGGAGTTCGAGACCAGCCTGGCCAACATGGTGAAACTCCATCTCTACTAAAAATACAAAAATTAGCCGGGCCTGGTGGCAGGCGCCTGTAATCCCAGCTACTCGGGAGGCTGAGGCAGGAGAATCGCTTGACCCTGGGAGGTGGACAGAGGTTGCAGTGAGCCGAGATCATGCCACTGCACTCCAGCCTGTGCGACAGGTGGAGACTCCATCTCAAAACAAAAACAGAAAAAAACCCCAACAAACAGATGAATGGATAAAGAAAATGTGGTACATATATATAATGGAGTACTATTCAGCCATAAAAAAGAATGAGATCCTGTCATATGTGACAACATGAATGGAACTCGAGGTCATGATGCTAAGTGAAATAAGGTGGGCACAGAGACAAGCTTCAAAAGTTTTCACTTATTTGTGGGAGCCAAAAATGAAAAACAGTTGAACTCCTGGAGACAGAGAGTAGAAGGATGTTTACCAGAGATTGGGAAGGGTAATGGAGGCAGGGAAGGCAGAATGGTTAATGGGTACAGAGATATAGTTAGATAGAATAAATAAGATCTAGTATTTGTTTGTAATGACTTCTGGATTAAGCATTTTAAAAAAGATCTTAGCTGGGCGTGGTGGCACATGCCTGTAGTCCCAGCTACTCGGGAGGATGAGGCAGGAGGATTGCTTGAGCCTGCTGGGAGGTCAAGGCTGCAGTGAGCAGAAATCACGCCACTGCACTCCAGCCTGAGTAACACAGAGAGACCCTGTCAAAAAAAAAAAGAAAAGGATTAAAAAAATTACTTGATAGCACAACAGGGTGACTACAGTCAACAATAATTTATTGTACATTTAAAAATAACTAAAAGAGGGCCAGGCGTGGTGGCTCACGCCTGTCATCCCAGCACTTTGGGAGGCCAAGGCAGGTGGATCACTTGAGGTCAGGAGTTCGAGACCAGCCTGGCCCACATGGTGAAACCCCGTCTCTACTAAAAATACAAAACTCAGCCAGGTGTGGTGGTGGGTGCCTGTAATCCCAGCTACTCGGGAGGCTGAGACAGGAGAATTGCTTAAACCTGGAAGGCAGAGGCTGGGTGTGGTGGCTCACGCCTGTAATCCCAGCACTTTGGGAGGCCAAGGCAGGTGGATCATGAGGTCAGGAGTTCGAGACCAGCCTGACCAACATGGTGAAACCCCCGTCTCTACTTAAAATACAAAAATTAGCCAGGCATGGTGGTGCACGACTGTAATCCCATCTACTCAGGAGGCTGAGGCAGGAGAATCGCTTGAACACGCAAGGTGGAGGTTGCAGTGAGCCGAGATTGCACCATTGCCCTCCAGCCCGGGCAACAGAGAAAGACTGTCTCAAAACAAACAAACAAACAAACAAACAAAAAAACCTGGAAGGCAGAGGTTGCCGTGAGCCAGGATCTCACCACTGCACTCCAGCCTGGGCGACAGAGTGAGACTCCATCTCAAAAAAAAAAAAAAAAGGCTGATCATGGTGGCTCACGCCTGTAACCCCAGCACTTTGGGAGGCTGAGGTGGGCACATCACCTGAGGTTGGGAGTTTGAGACCAGCCTAACCAACATGGAGAAATCTCTACTAAAAATACAAAATTAGTTGGGTGTGGTGGTGCATGCCTTTAATCCCAGCTACTTGGGAGCCTGACGCAGGAGAATCGCTTGAACCCAGAGGCAGAAATTGCAGTGAACCGAGATCGCGCCATTGCACCCCAGACTGGGTGACAAAAGTGAAACTCTGTCTCAAAAAACAAACAAACAAACAAACAAAAAACCCTAAACTAAAATAGTTTAATTTGATTCTTTGTAACACAAAGGATAAACGTAGGAGGTGCTGGATACCACATTTACCCTGATGTGATTATTATGCATTGTGTGCCTGTATCAAAATATCTCATGTACCTTGTAAATATATACACTTACTACGTTCCCACAAAAAATAAAAATAAAAAACTAAAAAAAGAGATAGTTATCTTTCATACAAGGAAAGTTCTCACTGTTTCTCCAAAATGAGACTCACTGTCATAATGATCATTGCACCAGTTGCTGGCTATTTTAATTACTCCTCAAATTAAGTCATAGTCTTGAATGTTCTGCTACCTAAAGGCCGAATTGTAGAGCTAACCTCCAATAACTTGTATAAAAAATAAGAACGAGGAGAGAAAAAAAAGAAAGCTCTTTCCTCCATCTTCCCCTGCCACCAAAATGGCGCATATGACTGTCCCGGCTGATGCTCTCAAGAACATTGACAGGCTGGGTGCTATGGCTCATGCTTGTAATCCCAGCACTTTGGGAGGCTGAGGCAGGCAGATCATGAGGTCAAGAGATCAAGAACATCCTGGCCAACATGGTGAAATCCTGTCTCTACTAAAAATACAAAACTTAGCTGGGCGTGGTGGCGCACGCCTGTAATCCTAGCTACGCGGGAGGCAGGGGCAGGAGAATCGCTTGAACCCGGGAGGCAAAGGTTGCAGTGAGCCGAGATCGCACCATTGCGCTCCAGCCTGGTGAAAGAGGGAGACTCCGTCTCAAAAAGAAAAAAAAAAAAAATAGAACATCAACAATGCCAAAAAGAGAGGCAAAATGCCAGGTACCTATTAGGCCATTCTCCAAAGTCATCGTCCAGTTTCTAACTGTGATGATGAAGCATGGTTACATTGGCGAATTTGAAATCACTGATGATCACACAGCTGGGAAAATTACTGTAAACCTCACAGGCAGGCTAAACGTGGGATCAGCCCCAGATTTGATGTGCAAAGATCTAGAAAAATAGCAGAATGATCTGCTTCCATCCCGCCAGTTTGGTTTCATTGTACTGACCACCTCAGCTGGCATCATGGACCATGAAGAAGCAAGACGAAAACACACAGGAAGGAAAATCCTGGGACTCTTTTTCTAGAGATGTAACACATATTTACAAATAAAATGCCTATGGACCAAATAAAAAAAAAAAGATGGCTAGCATGTACAAATAAAGACATGAATATATTATGCAAAAAGGGGCCAGGTGCGGTGGCTCACGCCTGTAATCTCAGGACTTTGGGAGGCCAAGACGGGCGGATCACTTGAGGTCAGGAGTTTGAGACCAGCCTGGCCAACATGGTGAAACTCCATCTCTACTAAAAAATACAGAAATTAGCCAAGCATGGTGGCACATGCCTGTAATCCCAGCTACTCGGGAGGCTGAGGCAGGAGAATTGCTTGAACCCGGGAGGCAGAGGTTGTAGTGAGCTGAGATTGAGCCACTGAACTCCAGCCTGGGCGACAGAGTGAGAGTCCATCTCAAAAAAAAAAAAAAAAAAAAGCAAAAAGGAAATATGACAAGCTTCCAAGATCCTCAGTTCTGTAATTGGTCATGAGCCCATAATTGGTAACTATGTTCCCTTCTGTAAGTATCCAAAAATCCTTGGGCTCCGATAATTGGGCTTTTTACCTGGTAGGATGAGGCAAAGCTTCATTCCTAAAGGGTCCGCATTGTCCTGCCTTCTTTTAGTTACCACAGTTTTTCAGTAACATGTATTATTGGGCATAGAAATAGTAAGAGGCACTCCAGAGAAACCCGGGATTCAGACACACCATCCTTACCCCCATGGTGTGGCAGCAACCCAGTTTCCTCCTGGTCATAAGGATCAATAACTCCAGCCAGTAGAGTAACCCCATTTTCTGCGGTTGGTTCAGTGGCCTAAAAAGTCCAACATGACCAGGTGGCAGTCTCATTTTCCAATTCAATGGTATCATTGTTGTGTCCCTGATGGAAGAATTCCTCCCTTGAGGACTAAGTCTTCCAAGTCAGCAGAGCTCAAACTTACCAAGACAGGAAACAAAAAATCTGCAAGTGGGTTATTTGGTAGAATAGTGAGACTGGGCGAGGTGGGAGGATGGTTTGAGGGCAGGAGTTTGACAACAGCCTGGGCAACATGGCCAGAACCTGTCCACGCCCCCACCAAACAAAAAGAAATACAAAAATTAGCCAGGTGTGGTGGCACGCACCTGTAGTCCTAGCTACTTGGGAGGCTGAGGCAGGAGGATTGCTCAAGCCCAGAAGTTCAAGGCTGCAGTGAGCCATAATTGCACCACTGTACTCCAGGCTGGGTGACAGAATAAGACTTTGTCTTTAACAAACAATTTTTTGATCAGGTGTGGTGGCTCACACCTGTAATCCCAGCACTATGGGAGGCTGAGACAGTCAGATTACTAGAGGCCAGGAGTTTGAGACCAGCCTGACCAACATGGCGAAACCCCATCTCTACTAAAAATGCAAAAATTAGCTTGGTGGCCAGACGCGGTGGCTCATGCCTGTAATCCCAACACTTTGGGAGGCCAAGGAGGTTGGATCACGAGGTCAGGGGTTCAAGACCAGCCTAACCAACATGGTGAAATCCTCTCTGTACTAAAAATACAAAAATTAGCCTGGCGTGGTGGCGCATGCCTGTAATCCCAGCTACTCAGGAGGCTGAGGCAGGAGAATCACTTGAACCCGGGAGGCAGAGGTTGCAGTGAGCCAAGATAGCGCCATTGCACTCCAGCCCCGGGGACAAGAGTGAAACTCCATCTCAAAAAAAAAAAAAATTAGCCAGGCGTCAGCTGGGCACAGTGGCTCACGCCTGTAATCCCAGCACTTTGGGAGGCCGAGATGGGTGGATCACGAGGTCAGGAGATCAAGACCATCCTGGCCAACCTGGTGAAACCCCATAAAAGTACAAAAAAAAAAATTAGCTGGGTGTGGTGGTACGTGCCTGTAAACCCAGCTACTCGGGAGGCTGAGGCACGAGAATCGCTTGAACCCGGGAGGCAGACTGCAGTGAGCCAAGATGGCGCCACTGCATTCCATCCTGGCGACAGAGCGAGACAACATCAAAAAAAAAAAAAAAAAAAAAAATTAGCTAGGCGTGGCGGTCAGCTACTTGGGAGGCTGAGGCACAAGAATCGCTTGAATCCGGAAGGCGGAGATTGCAGTGAGCTATGACACTCCAGCCTGGGCGACAGAGTGAGAGTTTGTCTCAAAAAAAAAAAAAAAAAAACAAACGGCCAGGCACAGTGGCTCACGCCTATAATCCCAGCACTTTGGGAGGCCAAGGCGGGCGGATCATGAGGTCAGGAGATGGACACCATCCTGCTAACACGGTGAAACCCCGTCTCTACTAAAAACACAAAAAAAATTAGCCGGGCGTGGTGGCGGGCGCCTGTAGTCCCAGCTACTCTGGAGGCTGAGGCAGGAGAATGGCGTGAACCTGGGAGGCGGAGCTTGCAGCGAGCCGAGATCGCGCCACTGCACTCCAGCCTGGGCGACAGAGCAAGACTTTGTCTCAAAAAAGAAAAGAAAAGAAAAAAAAACAGCGAGAAGAACGAGATCTAATATCTCTCCTTGATTCTGACTTGTATTCTGGCTATGAGAGAAAAAGCACTACATAATGGTCTCTCATTAAGACAGCAGTGTTGGCCGGGCGAGGTGGCTCACGCCTGCAATCCCAGCACTTTGGGAGGCCAAGGCAGGCGCATCACCCGCGATCAGGAGTTCGAGACCAGCCTGACCAACATGGAGAAATCCTGTCTCTATTAAAATACAAAATTAGCCAGGCGTGGTGGCGCATGCCTGTAATCCTAGCTACTCAGGAGGCTGAGGCAGCAGTATCTCTTGAACCAAGGAGGTGGAGGTTGCAGTGGGCTGAGATCACCCCATTGCGCTCTAGACTGGGCAACAGGAGTGAGACTCTGTCTCAAAAAAAAAAAAAAAAGATAGTAGTGTGCATGCTATAAAAAAGAATCCCAGCCTCTGTGCGGGGTAAAAAACCCAAACCATTCTTTCTGGGGTGTGGTCTCTCAAGTGGTGCCTTAACTGAGTCTTTATTTTTTTGAGATAGAGTCTTGCTCTGTTGCCCAGGCTGGAGGGCAGTGGCATGATCTCGGCTCACTGCAACCTTCACCTCCCAGATTCAAGTGATTCTCCTGCCTCAGCCTCCAGAGTAGCTGGTATTACAGGCATGCGCCACCACGCCTGGCTAATTTTCGTATTTTTAGTGGAGATGGGGTTTTACATGTTGGCCAGGCTGGTCTCAAACTCCTGACCTCAAGTGATTTGGCCTCCCAAAGTGCTGGGATTACAGGTGTAAGCCACCACATCTTGCCTTAACTGAGTCTTTAATACATCATTGCACCACACTAGGGGTCATGTTGATTTCTTCTGCTGTCTAAAGATACCACATGTGAGGCAGCAGCTGCAATTGGAGTCACCATCTAAATGAGTTTCCCATAGTCCACAGTCATTCTCTAAGATCCATCCAACCAGCATATGCCAAACGCCTGCCCATTCAAGTCTTTTTTTTTTGACACAGTTTCGCTCTTTTGCCTAGGCTGGAGTACAGTGGTATGATCTCAGCTCAGAAGCCTCTGCCTCCCAGGTTCAAGCGATTCTTCTGCCTCAGCATCCTGAGTAGCCAGGATTACAGGCACCTGCCACCACACTCGGCTAATTTTTGTACTTTTAGTAGAGATAGGGTTTCACCATGTTGCCCAGGTTGGTCTCGAACTCCTGACGTCAGGTGATCCACCCGCCTCGGCCTCCCAAAATGCTAGGATTACAGGCCTGAGCCACCCCACCTGGCCCCTTGCAAGTCTTTGAGGGTGGCACTAGTCTCTGCGACTCTCCAGGGATGTGATAATGCTTCTGGTTAACTGTCTTTTTAAAATTTTTTTTCTTTGAGACAGAGTCTCCCTCTGTTGCCCAGGCTGGAGTGCAGTAGGATGATCTTGGCTCACTGCAACCTCTGCCTCCTGGGTTCACGCCATTCTCCTGCCTCAGCCTCTTGAGTAGCTAGGACTACAGGTGCCCGCCATCACACCTGGCTAATTTTTTGTATTTGTAGTAGAGATGGGGTTTCACCGTGTTAGCCAGGATGGTCTCAATCTCCTGACCTCGTGATCCGCCTGCCTTGGCCTCCCAAAGTGCTGGGATTACAGGTGTAAGCCACTGCGCCCAGCCCTCTGGTTAACTGTCTTGACAGGAAGTGGAAGTTACAGGGACTTTCCCTTAGCCCTTTCCACCATGATTCTCTCACTCCATGGGTGGGAGAGCCAGTGTGGAGATTTGTCAGTTGCCATAGATGGCTATTCCTATTATACTCTCAGGAATTTGGAAATAACCACAGGGTGGGACCATAGATCAACGGAGCCCTCTGTGAGCTGGGGCTGAGCTAAGACTCCATCTAGCACCTGACCATCTATCTTTAAGCCCCTACTTTTAGTGATGAGCCACAGTGGCATTTTGGATCCTCAGGACTTGGCGTTAATTCAGAGCCAATGTCTAGGAATCCTCAAAAGGTTGGGTATTTTCTTCTCCCTGATGCACACTCTAGTAAACAGGGCATGTTCCTCTCTCAGGGAGAACCAAACTTCTCTCCAATTAAGTGACTCTGGATCTATGCTGACTTAGGTCTAAAATTCAGGCGAGAGACTACAACTCTTCACTATGGCAACTCAACTTAGGTTTTTGGCTACTAGAGCAAGTTTTTTGTTTATTTTTTTGAGATGGAGTCTTGCTCTGTCAACCAGGCAGAAGTACAGTGGTGTGATCTTGGCTCACTGCAACCTCTGCCTCCCGGGCTCAAGCAATTCTCCTCCCTCAGCCTCCCGAGTAGCTGGGATTACAGATGCACGCCACCACACCTGGCTAATTTTTGTATTTTTAGTAGAGATGGGGTTTCACCATGTTGGCCGGGCTGGTCTCGAACTCCTGACCTCAGGTGATCTACCTGCCTCAGCCTCCCAAAGTGCTGGGATTACAGGTGTGAGCCACTGCGCGCAGCTTATTTATTTATTTATTTTTAACAAGGTCTTGCTCTGTTGCTCAGGCTGGAGTGCGCTGGTGCAATTATAGCTCACTGCAGCCTCGGACTCCTGGGCTCAAACCATCCTCCCACCTCAGCCTTCAGAGTAGCTGGGACTACAAGTGTGCACAACCATGCCCAGCTAATTAAAAAAAAAAAACCAAAAAAACCTTTTTTTGGTGGAGACATGGTCTCACAATATTGCCCAAGCTAGTCTCAAACACCTGGCCTCAAGCAAATCTTCCTGCCACAGCCTCCCAAAGTGCTGGGATTACAGGCATAAGCCACTGTGTCCAGCCAGAATTTGATGTTTTGACATATATTTTATATCTATAGCCGTGAAGTCATTACCACAATCATGATAGCGAAGGTATGCATCACGCAGAAGTCTCCTTGTGACTGTAATCTCTCCCACCTGCCTCTCTCTGACCCCTCATACCCAAGAAACCACTGATCTGCTTTCTGTCACGATAGGTTGATTTGCATTTTCTTTTTTTCTTTTTGAGATGGAGTTTTGCTCTTGTCACCCAGGCTGGAGTGCAATGGTGCAGTCTCAGCTCACTGCAACCTCCGCCTCCCAGGTTCAAGCAATTCTCCTGCCTCAGCCTCCCAAGTGGCTGGGATTACAGGCACCCACTACCACACCCAGGTAATTTTTGTATTTTTAGTAGAAACGGGGTTTCACCACATTGGCCAGGCTGGTCTCGAACTCCTGAGCTCAGGTGATCTGCCTACCTCAGACTCCCAAAGTGCTGGGATTATAGGTGTGAGCCACCATGCCTGACCTGATTTGCATTTTCTAGAGCAGGGGTTGGCAAATGTTTTTTGTAAAGGGCCAAATAGTAAATATTTTAGGTGTTGTAGGACAACAGATAAAAAGTAGTATATTATGGCAGGGCACAGTGGCTCACGCCTGTAATTCCAGCACTTTGGGAGGCCGAGGCGGGCAGATCACTTGAGGCCAGGAGTTTGAGACCAGACTGACCAACATGGCAAAACCCAGACTCTACTAAAAATACAAAAATTACCCAGACATGGTGGCGCATGCCTGTAATCCCAGCTACTGGAGAGGCTCAGGCATGTGAATTGCCTGAACTCAGGAGGCAGAGGTGGCAGTGAGCCGAGATCACACCACTGCACTCCACCCTGGGTGACAGAGCGAGACTCTATCTCAGAAAAAAAAAAAAAAAAAAAGAACAAAGTTAGTGTTCCCTATCATCAAAGTCTATGACAAATGTTTATCTGTTAATTCTAATCTGTAATGAGATTTGGCAAAAATAGTTTTTCCTGAAGATAGGTATTGCCAAATACAGATAGCAATCCACAAGCATATGATGTCACGAGCACATTCATCATTTGAAAGGCATTTATAGAATTCTATTTGGACTCTGGCCAGGTGCGGTGGCTCACTTAATCCCAGCACTTTGGGAGGCCGAGGTAGGTGGATCACTCGAGGCCAGGAGTCCCAGACCAGCCTAGGCAACACGGCAAAACCCCCCTCTCTACTGAAAATACAAAAAAATCAGCCAGGCCTGGTGGCGTGTGCCTGTAATTCCAGCTACTTGATGCTCAGTATCATTTGAACCTGGGAGGTAGAAGTTGCAGTGAGCTGAGATGGTGCCACTGCACTCTGGCCTGGGCACCAGAGCAAGACCGTGTCTCAAAAAAAAAAAAAAAAAAAATCTATTTGGATTGGATTTTTCTCTTGCTATCTGCCTTTTAGCATGTCACTACATTATGGTTTAATCACTTGAGATGTGTCTCAATTTCACTGAAGTCCTAAAAATGCTACTGGAACTGCAGTTTGAGATTGGAAATGTAGCTCCTAAAAATCTATATGGGAATGGACATCTTGCTCCTTGTTTTAACTTTGATATTATGGGCTGTGTATAAGGCAGCTTGACATCGCTTGTGATTCAAACAATATACCATCAATGAAGTTACTTTACAGCAGCATACGTTAAACATATACGTGCTGTTTTGCCTTATAATTTTAGGTTGAATTATTAAGAGATATTATCAAAACTGCTTCAAAAGCTAGCTAACAAAGCCTCTCAGTGTTTGATAGCAGTGGTTATGTGTGGTTCTTCTTTGTTGTTGTTGTTGTTGAGACGGAGTCTCGCTCTGTCGCCCAGACTAGAGTGCAGTGGCATGATCTAGGCTCACTGCAACCTCCACCTCCCCAGGTTCAAGCGATTCTCCTGCCTCAGCCTCCGGAGTAGCTGGGACTACAGGTGCCCGCCACCAAGCCTGGCTAATTTTTTGTATTTTTAGTAGAGACGGGGTTTCACCATGTTAGTGAGGATGGTCCTCAAGTGATCTGCCCACCTCGGCCTCCTGAAGTGCTGGTAACACAGGTGTGAGCCACTGCACCTGGCCCGGTTCTTATTTAGAAAAATTTCAGGCCGGGTGCAGTGGCTCACACCTGTAATACCCGCAATCTGGGAGGCCGAAGCAGGTGGATTACCTGAGGTCAGGAGTTCGAGACCAGCCTGGCCAACACAGTGAAACCCCGTCTTTACTAAAAATACAAAAAAAAATTAGCCAGGTGTGGTGGCGGGCACCTGTAATCCCAGCTACTTGGGAGGCTGAAGCAGGAAAATCCCTTGAACTCGGGAGGCAGAGATTGCAGTGAGCTGAGATAGCACCACTGCACTCCAGCCTGGGTGACAGAGTGAGACTCAGTCTCAAACAAAAAAAGAAAAGAAAAGAAAAAAAAATTCAATCTCAGCCCGGAGTTAAAAACCATATGGCTGTGTGTGGTGGCTCATACGTATAACCCCAGCACTTTGGGAGGCTGACACAGGCAGATTACTTGAGCCCAGGAGTTCAAGACCAGCCCGGGCAACATGGCAAAACCCTGTCTCTGCAAAAAATGCAAAAACTAGCCAGGCGTGGTGGCATATGTGTGTAGTCCCAGTTTCTTAGGGAAGTAACCTTAGGTGGAAGGGTCACCTGAGCATGAGAGGCAGAGGTTGCAGTGAGCCAAGATCACACCACTGCACTCCAACCTGGGTGACAGAGTGAGACCCTGTCTCAAAAAAACAAAACAAATCAAAACCATAAAATTTAGCACTTCCAAGACATCAAACTACTGTATGGCATGGCAAGTCAGGATATTCAGCTTGTATTTCTAACAAAAATTTATGGAACTGACAGTTAAATCCACACAAGCAAATGAAGTTCACAATTGACAGTACTGGTTCAATATCTTATGACAGATTCAAAAATGTGTGCAAAGTACCTGCTGATGAATCATACAGTTAATAACCATAGGCTTTTTTTTTTTTTTTTTGAGATGGAGTCTCCCTTATCGCTCAGGCTGGAGGGCAGCGGCGCGATCTCCACTCACTGCAACCTCCGCCTCCTGGGTACAAGCGATTCTCCTGCCTCAGCCTCCTGAGTAGCTGGGATTACAGGCATGTGCCACCATGTCCGGCTAAATTTTGTATTTTTAGTAGAGATGGGGTTTCATCATGTTGGCCAGGCTGGTCTTGAACTCTTGACCTCAGGCAATCTACCCGCCTCAGCCTCCCAAAGTGCTGGCATTACAGGCGTGAGCCACCGTGCCCAGCAACCATAGGCTTTAAACACCTTACATTTGCACAAGCTTTGTAAATTCGTCCAACAAAGGCTTTTTCTGCTCCATATATATATATAATATATATATTATATATATATATATTTTTTTGAGACGGAGTCTTGCTCTGTTGCCCAGGCTGGAGTGCAGTGGCACTATCTCGGCTCACTGCAAGCTCCGTCTCCTGGGTTCACGCCATTCTCCTGCCTCAGCCTCCCAAGTAGCTGGGACTACAGGCGCCCGCAACCACACCTGGCTAATTTTTTTTTTTTTTTTTTGAGATGGAGTCTCACTCTGTTGCCCAGGCTGGAGTGCAGTGGTGTGATCTCGGCTCACTGCAAGCTCTGCCTCCCAGGTTCACACCATTCTCCTGCCTCAGCCTCCTGAGTAGCTGGGACTACAGGCACCCGCCACCACACCCAGCTAATTTTTTTGTATTTTTAGTAGAGACAGCGTTTCACCGTGTTAGCCAGGATGGTCTCGATCTCATGACCTCGTGATCTGCCCACCTCGGCCTCCCAAAGTGCTGGGATTACAGGTGTGAGCCACCGCGCCCAGCCTATTTATTTTTTTTTGAGATGGACTTTCACTCTTGTTGCCCAGGCTGGAGTGCAATGACAAGATCTCGGCTCACTGCAACCTCTGCCGCCTGGTTCAAGCAATTCTGCCTCAGCCTCCCAAGTAGCTGGAATTACAGGCGCCTGCCACCAGGACTGGCTAATTTTTTGTATTTTTAGTAGAGGCAGAGTTTCACCATGTTGGCCGGGCTGGTCTTGAACTCCTGGGCTCCAGTGACCTGCCTGCCTCAGCCTCCCAAAGTGCTGGGATTACAGGCATGAGCCACTCCGCCTGACCCAGATATTATTATTGTTTTTGTTACTCTTATTATCGCAAAGACTCTCTCCCAATTTATGGCTTATCTTTTCATTCTATTAAGTGCCTTTTTTCCCCCAAGATGAAGTCTCGCTGTGTTGCCCCAGCTGGAGTGCAGTGGTATGATCTCAGCTCACTGCAACTTCTGCCTCCACGGTTCAAGTGATTTTCCCACCTCAGCCTCCTGAGTAACTGGGATTACAGGTGCCTGCCACCACGCCCAGCTAATTTTTGTTTTTTTAGTAGAGACTGGGTTTCACCATATTGGCCAGGCTGGTCTCGAACCCCTGACCTCAAGTGATCTGCCCACCTTGGCCTCCCAAAATGCTGGGATTACAGGCGTGAGCCACCGTGCCCAGCCCGGCCCACATGCATTTTAGAAACAGTACATTGATTTGTATTCTACTCCCTTTCTAAAATCACTTATCAGTTCTTGGAACATTTTTTTTTTTTTTTTTTTTTTTTTTTTTTGAGACGGAGTCTCGCTCTGTCACCAGGCTGGAGTGCAGTGGCGCGATCTCGGCTCACTGCAACCTCTGCCTCCCAGGTTCAAGCAATTCTCCTGCCTCAGTCTCCTGAGTAGCTGGGACTACAGGTGTGCACCACCACGCCCAGCTAATTTTTTAGTAGAGGTAGGGTTTCACCGTGTTGGCCAGGATGGTCTCGCTCTCCTGACCTTGTGATCCACCCACCTTCACCTCCCAAAGTGCTGGGATTATAGGCGTGAGCCACCATGCCTAGCCAAGCCTGTGGTTTTCTTTCTGGAAGTGACGCAGTGCACTGAGAAGAATCCGTCCCACGCCACAGCCCTTACAGTCATCGTTATTGACATCACAGTCAAGTACAGCAGCCACTTGGGCTCCCGGGGCATGCGCTGGAGTTGGTACTTTATAAAGACAAGCTGTAGGCAACAGTCTGATTAACTCGATGCCACAGCACATCACAGATTACCAACGTCCAGTTCCCATTCCCTTGGAGCTCAGACAAAGCTCAAACCCAAGGGCATGGACAAACCAGTCCCCAAATGCTATCCTTGTGGATCTATCTCCAGGCACCCCTCTTGTAATAATGCTACATCGATCGGGATCCACTCACAAGGCGGAAACCACAGAGTCATTTAAACAGGGAAGTTTTAACAGAACAATGAACTATTTACAGGGGATTGTGACTAAGTGTGAATCAAAGAGAACTCTAAAAAACACCCATGGGGCCGGGCGTGGTGGCTCACGCCTGTAATCCCAGCACTTTGGGAGGCTGAGGCAGGCAGATCAAGAGGTCAGGAGTTCGAGACCAGCCTGGCCAACATAGTGAAACTCCGTCTCTCCTAAAAATATAAAAATTGGCTGGGTGTGGTGGCACGCAACTGTAGTCTCAGCTACCTGGGAGGCTGAGGCAGGAGAATCGCTTGAACCCGGGAGGCAGAGGTTGCAGTCAGCCGAGATCATGCCAGTGCACTCCAGCCTGGGTGACAGAGGGAGACTCTGTCTCAACACACACACACACACACACACACACACACACACACACGCAAACAACAACAACCAAAAAACACCCAAAGGGTGAGGGAGAGAGCCCAGAGAAAGAACAAACCTGGAAGGGGGTAGCCTCGTTAAGGCTGGGTCTCAGACCTCACTGGAGAGAGGTGGCTGCAGCCCATTGGACGGTGAGGTTGGCTGGGTTGCCCCAGGTCACGGCTGGTCCACAACCAGCTGGCCGAGGCTGGTGGCCAGGGGACCACAAGCAGAAACCCCTCCTGCTGGGGTGCTGGGGTGCCAAGGTTGTCAGGCTGGGAACCACACACTGGGGCTGGCAGGCAGGAAGTTGAATGCCACTGTGTGTCCGGTGCAGGGCTGCCTGCCACGGGGGTGGGACAGAGGAGGAACCAGGACAAGCCCCTTCCTCCTGTGGTGTTCCTCCGGCGCCCTCTACTGGCAAAGAAGAAATGTTTGCCAGTTCCACATCTGGTAGCAAGCAGTGCAATAAATGGATTTGGAACTGGGAGGCAACAGATAGAAAACTGGCACCAGTATGTGCTCATGGTAAAAAAAAAAAAAAAAAAAGGAAAGGCAAGTTTTGTTTCTCTTTCCTTCTTGCTTGCTTGCTTTCTCTTTCTTTCTTTCTATTATTATTTTGAGAGAGGTTCTTGCTCTGTCGCCTAGGCTGGAGTGCAGTGACAATCTGGGCTCATTGAAGCCTCGAACTCCCAGGCTCAAGTAACCCTCCCACCTCAGCCTCCCAAGTAGCTGGGACTACAGGTGTGTACCACCATGCCCGGCTAATGTTTATTTATTTATTTATTTTTTGTAAAGATGAGGTCCTCACTATGTTGCCCTGGCTTGTCTCGAACTCCTGGGCTCAAGCGATCCTCCCACCTTGGCCTCTCAAAGTGTTGAGATTATAGGTGTGAGCCACCACACCTGGCCACAGTTTCATTTCAGAATGTCCTTGTTGAAGCAGTAAAAATGATCAATTTTATTAAATCTCAACCGTTGAATATATTTCTTCTTAATATTCTGCGTGTCAAAATGAGAAGAATGGATAAAGTGTTTAGATTAATCATAAATCCAATGGTTACCTCTGGAAAGGCTCTCAGAGATGGAGTTGTGGGATGAGCCAACCACCACCTGTCATGGAACACCATTTATACATGGAAGAACCAAGAACAATTTATTATTATTTTGAGACTGAGTCTCACTCCGTCGCCCAGGATAGAGTGCAGTGGCGCAATCTTGGCTCACTGCAACCTCTGCCTCCTGGATTCAAACAATTTTCATGCCTCAGCATCCCAAGTAGCTGGGATTACAGGTGCACACCACTACACTGGGCTAATTTTTGTGCCTTTAGCAGAGATGGGGTTTCACCATGTTGTGCTGGGATTATAGGCGTGAGCCACTACGCCCAGCCAAATT